>NC_000004.12:152860774-153163805 GCF_000001405.40 Homo sapiens
CAAGCTGCAAAATTGGAGATTTAAGATTGAATGGATAAAACTAAAATGGCTAAAACTAAGCAAAGATACTTATGACAGGGTAGATTTTTAGATTTCATAGACAGCCTACAAATGTTGTTAATAGACAGTAGAAGGTAAGTATATGGGTGTTTGCTTTTCCATTCTTAGGTGTTAGGATCTGGAGGGAATTTTAAAAACTATTTTTAATTTAATTGAACCAAATTGGCTTTTTTATACTTCAGTTTTTAAAATGCTTTAGTAAAAATATCTAAGAATAGTTTTAAGCAATGTAAAACTTGACCTTTCAGAATGGAAATTATATTAAATCCTGTGTACTTAATTTAAAATCACAGATTCTAATAAATGTTCATGGTTAACTAAAGAAGTTTAGTGATAGAGATTCAGCATGCTCTGGGCCTGGGTACCTAATCGTAATATAGTCCCAGAGAGTCCTCCAAAGATGATGCAAAGTAGAGAAAAGCATGACTCCATGGCCTAGCACCTAGAAGATTCTATTCATCTTTAGGAACTGTTTTGTTTCTATTCTTTATAGCCACCTATTTTCATTTGCAGCATATACCTTTTCTCAGAAGTATAGAGATGATGAACCAAGTTATCCTTACTGTATTTCTATGACGTTGTATAAGTTAGTAAGTTCCTCATTGAAAACAGTGAAAAACTTAAGGAAAAAAAGGTAATTAAGGGTTGCTTATACATTGGTCAAGAAAAACATCAAGTACATTTAAGGAGTACATTTAGAACATTAGAATCCAGATGGAAACTTCTTCAGCAAACATTCCAAAATAGGGTGTTTTCAAGTTATATTATACAACATGTCACTTAACTTGTCCTACAATATTTTTACTTCAGTAGCAGAGTAGATATAATTGTTTAAGATTAAATCTTCTTGGCTAGTGATTTAATAATCCCTTTGCATTTTGGTTCATGATTATGGAAATTAACTTCTGAAAGGGCTTCTTATTTCAGTAGTATATATTATCTTAGCTATACCACTTCATTGTTATATTTAATGTATGGCTATACCTTGAATTTTCATTAAAAGTTTGTATTTTAATTACTCTTAATTATTCTAAATTTCATCCCTTCTGTCTGTTCTTTTGGTCACCTCTCCATCCTAAACTTTAGCTGTTGAATACTTGAGATACGGTGGTATCTTATGATTAATCTTGCCTCAGTTTCTAACTCTTCCAAGCTGTTCTTACATGTCTACCAAATTAATATTCTTTAAGCAATGCTTTAACCAAATCAAGTAAACCCGTTACTCAAAATTTTCTAATTCATTTACCGCTATCTCTCAACATAGACCTTTAGCGACGTTGGCCATGGTAGCCTAGTTGCTGGCCTCCATGCTATCCCAATAATATGATAATGACTGCCCAGTGCTACCCACCCTCTTCCCTGAAAGTTTTTCTACTAGGTTGAAGATGAACCCTTCCTAACCCTATTCCATCCCTCCAGCGTTCCATATCATCCATGTTGGTCACTGATGCAGCTTAGAATCCATCTCTTCCATTAAGACTTTTTCTTCTATTGAATGCACACTGATCATTTCCTCTTCTGAATTCTTAACTACATTATAAATTGTTGTATACTTTCCTCTTTGATTGCATATTGCCTTCACCTGATTAAGATGTGTATGTTTTGTCCTAGGTTTAAAAAAAAAAAAAGGATAACTATCTTTGGAGAAATATCCTGGACCCCTGCTATAGGCTCTATACTTGTACCAGTACATCAAGAAAAGGTGTAATGGTTTAGAAAAAATATATAACAGTAGTTATATATATTTATGATCTAAAATCTGCTATCTTAAACTACGATCAGTCTAAAAATTTAGCTTACTAGCTGTGTTTACTTTTAACTTGTCATAGCCCTGAAATTCCCATGAAAATTTAATAAAGGTAAATAGAAAAGTGATTTTATTGTAGATTTAATGCCTTCATTTCAGTTTGATTTCTCTGAAGTTCTAGTCATGTGGATAGGCCAGATTTAAGTCTACATTATTCATAATTGTTGCATCACTTGAAGCCAGCAGACTGTAGCCTCAGCTTTACTTCTTGGTGATTTTACAGTTTTACTTGGCCTTTTTGCCTAATCATTACTTAAGCCCTGAGATTTAATTTACAAAGTTCTGGGAAAAAAAACTTAGAATATACTTAACTAGGATTGTGCCTTTTAAAGAACATTGTGCTTCTTGACTTTTTATACTTTTTAAGCTCTTAAGACCCAGTGTTGAATATTATTTTTATTATAATAAGGTTCTGTTATAGGCTAATTTGCAGTTAGGTTAACTATTATCATTGTGCAATGTAAATCTAAGTAATTTTTGCTTACCTCACCCTGATTGAAGTCAGAGAAGCCCTCTTGAAATGGAAGGGAAATTAACATGGCAAGTGAATGATTTGTTTATACTGTGCATTAGCCAGGCTCATTGTGATTATATTAGGTGTCAGTCAGCTTTTACATATTAGACATGGAAATTGAATGATCTTAATTTTGCTCATTAAAATAATTTTTCTGATGTATCAGTAAGATTAAAATTTTTACATTGAATTTTAATATCTGCCTGCTGCTTAATTCCAGAATGATGAAAGTGTATTGTATGTGATGTACACAATACCACTTAATACAAATCTTGCTGTATTTGCTGCTGATTATACATCATTATAGAATGCCATGATAGCATAAGGGAATACCGCATAGCAGAGAGAAAAATAATCTAAGATTTGATTAAAAGGATACAATTATTCTGAACTGTTACGTCATGTGGGATTTTTTTACAAAGTTTTTTCTTTTATTTAAATCTTGCTAAGGATTTGAAGCATTCATTACCATCTGGACTTGGTCTCTCAGAAACCCAAATTACATCTCATGGCTTTGACAATACCAAAGAGGGTGTTATTGAAGCAGGAGCATTTCAAGGTAAGAGCCCATATATTTGTAAAGATGGCTGGGATAGAGGATGGGAGAAGTTCACCAAATGCTACCTTTATTAATAAAGCACAAGAATGGAGCCCTTTCATTCTGTGATAAAACATTGATTATAAATGTATTCCTTTTTCTCTTCAATTTAAGTAATAGAATTATTTGAGTAGTCTCCTTTATATAAACAGATCAATGTACATGATATCACTGGTTATTATTTAAGAATAGGTTATAAAATACTGAAATAAAAACAAAAATTATGTCAGAAATGTAGATGTAGATTATTTTAACTTGTAACCATGAAATTTATAAATCAATGTTGATTTTTATAAATACATATTTCTTATTTCAAAGCAAATAGAAAAATGAACTTTTTACGTTATATAGGAGGTCTCCAAGACCACACTCATTAAAAGTTTGTATTTTAATTACTCTTAATTATTCCTAAATTTCCTCCCTTCTCTCCATACTTTTGACCACCTCTCTATCCTAAACTGTAGCTGTTGAATACCTGAGATATAGTGGTATCTTATGATTGATCTTGCCTCAGTTTCTGACTCTTCCAAGCTGTTCTTACATGTCTGCCAAATTAATATTCTTTAAGCATTCTTTTAACCAAATCAGCAATTTGCTAGGAGAATTCACAGGACTTACATAGTGACACTCATGGCTATGATTTATTGTAATGAGAGTAGCAAGCACGATCAGTAAAGGCAAAAAGTGCATAAGCTAAGTCTGAGGAAAACTAGGCATAAGCTTCCAAGAGTCTTCTCCCAGCTTAATCACACAGGAATTGCTTAATTCCTCCAGCAGTGAGACTGACAACATAGGTGAAATTTTGCTAACTAGGGAAGCTCATTTGAAACTCCATGCTTGGGATTTTTACTGGGGGCTGATCACATAGGTTTCTCCATCTGTTACATACCAAGATTCTAGACTTCCAGAAGGAAAGCAGGTAAGCAGCATAAGCCACATTGCAGGTAAACAGCTTAAGCACAGTGAGGCACTCGTAATCATTCTGGCAATGGAGGAAATCCTCCCAAAATTCAAGTTGCCGCATGCCAGCCTTTTTAAGGATAGCAGTTAGACCTGCTGTGTTAACTCTTTTCTGCACACATCTCATATCTATGTCTATTTTTAATAGAAAAATATTGGCTCCTTTCTTAATGCTTTTACTTGTGATAACTTTTTTAAACTTTTTTTTTTTTTTTTTTTTTTTACTCGAGTGAAAGTAAAGCCGTGTAAACATTTAGATGTGGGAAATAGATTTTCTGGACAGTACTGTAAAGTAGTAGCTACAGTTTATGTTCAGTTCAATTAAGCACATATTAATTTTAATGCTGCATTACATTTTACAAAATGAAGAAACAATTATGTCCATGCCTTTGTAAACCATAGCCCTCATGCAGATATTAGTATTCTGTATTTTTTTTTTTTAAAGATGTAGTCTCACTCTGTTGCCCAGGCTGGAGTGCAGTGGCATGATCTTGGCTCACTGCAACCTCTGCCCCCGAGTTCAAGTGATTCTCCTGCCTCGACATCCCAAGTAGTTGGGATTACAGGCGCCTGCCACCATGCCGGGCTAATTTTTATATTTTTAGTAGAGACGGGGTTTCACTATGTTGGCCAGGCTGGTCTCCAACTCCTGAGCTCAGGCAGTCCTCCTGCCTGGGCCTCCCAAAGTGCTGGGATTACAGGCATGAGCCACTGTGCCTGGCCGTATGCTGTATTTTTTATTGTACAGTTGGCCAATACTTTATTTAAAGAACAGTTTAGATTTTGAAGTATATTCTCTGCTATATGGGTCCTGGAAATAGACGTTTAGGATAATCCAGTATAATATCCTCTCCTTTAGGCTGTGAAATGAATGGACTGTCTACTGACATCATTTTTTTCTCTTTTCATACTTATGTTTAGAAAAATAAAGGGAGCAATCACGTCAGTGTCTTAGTAGTCATTCTGAAGCATCATGGCATTCTTATATCAGGGATAATTTTGAATTTGGAAGGGCTGACTGAGTACCTAAAACTAAGAGTGCTGAAAAACGTAAGGCTTACTTTGCATAATTTGGTACCATTTTTTGACTAATCACCAATTCTAAAATTTAAATGTCAACATAGAATAAAAAACTAATTTTACTATTAAGATATTTTAAATATATATATTTTTTAATTGATCATTCTTGGGTGTTTCTCGCAGAGGGGGATTTGGCAGGGTCATAGGACAATAGTGGAGGGAAGGTCAGCAGATAAACAAGTGAACAAAGGTCTCTGGTTTTCCTAGGCAGAGGACCCTGCGGCCTTCCGCAGTGTTTGTGTCCCTGGGTACTTGAGATTAGGGAGTGGTGATGACTCTTAACGAGCATGTTGCCTTCAAGCATCTGTTTAACAAAGCACATCTTGCACCGCCCTTAATCCATTTAACCCTGAGTGGACACAGCACATGTTTCAGAGAGCACAGGGTTGGGGGTAAGGTCATAGATCAACAGGATCCCAAGGCAGAAGAATTTTTCTTAGTACAGAAAAAATGAAATGTCTCCCATGTCTACTTCTTTCTACACAGACACAGCAACCATCCAATTTCTCAATCTTTTCCCCACCTTTCCCCCTTTTCTATTCCACAAAACCGCCATTGTCATCATGGCCCGTTCCCAGTGAGCTGTTGGGTACACCTCCCAGACGGGGTGGTGGCTGGGCAGAGGGGCTCCTCACTTCCCAGTAGGGGCGGCCGGGCAGAGGCGCCCCTCACCTCCCGGACGGGGCAGCTGGCCGGGCGGGGGCTGACCCCCCCACCTCCCTCCCGGACGGGGCGGCTGGCCGCGCGGGGGCTGACCCCCACCTCCCTCCTGGACGGGGCGGCTGGCCGGGCGGGGGCTGACCCCCACCTCTCTCCTGGACGGGGCGGCTGTCCTGGTGGGGGCTGACCCCCACCTCCCTCCCGGACGGGGTGGCTGCCAGGCGGAGACGCTCCTCACTTCCCAGACGGGGTGGCTGCCAGGCGGAGGGGCTCCTCACTTCTCAGAAGGGGCGGCTGCCGGGCGGAGGGTCTCCTCACTTCTCAGACGGGGCTGCTGGGCAGAGACGCTCCTCACCTCCCAGATGGGGTCGCGGCCAGGCAGAGGCGCTCTTCACATCCCAGACGGGGCGGCGGGGCAGAGGCACTCCCCACATCTCAGATGATGGGCGGCCGGGCAGAGACGCTCCTCACTTCCTAGATGGATGGCGGCCGGGAAGAGGCGCTCCTCACTTCCTAGATGGGATGGCGGCCGGGCAGAGACGCTCCTCACTTTCCAGACTGGGCAGCCAGGCAGAGGGGCTCCTCACATCCCAGACGATGGGCAGCCAGGCAGAGACGCTCCTCACTTCCCAGACGGGGTGGCGGCCGGGCAGAGGCTGCAATCTCGGCACTTTGGGAGGCCAAGGCAGGCAGCTGGGAGGTGGAGGTTGTAGCGAGCCGAGATCACGCCACTGCACTCCAGCCTGGGCACTATTGAGCACTGAGCGAACGAGACTCCGTCTGCAATCCCGGCACCTCGGGAGGCTGAGGCTGGCGGATCACTCGCGGTTAGGAGCTGGTGACCAGCCCGGCCAACACAGCGAAACCCCGTCTCCACCAAAAAAACACAAAAACCAGTCAGGCATGGCGGTGCGTGCCTGCAATCGCAGGCACTCAGCAGGCTGAGGCAGGAGAATCAGGCAGGGAGGTTGCAGTGAGCCGAGATGGCAGCAGTATAGTCCAGCTTCTGCTCGGCATCAGAGGGAGACCGTGGAAAGAGAGGGAGAGGGAGACCGTGGGGAGAGGGAGAGAGGTGAGACGGGAGAGGGGAGAGGGGAGAGGGTCTCGAAACAATTACTTGTAAAAGCAATCTTTTAAATATTTTTAATGAAATTATTTAGCTGGCATTTTTCCCCTTAAAGTTATTGTATAATGGTATTATACAATAATTGAAATCAGTTGGCCATCATGAACTGATATACATGAGCATTAAAATGCCCATCAGTTTCACTTGCTTATAGATACATCCTAATCCTTCCAATTGGAATAAGAAAATATATTTCGTGATAATGGCAGTAATATATGTCTCTCTGAACTGAGTTTGTAAAACATTTTAAAATCCAAACTGTATTGTTGATCAGTGTATTAGGAAAATAATCATTCTGCTGCTATACTTAAATTAGTTAAGCATTTGTTGGAAAGTTGTGATTGTTTTAAGATATATGTAGATAAATTGGAATGAACATGAGAAAGAATAACATACAATGGTTACAATCTGGAAAATAGGTCTTATGAAAAAATGTTAAAGGAATTAGGGCTGTGTTAGCTCTCTGGAAAGATGACTAAATGATAAATTATGACTATTGCTTAAACAGTTAACAAGAAGAGTATAACCATCTACTTTTTCATCTATCTAGAGCAAATTAAAAAGTTATACTTAAATTCAGCTTAAAAACAACAAATATTGAAATCGGCCTAGCACCAAAGATGTTGCAGAATCAGTAATAGTGGAAATCATGAATAAATCAAAGCTCACAAGAGTGAAGTGTACTTGGTACCAGGGTTTTGTTTTAATGGGGGTATAAATCTTTGCACATATGTATTCATCTTTCTAGATTTTTGTTGTTGAGATGAAATAGATTTAATTCCCCAAATTTAGCCAGTTAGTAAGATCCTGTATTATTGAGAGATCCTGTATTATTATTTATTTTTTAGTTGGTATTGGTGAATGATTTTGGTAACAGTTGTTTAAAGGGTTAAAGTATTAAAGATACAGAAAAGTGATAATTACCTTTGAAGGTAAATCAAAAAAGCTGAAGTCCCAGTTACAGCCACACTACATCATTTGCTATTTTACTTTGAAAATTTACATATCATTTGTTATATATATTATACACATCCCATGTAGTGCTATGGTTTATTTCTTATGCAAGATTAAGAAACTGTAATAACTAGAACAATAGAGCTCCTATTCCTGGGGTCAAGACATGGAAGTACAGTGGTCTTCTTTTATTTTACACTTTATTTTAGAATCCCTTATGCCTTGGACGGTAGAGATACAGTCTTTGTTTAAAATGGTGATTGAACTGGATAACCTATTAAAATGCCTTCCAACTCAGCAAGTAACTTGTAGATTAGTGATTTCTATATTGAATTTAATAATGGAGATATTATGGTGTTCAGAACATCTGAGTCTCTAATAAGAAACTATTTTAACTTCTCTGGGCTTCATTAATCTTACCGTTTAATGTGACAGTTTAGTTGATTTCCATCATCCCTTCTGGTTTTAAATTTTATAATTTAACAGATTTAAAGAGAAAAATATCTCTCATTTTGAAAGTTAACAACAATCTATTTAGTTTAGGTCTATTGCATGTTTGAATTTTAATGTGAGATCCAGTTCAAGTTAAGGTATATTTTATACTGTTAGAACTCGTGACAGTTTCTATGTCAGAATTTAGTACATCTGGAATATGACCAGTTATTACTAATAGTAAAGAAAGTAGACATGTCTTTCTTATTAGGAAATTTAATTATGTACTTAATGCATGTATTTTTTCCAGAGAACTGGGGAAGAGTGTAATTGAAATAAAAGTACATTATAGACATTAAAATATTCTCAGCTAAACATGGAAGGACTTTAATATTTTTTCAGTTTTAGAAACCTATTACTCCCTTTTTTTGTTTAATGCTAGACATTAGCAACAATGTTGGGTAGTCAGTGTTTCTTTCTTTCTTTCTTTTTTTTTTTAATTGAGACAGAGTCTGGCTTTGTCACTCAGGTTGGAGTGCAGTGGTGCGATCTTGGCTGACTGCGGCCTCCTCCTCCTGGGCTCAAGCAGTCCGTCTACCTCAACCTCTGAGTAGCTGGGACTACAGGCTTGTGCCACCATGCCCAGCAAGATGGTGTTTTGCCATGTTGCCCAGGCTGGTCTTGAACTCCTGAGCTCAAGCAATCCATCTGCCTCTGCCTCCCAAAGTGCTGGGATTATAAGCATGAGCCGCCGCTCTCAGCCAGTAGTTAATGTTTCTTACTTTGTAGCTAATTAAGGCTCAGAGATGTTTAGTAATTTGCCAGGGTGTTCCTGATATCATGTGGTAGATAGAGCCAGAATTTTAAACTCAGTGTTAGAATTTAAAACTTAGTTGTGTTTCATTCAAAAATTGTGTTGTTTCCTCTGGTTCTCAAACTTGGTTGTGTTTGAGAATCATCTTGAGTGGCTTTTGCAAAAGAATAGATGCCTGTTTCACTGATAATCAGTAGATCTTTTTGAGTATCGCAGGTATGTTTTAAAAGCTCCAAAAGTGATTCTTATAATGTCAAAAAATATTCTACATCAGCACTTCTCAAATTTCAAAGTACATACAAATCACCTGGGGAAATCTTATGAAAATGTAGGTTTGGGTTCAGTAGGTCTGGGCAGGGTCTGAGATTTTGCATTTCTAACAAGCGTCCAGGTGAATTGAAGAAGGTCCTCTATGTCCACATTATGAATAGCAATGAGACACACTATGTGACATTTGATTTGTGATTTGAAATTTTTGGCTACAATTCCTGTGAAGGCTGTAGTTCATTCACATTTCTTATAAGAGATATGAGAGCATGTTTTAATATCCCTTACATGCCTTTGAATTTTTACTTGAAGAGCTTTTCCTTTATATATGAGAGTAGCAAGTTATGAAATATTTACTGAAGCTTTAAATCATCCAGCTATGGGACTGTATTCACATTCTGTTAACTGATTTTGGAAATAGTAGAGTCCAGTTAAAATCCTGGTTAGATGTCATCTACCAGATTTCATTATATAGTTACATATTCTGTTTAGTTTTGATAGTTTGATGAAAAGTTTATATAAAAACTGAGCCTGGTAGCATACATTTATTATTAGTCCTTCCCTGAAAGAAAACAAATATATTAATTCCAACTTTTAATCCTAGTGTTTGAATATTTTAAAGGAAATATCAGTAACCCTATATTCAAAATGTACAGTATGTGGAGGAGGAAAAGGATTTTCACAGTTAAAATGTCTACCTTTTCAGGTTCCCCAGCACCGCCACTGCCATCTGTTATGTCTCCTAGCAGGGTTGCAGCTAGTCGACTGGCTCAGCAAGGAAGTGATTTAATTGTTCCTGCAGGTATTCACTGCACTGATTGGATAAAGCACTTATTGCTACTGCTGAAGCTACACTAATTTACTCAGTTTCATAATCACTTGCTTTATATTCTTAGGTGTGTGTGATTCTGACTTTTTTGGTGGCTGCCTTATTAACAATAAAGGAAATAATTTTTCTAACTGTATCCTATCTTTGTGGCTTTTCAGAATAATTCGGCTGTATCTCACACCTGAAACTTAATCCATTTTAAAATTAAAACATTATAAAATTTGATTTGCTTTAAATCATTCTTTCTTTGCTCTGGAAATTGTAGGTTTACTGTTTGATCCTAAACTCTCATCTTTGCAGCTCTGCCTTCTATTTTCAGTTAAAGGAAAAACAACCTTCAACAATTAGGTTGGTTGTTTTTAAGAATGGATTAAATGAAAAAGGTCTTGTCTTCTTACTTTTAGCTTTAACTTACAAATAGTTTGCAGATTGCAACACAATACTGTTAATTTACCAGTTATACCCAATGAAAAATACTTGGGAAAATCAGTATCTTTACATTCAATTTGCTCTGCACTTTACCGTTACTGGACTATAAAAATGGGAGAAAAAATGAACTCCACGTTTCTTCTTATATGAAATGTTAACATTTATATTTTGTTTTGTGAGAATTTTGTAAATTCTTAAATGTGTTCTATTTTATATACCATTCTTGTTCTCGGACTGGTAAAGCTATGGGAAAGATTGGTCTGATTATAGGAATAAGTGAGAGAAGAAATTTTTGGGGATTTTTACTGGGGGCTGATCCTAATTTTTTCTTTTCCTTATTTCATTATTCTTTTTAAATTATTAGAAAGTTTCCATCCAAAAACTGAAATGAAAAATATTTTGACTATGAAAAGTATTTTACTATTAAGAACTATATAGTTGTAGAGTTGCTTTCATATCAAAAATTCTTAATTGTTGGAAGAGTACATTGTCAGGAATTTACACTGCTTCTTTATTCATTATGGCTCTTTTTGGTTTTCTTACCTTTTTTTTGTGGTCTCTTGAGAAAAAAGAGGTACAATATAGATCTTGTTTCAACCCAGCCTTTCATACTAGTGATAGCATATCTTTAATGACTATTTGAATTGAACTACTGTATGAAATTTGAATTATTTTTTTCAAATTCTCCAAAATTATAGCAACATTCTATTGTTGTTGTAGTCTGCACATTACAGTGAAAGATCACTGTGGGGAATACGTGGCCTTTTAGATTTTTATCGACCAAGATACTTCTTTTTTAGTGTCATTAGTGTATAAAATTAGTTGTGGAAATTTTATTTTTCTTGAAGTAAGCGGCAGCTTATATAGAAAATAAGGCTGATTGCAGCAAGAGTTTTTTTGTTTGTTTGTTTGTTTAAAGAAGACAGATAAGTCACATGGCATTTGTGTTTAATGGACAGAAGTGTTGTTTAAGTAATTAGGAAACTATCCTCAGCGATTCCAGGAAGTTCTAGTTCTTTACTTTGTGGGAACCTTTTTTTCTTTTTTTAGATGCATAAGAATTTCAATTTGAACAATATCAGGGTTTTGTTTTCTTTCCCTGCTTGTCTTCATCTGGATTGTGTTTTTATCTTTTGTTATCTTGCAGGTGGCCAGAGAACACAGACAAAAAGTGGACCAGTTATTCTAGCAGATGAAATTAAAAATCCTGCAATGGAAAAGTTAGAACTTGTTAGAAAATGGAGTCTAAACACCTATAAGGTTTGTAATTATTTAATGTTTCCACCCTAAATGGCTCTAAAAAAGTTCATTTATATGTTTATTCAAGTCATTATGTTGCAATTAAATGCACATAGAGAAGAGAAAATGCCATCTAAACATGGTAGAAATACAGTTTGAAAATGAAGTATTTGTTTTATCATTGATCTTTGCATGTAATTTAAGAATTTAGTACAAAAGAGTAAAAAAGCTATTAAAATGCTTATTAACCGATAATGTACATAATTGAAGACATGTACTGCTTTGGAATTTATTTAGCTGTAGAGCTACTATAGATATATTTGCTCCTTCCCCTCCTTTTGATACTTTATAGGAGCTGAAGGTGAAGAGAGGTATATTAGTTCTCCAAAGTTTGAAATTCTCTGATTTTACTATAATAACTAAGCATTAACTATATGGGCAACACCAGATTGCAAATTAGTTGTGTTTCTAAAGTTTGTTAACATTCTTAGTTGCATTGCTTCAGAGTAATTGGTGATTATTTTTCTTATGCCCTCCATAAAACAAATAAGCAAATTATTTAACCCATATTGTATTTGATGTATTACAAACAGCTCAACCCCCAAATCCACTTAGTACCTTTTGAATTTTAACAGGGACAAGACTGTAGAATTCGTGGAATAGTTAGGATGAAAGCCCTAGCAGCTCAGGTTAGAACATTAGCCACAATTCTCCCTATATTCGTGAACTGATTGTGGGTCTAGTGATTGGTAAATTAGGAATTGTCTGTATTTTTATACAGAACAGGCCTTTCTTACATCTTCTCAACAGTAAAACAGAAGTGAATTTATTCTTTCAGTTAATACCTTAAAAATATGATGTAGAAGTCTTCTACAAAAGTATAGGTTTTCTTAAGATGGTAAAACCTCCCTGAAACATGTTACATGAATCTGTCCAAAAATTATTTAGCTCATGAAAGTGTAGAATCTGAGAAATCCCAGTGGTAGTCTTCAAAAAGTGATGCTTGCTTAAACTAAACTCTTCTTCTAAAATATTCACGGATTTCTATTGCATCTTCTTGCTGATTCCACATAGCCAGTCAGTCGTTAAGTCCTATGCATTCTGCCTTCTTAATATTCTTTCACCTTTTCCCCGTTCTCCTCCATCCCAGCCTTCACAGCCATAGTTCATATTTATTACTCTCTCACATTACTGTAACAGCTTCTTAACCAATTCGCTAAGACTACATGTTCGACCCTGCCTAACGTGGGTTCGCTCCTGCTTAAAATCCTTCAGTCAATCCCCACTGTTTTTAGAGTGGCATGAATCTGACCTCTATCTACCTTTCCCACTCTGTCTCTGCCTCTTTTCTATCTATGGATCAAGTGATTCATACCAAATTTCCCAGAAACTTCCTAAACAATCTGTGCTTTCTCATACTTCTGTAACTTTGTTCATAAGACTATATCTGCCTCCTCCTTGGAATTCCCTTTCATTTTACTTGTTCATCTTTCATACTAGACTGAGCAAGTTTAAGCTTTTTGTTCATTTGAGTCTTCCTTTCATGTTGTTTAGTTGATGTTTTCATTGTTCATTATCTATTTGTTCCTATGTGTTTATGTGTTATTATCTGCTATTCTTGCATCTCTTATCTCTACAATAATCTGAATTGAATCACTATTAAGATTCCATATTTATCTCATATTGATATGCCACATTTAGCCTATTAAAAATTTGTGTTAATGAAAATGACAACTCTTTAAAATGTTATACATATGGTATAGTACTATGTGAAGGAGGCATTATTTTCTTTAAACCTTATTTTTAAATGACAATTTTTTCCATTAGAACTTAACTTGGATATTTTAATCTAGGTCAAAAAAGAAAAAGAAAGTATCTGACTTACATGATTCTGTGGAGTTAATAGTCCAGTGTGTCCAGGCTGACATATTCCACTCAACCAAAAAAAGTTCATAGTGTAATGACCTCATGGGGTCTGCATGACTCTCTGTGTTCTTACTGCTTTTTGAGCTTCTCAGCTCAAATTTTAGCTAATGTTGGGCATTCACTATCATTTGGATAATGCTTCAAATACTGATTCTGATTTGGTTGATTCAGGACTGTGCTTGTTATCCATTTACTGTTTGTTTGTTTGTTTGTGTAGATAGGTCTCACTCTGTCACTCAGGCTTGAGTGCAGTTGTATGATCATGGATCACTGCAACCATAACCACCTGGACCCAAGTGATCCTCTCACCTCAGCCTCCTGAGCAGCTGGGATACAGGCAGGCATCACCACTCCTGGCTAATTTCTTATTTTTTGTGGAGAGCGAGTCTCCCTATGTTGCTCAGGGTGGTCTTGAACTCCTGGGTTCAAGCAGTCCTCCCACCTCAGCCTCCCAAAGTGCAGGGACTTACAGGTGTTGAGCCACCAAGCCCGGCCCCATTTTACTCTTGAATAACTTGATTCTGGCTATGTCTTTGGTCCTCTCTCTTTCATGCTTTCTACCTTTAATTTCTTCGGTTTCTATTCTGTAACAAATGCTTTAATGCTTTTCCTTAAAGGGAATATTTAGCTTCATTTATTGGTTGTTAATTTTGGTCCCAAGACCAACATGGTGATTCAAAGCAAATATATAATAGGAGCAATTTTAGGTTTAGACATTGAACCTATCTTCTTAAATATTATTTTAATCTACCTGATTTTATTCACAAAATTTGAATCCAAAATCTATTTTCTTATTTATTTTCATCTACAGAAATAGTTGAAATAATAAACTATGGTTTACTTAAGTTTTTGATTTTTATTTTTTCCTAGTCTAAAGTAGAGTGCTTTTTGAAGTTTGTCTTTTTTTATAAAAAAAAAAAAAAAAAAAAAAAGAATAATCTCTCAGTTTCAGCATTCAGAGCTATTTGGCATCTTTCCCAAACTTTTTTCTTAATGTTTAAGAATTTGCCATTAGCATTCACACCCTTATCAAGTTAACCTTTGATGTCTTTAAACCAGTATCTTTTAAACTTTCATGCCTGTTTTTCTTGTCATGTTGCCTCATTCATTTATTGGTTGACTTACTTCCCCTGTTCATTTTCCTTTTGTGCTACCTTCTCTATCCCTTACCTTAATAATCCTTGTTGTATCTGTCAATTGTTGCCATAAGTTTATTCTTTTGCTTGTACTTAAATATCTTTATTCTTTTTTTTTTTTTTGGCACTACAGAAGAGCTCTTGGTGCTATTTGATAGGGTTTGGCTGTGTCCCCATCCAAATCTCAACTCCAGTTGTATCTCCTAGAATTCCCATGAGTTGTGGGAGGGACCTAAGGGGAGGTAATTGAATCATGGGAGCCGGTCTTTCCCATGCTATTCTCGTGATAGTGAATAAGTCTCACAAGATCTGGTGGGTTTATCAGGGGTTTCTGCTTTTGCTTCTTTCTCATTTTCTCTTGCTGCCACCATATAAGAAGTACCTTTCGCCTCCTGCCATGATTCTGAGGCCTCCCCAGCCATGTGGAACTGTAAGTCCAGTTAAACCTCTTTTTATTCCCAGTCTCGGGTCTGTCTTTATCAGCAGTGTGAAAACCAACTAATACAGTAAATTGGTACCAGGAATGGGTTGTTGCTGAAAAGATACCCAAAAATGTGGAAGCGACTGTGGAACTGGGTAACAAGCAGAGATTGGAACAGTTTGAAGGGCTCAGAAGAAGACAGGAAAATGTGGGAATGTTTGGAACTTCCTAGAGATTTGTTAAATGGCTCTGCCCAAAATGCTAATAGCGATATGGACAATAAAATCCAGGCTGAATAACTTATTGGGAACTGGAGCAAAGGTGACTCCTGTTATGTTTTAGCAAAGAGACTGGCGGCATTTTGCCCCTACCCTAGAGATTTGTGGAACTTTGAACCTGAGAGAGATGATTTAGGGTATCTGGCAGAAGAAATTTCTAAGCAGCAAAGCATTCAAGTGGTGACTTGGGTACTGTTAAAGGCATTCAGTTTTATAAGGGAAGCAGAGCATAAAAGTTTGGAGAATTTGCAGCCTGACTATGCGATAGAAAAGAAAAACCCATTTTGGGGGAGAAATTCAGGCCAGCTGCAGAAATTTGCATAAGTAGCAAGGATCCTAATGTTAATTGCCAAGATGATGGGGAAAATGTCTTCAGGCCATGTCAGAAATCTTCACGGCAGCCCCTTCCATCACAGGCCTGGAGGCCCAGGAGGAAAATGTGGTTTTGTGGGCCAGGCCCAGGGTCCCTGTGCTGTATGCAGCCTAGGGACTTAATGCCCTGTGTCCTAGCCGCTCCAGCCATGGCTGAAAGGGGCCAATGTAGAGCTTGGGCTGTGGCTTCAGAGGGTGGAAGCCCCAAGCCTTGGCAGCTTTCACATGATGTTGAGCCTGTGGGTGCACAGAAGTCAGGAATTGAGGTTTGGGAACCTCTGCCTAGATTTCAGAAGAGATATGGAAATGCCTGGGTGCCCAGGCAGAAGTTTGCTACAGGGGTGGGGCCCTCATGGAGAACCTCTGCTAGGGCAGTACAGAAGGGAATCGTGCGATCAGAGCCCCCCACACAGAGTCCCTACTGGGGCACCTCCTAGTGGAGCTATGAGAAGAGGGCCACCATCCTGCAGACCCCTGAATGGTAGATCCACCGATAGCTTGCACCGTGTACGTGGAAAAGCCTCAGACATTCAACGCCAGCCCATGAGAGCAGCTGGGAGGAAGGCTGTACCCTGAAAAGGCACAGGGGTGGAGCTGCCCAAGACCATGGGAACCCACCTCCTGCATCAGCATGACCTGGATGTGAGACCTGGAGATCATTTTGGAGCTTTAAAATTTGACTGCCCTGATGGATTTTGGACTACATGGGCCCTATAACCCCTTTGTTTTGGCCAATTTCTCCCATTTGGAATGGCTATATTTACCCAATACCTGTACCCCCATTGTATCTAGGAAGTAACTAGCTTGCTTTTGATTTTTACAGACTCACACGCATCTCAGATGAGACTTTGGACTGTGGACTTTTGGGTTAAGACTTTGGCTGAAATGAGTTAAGACTTTGGGGGACTGTTGGGAAGGCATGGTTGGTTTTGAAGTGTATGGACATGAGATTTGAAGGGGCCAGGGGTGGAATGATATGGTTTGGTTGTGTCCTCACCCAAATCTCAACTTGAGTTGTATCTCCCAGAATTGCCATGTGTTGTGGGAGGGACCCAGGGAGAGGTAATTGAATCATGGGGGCCGGTCTTGTCTGTGCTATTCTTGTGATGGTGAATCAGTCTCACAAGATCTGATAGGTTTATCAGGGGTTTCCGATTTTGCTTCTTTCTTATTTTCTCTTGCCACCACCATGTAAGAAGTGCCTTTTGCCTCCCGCTATGATTCTGAGGCCTCCCAGCCATGTGGAACTCTAAGTCCAATTAAACATATTTTTATTCCCAGTCTCAGGTATGTCTTTATCAGCAGCATGAAAATGGACTAATACACTACTTAAATACTCAGAGTACACAGTTGACTGTTGCATAAATTCATAAACCAGTATAATGCTGATTCATGGTATTTTGTACACTATCACTGTATTTCACCCACCCTTTCCCAAGTAGAGAATCTACATAGGTCAGTAATTTACTTTAGCTTCCTTTTGCCTCTTGAATTTAGCATCATTTGTCCTGTTCTTCAAAATGAATTTTTCATTTATATGGAAAACTGAATAGGACCACCAGCTCATTGTAAGTGATCTCCATTTTCAGGGACTCTGAGGAAGGTTAAATAATTTAGATTGTTAATTCTCTTCCATTTTGAACTTGCTTTATAATATATACTGATCTCCAATATTACATTTTATTTCAGTATATACTGGAAAGCAATTTAAATAAAAATCCACTGTAGAGATCATCTAAGACACTTCCTCTAGGACCCTGATGAGTTGGGAAATTGGTGGCAACTTTATATCTTCTCACTACAACTTCCTTTACAAAGCTTCCTGTAGGAAATCTGTAGTACTCTCATTTCCAGATTCTTTAGGTTTTGCTGAAAAGTGTAGATTTATCAGATTGGAATATATGTGAATCTAGTTTTACAACTTCTTTCAAGTGTCCAGTTTATCTTAATTTGCCTTATAATCAGTATCATCTTACTCTTCCCACTGCTTTGGCTTCCTGGAAACAAAAAACATTTCCTCATTAATTCTTCACCTCTATGCCTGCTTGTAACCGTTATTTCTGTGGGGGAAAAAAAGGCCACTCAGACAGCAGTGAGTACATTTCTCTCACTGTGCTAAGAAACAATCCTTCTTCAATGAATTCTGACTTAATGGATTATTATATCTAGGCTGTTGTGACAGTACCACATGCTTTGGCTTTTGAATAGAGTAAATGTCTCTGATAATATTGCATAGGGAAAACCCTGGTGTGGAAGAAAAATATGGGAATAAGTGATGTATCTATCTCCTTTATCTTGTTAAAATTTCTGGCATTATTTCTTGCTGATGGTTTTCTTGTTAAAATCACATCTTCAGTTCAAGTTTCTCTTGTGATTTTCATTTTCTAGGAGTGTTTGTACGTTTTCCACAGTAATACTTTATCCCCTTCCGTGGTTTTGATCTCTCACCCGTCCTGTTATTTGTGATTAAGGATTTCTCTACTTTTAAAAAATAACACTCTTTTGTTAAAAAAAAAAAAAGTTTATAAGGCTCCTTAGTTGATGAGAATAGAAAATGTGTTGGGAAGTAGAAAAATATATAAGCAGATTTGTGTATATTGACAAGAAAAAGTCTCAGATTATTTTGTTCATAGAAAAGAAATATTCAGGATATTATATATAGCATAATCTCATGTTTACTCTAAAAATATCTGAGATTGTATATGTTTGAAGGAAAGTCTAGTATACCTATCAGACTGTTAATAGTAGTTTTCTACTATTCAGTGTGATTAAAGGAAGAGGAAATTCACCTCTTATTTCATGCATTATTTTAATTTTTACCACAGACATTAATTCTGTAACCAGAACTTTGAAGAACATGATAAAGAGCAAGTTTTAAAAATTGTAGTACTGGCCAGGTGCGGTGGCTTATGCCTGTAATCCCAGCACTTTGGGAGGCCAAGACGGGCAGATCACTTGAGGTCAGGAGTTCGAGACCAGCCTGACCAACATGGAGAAACCCCGTCTCTATTAAAAATACAAAATTAGCCACGTGTGGTGTCGCATGCCTCTAATCCCAGCTACTCGGGAGGCTGAGGCAGAAGAATCGCTTGAACCCGGGAGGTGGAGATTGTGGTGAGCTGAGGCTGCACCATTGCACTCCAGCCTGGGCAACAGGAGCAAAACTCCATCTCAAACAAAACAAAACAAAACAAAAAATTGTAGTACTTATTTACTACTTTTTAAGAATATTTCTGATAACATTTAATGATGAGGTATATATTAATGCCCCAGTTATTCTTAAAATGTATTATCGAATGAAGTTGAGAGTAAAACATTAATACTAGGAAACTTATTTCCATGTGCTTTGAAATTAGATACTTTTTAAAAATTACAGGTTTCTAGGCTGAGCACAACGGCTCACGCCTGTAATCCCAGCACTTTGGGAGGCCAAGGCAGGTTGATCAGTTGAGCCCAGGAGTTTGAGACCAGCCTAGCCAACATGGCAAAACCCCATCTCTACTAAAAATACAAAAAATTAGCTGGGCTTGGTGGCGCACGCCTGTAATCTCAGCTACTTAGGAGGCCGAGACATGAGAATCACTTGAACCTGGGAGGTGGAGGTTGCAGTGAGCCGAGATTGGACCACTGCACTTCATCCAGCCTGGGCAATAGAGAGAGACTCCATCTCAGACAAAAAAAAAAAAAAATTATAGGTTTCTGTATTATTATTTCTGGGGCAGAATACAATAACATAACATCATATAATACCACACTGTGTGAGTAAAAGTAACTTAGTAGTTTCTCTCTCTTCCTCTTCCCCCCCGCTTTCATTCCTTCCTTCCTGTTTCTTCTTTCTTTATTCCTCATTCATACACACATATATATATACAAGTCATTTAAGGGGGAAGATAGAAGTAAAAGAGCATTTGAAAGCAGTAGGAGAGTAGTATTTTGGTGTTCTTATTATTCCTATATTAACAGTCTATATTAGTCTTAATGCCAAATATCTCTGTTTTAGATAATCTACCCAAATGTACTAAACTTGCAAAATAATTATGTGAGAGAGTTCTTATGGCAGTATATAAGTTTGCTAGATATGTCTTAAAACTTCCTTTGATTAGTAATAATTATTAGACACATCTGGTGAATTTACTTTCTGAGTCCTGATCAAGTAAGGGAGCTGACAATTTTCAGTTTGTTACGCTAGCTTGTTTGAATCCAAAAAATGGTGTATGCCATATGCTCTAGCATTTATATTTTGTTTTGTTTTTTCTTTCTAAACAAAATGCATCTTCCACTTTTAGTGTACTCGACAGATTATCTCTGAGAAGCTAGGCCGTGGCTCAAGAACTGTGGACCTTGAACTTGAAGCTCAGATTGATATATTAAGGGATAACAAGAAAAAATATGAAAATATTTTAAAACTGGCTCAAACATTGTCGACCCAGCTTTTCCAGATGGTACATACCCAAAGGCAACTTGGAGATGCATTTGCTGACCTGAGTTTGAAGTCACTAGAACTTCATGTAAGATTATTCTAAATAACTATTAGGGATGGGAGAAAATGATAATAGAAGTATTCTAAGAGGTAATTTGTTATTGTGATTTGCTGAACTCTTAATGAAGATGGAATTCTGAGATTCTCTTTTAAGATATTTCATATCACTTTAAGAAGGCCCTCTTAAAGTGATATGACTTCTGTTAACTTTACTTTTTATGAATTATCATATGTATATAAATCTTTCATATTTTTCTTCCTGTTTGTTAATATTTTATTTTGCCTTTTACTCCTTAATCAATATCAAGGGTTACTGTTGTAATATGTTCTGTTAACTTTTTCTAAAAGTTGTAAAAATGTTGTTTTCTGTATTATTCTATTTCCAGTAACATTTATGTAGACTTCAGTGAAGTGTGTAACTTAGCTTGTGGAAATTTGGTGCCAAAAATCTTAAGCTGTCCTGCTTTTCATTTTAGTTTTTACATGCATTGATTGGTAATCTTTTTATGTGGTCCTTTATCTGCCAATATTTGCAACAAATCAAGGTCTATAATATTTTGAAGACTGAGTACAGAGTGGAGTTACATGGACATCTCTTAAATGGAAAATGGTTTTAGCATAATAAGGATAATTTTACTTTCCTGCTATTTTCTGAATTATTGAATACTTTGTCACCTAAGAAACGTAATTACAGCTATTGCAATAGCATTAAATTTGTATCTTCTAATATTTTAGTTAATTTAATATTACATTATTTGTTTCAACTGAAATTGAAAAGTGTTTTGTAACAAACTGGAGAATTATCAAATTAAATGATACATCTTAGAATATGTGATCGGTTTTTTATTTGGTTAGGTGCATCCTGATTAATCTGTTAATTAGTAAAACTTGCACTGGAAAGCTTTCACTGCTGAATATACAGAGCTAGAGTTAGTTCTTGCCATATCTGAAGGAGTCATGTGTAATGTTTACTGCACCAAGATGCAGTTTATTCAAAAAGAATGAACTAAAGCTGGTGTTGAGTGATCCTTCCTCAGTTGTGTGCCTAAATAGAGCTGAGCTTGGGAGTCAGCTAGTCACCAAGTTTACAAAGAAATATGTATTGTTAATATTTATACTTTGAGGAGAATCAGTCAAAACACAAAAAAAATGCACTTTGTTTTATGTCTGAAAGTTTTAACCAATTATTACCTAATTTGGCTGTGAAAGTTATAGTTTCTCTGATTAATAATCTGCTCTATTTTTCTTTCCAACAGCTGTGCTTATAGTATAATAGAAACAAAATGTAGAAATGAAAATATTGTTTCTACTACAAAGTAACTTAAAAAAATTATTTAGCTTTTAGGTATGTATCTGAGCTGATGACAATTTTGGTTTATTAGACTTTTTCAGTAATTATATGGCTAGCTGTGATTTCGATTCTTAAAGACGGAAAGGAAAAGTAAAACTGCTACAGCTAGATCTCTATCTAAATCACATATTTTCCCATTAGTGACGTGCTTGAGATTTTTAAGTCACTTTTACTGATTTATTACTGAATAAATTAAGGTGACTTCTTTGTTTTAGGAAGAATTTGGCTATAATGCCGATACCCAGAAACTGCTGGCTAAAAATGGAGAGACTCTTCTTGGGGCCATTAATTTTTTCATTGCTAGTGTGAACACTTTGGTGAATAAAACCATTGAAGATACATTAATGACTGTGAAACAGTATGAAAGTGCCAGGTAAGGTATACATTTTCACTGTGTTGTCTGTTTTACAGATGGCATATAATTCAGTTAATTTTTTGGTTACAAACAACAGAAACCAACTCTGGCCAATATGGGCAGGAAAAAAATGTACTGGAAAGTTATAGGATGCCTCTACAGACCTGGCAGAAAGGGAGAGAACAAGATTCTGGAAACAACCAAGAACCAAAGCCAAGTTAAGCCTCAGAAGAATCTAATTAGAACCCCTATGCTGGGTGCCTCTAGTACTTGATGCTGCCACAGCTACCATAAATAATTTCCTAAATACCCATGAATACTTGCTTCATTGCCTTGAGATTATCTAATTGAGCCTTGGTCATGTGCCCAAACCCTGCCTTCTAGTGAGTAGGGAAATGGAGGATCTCCCAGCTCTGGCTTCTTTAGAAGAGGACAGGGCCCTATGTTCTACCAGGTAGGTATTACATGGTCCTCTATACTCTCGCCTAAATTTACCTTTCATCCTTATTACCACTGCTTCCACAATAGCCAGACCCATACTTTCAGTTTCTATTGAATAAATAAGCTCATTTTGCCTCCATGATTTTTGTTTGTTAGGATATCAGTCATCTTCCATTTATCCAGATTATAACAAGCCTTCAAACCCTTTCAAATTTTACCTTTTATATAAATTAAATATTTGACTTGTATTTTGATAACTGTTCATAATGCAGTGTTTTTATACATCCTATTTTAATGGGTTTTTGTATATCCATATTCATATATATATGTATATATACAGTTTCCCTGTCTCATAACTATCCTGTTAAATGGTGAACAAAATATATATTAATAAATATATTAATAAATATTTTGAAGGGTCTAAAATATGGCAGACCTATAATAGCCTTTTTCACCTTTTGATTCCAGGCCCAATTTTTTCCCCATATGCCCTACCCCTTTTATTTAAGTATCATTCTAGTCCCTTTTGAGGTTTTTTTCTTTTGAGCACTCAAAATTCTTATTTTCCATTATACTTTTTATGCATAGTTGAAGATAAACTTTACCTTTTAGAAGGATAACTTTACTCTTTGGCCTCTTATCCTAGTTTAATGGTATGAGAAATACCTGTAAAAAACTCCAAACTCATCTAGTATTTTTGCAATTGAGTGCTTATTAAATATATATTTCCTTACACTTCAATTAAGTAAAAGCCCAAATCATTTTGAAAAGTTAATTTTTGATGTTTTCACAGGAAGAGATGCTTCTGTCCCATACCATGTTTATTTTGTCATTTTCCATTTAGTATTAAAGTATGAGATTCTTATTGACTTGAAAATGAAGGTCAAACAGCTGTGGTTGTATGGAGGGGTAAGGGTGAGGATAGCTGTTAGTAAGATAGCCTTCCGTGGAAATCTCTTCAATAACATTCTCAGTAATTGGTGTTTCAGTCTCAGTGTAAATCCTTTCATGGAAATTATATTTTTCAAAGGGTTCATTATGTATATGAATTTTAAAATTCATTTATATAAGTTTTACTTGATCCTTTTCTAAATTTTTCTGTTCCTTGTTCATAATGTCCTAATTTGTTCATAATGGTACTGTTTCTTTTATCTCTAATCATTTTAAATATTCATATTTTCTAGTCCTTCTGATTGTTTTAACATGTATGGGTTTTAAAGATGGATATTGTTTTCTTCCAAAAATACCCCCACCACCTCCTAGTTGAGAACTTTGTGAATCTAGTTTCTCTACTTTGCAATTGTCTACCTATCCTGAAATATATTTTCGTTAATAATAATCTCTTTCCCTTCAGCTTTTATTTCTAAACAGTTTATAATTAATTTGTAGAGGAGAAAACACTCTAGAGGTTAAATGGTTTGCTCACTTGTAGTCAATTTCAAAGGCAAAATAAGAACCCATTGGTTCTCTATGGTTCACATTTTATCAGTAGGCCTTATACCTGAGTATTAGTGCCCTAAGTATAATGTGGTATAAGATCTCAGATTATAAAATACAGTATATAGGTTCATTTGGAACTTTTGAACAAAATTATAAATCAAGTTACATGTACTTGGTGGCTGGTTTCTTAAGGGAAACCCTTACACAGCCTCTGTGTGTACTTTAAAAAACAACAACAGTAATGTTGTTTTTGTTTTATGTCATCCCGTAATTTATCCTTTTTTATTCAAATTACAATGTATGATCTTATTCATTAAGCTTAGCTTGGGGTTTGACTTTTCTGTTGTTTATGAAATAGCTGTGGAATTGGCTAGTTGTTAACACTAAAACCTTGCCTACTGATGGATAATAGTCAAAAAGAATCCAAGGTTAAAAGTTTTTCAGTAGCTGAATTTCCTTCTCTGTCAAAGCCAGAATTTACTGACTTTTAGGGCAAGGGTCATCTATTTGATCAGTGCAAAAAGTGGTAATTTAGGCAAATGCCCGAGTGGCCTTTTAATCCTCCCTATTATGCATTGTGTACAAGTATTTCCTAGCCCTCTGGTGCTTCATGTATAGAAAATCTTGTAACAGCCCATTCAACACTTCTCCACAGCAGCACCAACAAGGGAGTCAATTGTGGTCGAGACTTTTCAGATGTGGACACCTGTTCTCTAGAAGTTTTACATAAGCCATAAAGTAACCGTCACTAACTTTGTTGATACGGACTCAGTTCAGACGGGCAACCTTGAAGTGAAGTTGCTTTTTGAAAACTTAGTGAGCTTCTCTTCTTGGTGGTAATGAGCACTGTTAGAGAAGCTATTATGGAAAGTTTTACTTTGGTACCACCTACAAACTCTGAATGTAAAATTAAGAAATATAAGGTCAGTATTATAACTTTGAATATGTTTGAGTTAATCACTGTTGTTTAGAAATGCGCTCCAAGGCTATTGAAGGATATTTGTCCTTAGATTAAATCACCATGTATTACTATTTATTTAGTTCTACTTTTTTCTCTTTTATTTCCTATTGTTTTTAGTGTGCTTGCTTCTAGATACCCCTCTTCTAATTTGGCCATAATAATAAGCATTCTAAAGGTATCAGTTATTACCAGGTATCCTGTGTGTTTTATCTATATGAAGTTTTTGTGGAGATTTTTGTTCACATTTATAGATTGAAAAACTGGAGCACAAAGAGATGAAATAACCAGCTCAAGAATAGAGCCAAAAGGCAGAGAGGTCATTCAGCTTGGCTCCTGAACCCATGGATTTAACTAACTAGTTATTATTGCCAAGTCAGTCTTGCCTCCTAAATCTTTTGTATTTGTCTCCTTAGCTCCAATGCCTTTGTCCTGATTCAGTGACTCATTTCTTATATGTCCATCGTTTTCTAATAGGTTTCCTTGCTCCTGATTTTTTAATCATTTATTCTATCCTCCATCTCTTACACTACCACCAGGGTCATCTTTCTATCCTGATACAATCATGTCATTTTTATGTCAGATCAACATTCTTCAGTGGCTTCCCATTACTTCTCCTACTGGATTAAATTTAAACACTTTAACATGGCCTGTAGGGCTGCTTACTTTCAATCCTGCCTGCCTGTCTAATGTTAATTCCTTCCATTGTCATGTTCCAGCTTCAGATTCTGACATACCGAATTCCCAAATGTGTCATTGTATCTTACAAATCTATGCCTTTGTCCATGCTATTCTCTTCAGAATCAGAGTATCCTACTGATTTCTGTATCCCAATTCACCTAGCCAGCTTTTACCATCCTTCAAATTTTAATTATAGTATTTTAATTCTGTCTGAGATACCTTTTCAGATATCTAATTAAATAATTATTCCTCTTGATTTCCATTATACCTTACCCTCATTTATGGTAGTTCTTATTATCTCATTTTGTTGTAATTGTTTACAAGGTTCTCTTCCTCTAGAATGCGAGCTTCTTGAGGATAAACATATCTGTTCATCTTTATAGCTCTACTTTCTAACACAGTGCCTGGAACGTGGAAAGTGCTCACTTGAGAATTGTTGAATGAATCAGTGTATCAGTGAATGAATGAATGGTTCTCTTTTGACCCTGAAAGAGGCCAATTAAATTAAATCTTAACTCATACTGCTAAATTCAGTATGAGTTAAGAATAAATTAGGATCAGTGTGAAGGACTGATGTATTCTTTCTCAAGTCATATATACAATATAGATTATGTTATTTAAAGTATTGTTAATTCCCAGAATAGGAGATGTGAATTATACACCTAATATCTCCAAATAAAGAGCTTTAGTTTTAGGGTATAAGCTTTGTGATTCTGATCTTGACTAAATTAGAGGTCACTTTGCTTCTTCTTTGCTGAGTACCGAATAGTTGAAGCTGCTGGATAAATCACTGTTTAATAAGCAAGATAGTACTATACTTAGACAGGCACTGTGATAGAGCTATTATGAGGAGTTATGGGATCTTGGAGTGATGACAGTGGTGGGGTAACTATTTGAGTTGATGGGGGGAGAATATCAGAGTGAGGCATCTTACAGAACACAGGATGGTAAGTGCTCTACAATAGATACTGTTGTTACATTCTGAATACTGATGTTACAGAAATTCATCTAGAGTTGTGTTGTCAAGTATAGTAGCCACACATGTCTGGTGAGCACTTGAAATGTGGCTAGTCTGAATTGAGATGGGATAGAAGTGTAAAATACACAGTGGATTTCAAAGACTCACTACCCACTCTCCAAATGTAAAGTACCTATGAATAATTCTGTTACATTGATTACATGCCACAATGATTAATATTTTAGATATATTGGGTAAAATGAAATATATTGATAACAGGTGAAATTAATTATTATTTCATTGTAACTACTAGAAAATTTTAAATTACATGTGTTACTCACATTACATTTTTGTTGTGCATTGCTAACCCAGACTTTTTTCAGAACCATTTACACTTCCGTTAGTTTTAGTATGCCATTCTAGAGTCTGCTGTCCTTACCTGCTTTGCCTAATCAGTACTAAGCAATTCACTTGGGGTATTTATTCTACCCTTGATCTTGTTTTGACATTTATTTTTTTTAACTGGTTTTTAGATTTTGGAAATTTTACTTGTCAGTTAATACTGTGCTTTGAGAGAAATAGTTAATGAGATTAACCAGCAGCTTTGTTCTTATTTAAATAGCTCTTTGTTTTTAAAGAAATAATGATTTCAAAAGCGTCAAGTAGAATATGTGTGAGAATTTTATATATTTTATTGTATAGTATGAGACTGAATATTACGTATTTCCAACCCATTTTTTGAACATACTTTACTGTTCTTGTAGTATGCTTCACTTACTCTCTTCTTTCCAGGATTGAATATGATGCATATCGCACTGATTTGGAAGAACTGAATCTTGGACCACGTGACGCAAACACTCTGCCAAAGATTGAGCAGTCACAGCATCTCTTCCAAGCACATAAGGAAAAATATGATAAAATGCGCAATGATGTTTCTGTCAAATTGAAATTTCTAGAAGAAAATAAGGTAAATTCTTTACCTTCTAAGGTCTTTCTGTGGACTTTGAAGTCACCCTAAAGAGAGATAGTCAGTTTTTCTGTTTCTGTTAACTCTCTTGTATGACAATTGCAAGAAGGAATTCCATTTGTAATCAGTGTTTGAGTTTTTAGAAGCATACAAAATATATTTACCTTTCTTTGATAAAAGTTATCAATGCCACCGTCCCAGTCTTTCACATATAACACATGGCAAAAAGTATTTGATGGACAGCCATTGATCTTTGGATTGGCGTTGATAGCAAGTGCTTTAAAAATTGAAATAATGATAGATTATGCTCTGAATATTTTGAAGCTTTTCTATTAATGATAGGTACAGATTTCAGGAAAAGAACTATGGCATTCTTCTCAGCAATTGATAAGTGAAAAATAGCTAAAAGGTCCAGCTTAGGGCTGCAGTTAGCATAACCTAGGAGAAGGAAGCCAAGAGATCCATTTTCCACATTTTTTTCATATGTGAACACATCTAAGGACTAGAGCAACGAGGGCTGAACTGGACCAGCTGTAGGTTTCAGCAGGAAGTGGATTCATATACTAATAGGCTCCTGTGTTTTGGTTTAAGTAAAAGGATGGTTTCTCATGTTTGACATATCTCTATTACTTGCATATTCAGCTTTGTATGCAGGATTGCAGTTCTGGAAATGGGAAATGAGTGAGCATGGTACGGAATAGGTGTAGTGCAGTCCTGAACAGATGGGTCTCACCATTGCACGTTGGTAGTTTTTTCTGTGCATTTCACATCCTGTGAAGTCATGACAGGTCTTCAACTGTACTCTCTTCCAGGTACCCTCTTAAAATTGTTTTTCAGTTCTCTCAGGAAACAGTCATGTTTATATTCTCCTCCATAACATCAAAGGGCATTTTAGTAAACTATAACTGTCAGTATCTTATTGTTTTCTTTAACATTTCCTTAGAAACTCTCATGGCTACTATAAAACCTATAAAATAATATATTTCTTTGGGATCCACCTAGTCCAGCACTTTCACTGACTTGTTTTTAAGCTGCTATGGGTGAAAATTACTCACCAGAAAACATTATAGTGGCAATAAAGGAAACCTCAGCAGAGTTGTTAGAAAAATTGCCTGGCATCATTCAGACAGAGCCCAGTGCAGCCTTCTGGTATTCATTAGCTGAGCACATAAGATTGCATTCATTTTAGTCATATATATATATATATATATATATATATATATATATACACCTATTTTTGTGTGTGTGTGTATATTTATGTGTATATATAAATATATATACACATAAATATATATATACTATATATACATATATATACTATATAGTATATATATGCACTATATATAGTATATATACACTAATATATACTATATAATATATATATGCACTATATATAGTATATATACACTAATATATACTATATATACTATACTATATATACTATATATTATATACTATACTATATACTATATATACTATATATTATATACTATACTATATACTATATATATACTATATATACTATATACTATATATATACTATATATACTATATATACTATATATATACTAATATATAGTGTATGTATACTATATATATACTAATATATAGTGTATGTATACTATACATACACTATATATTTTAGTCATATATACATATTTTAGTCATATATATTTAGTCATATATATAATGGATGTGAATATATCAATATTTAGATAATAGACATTGTACATTTTAAATATAAAAATATTTTTGGCATTCCACCCTATCATCACTACACAATAATACTAAAAGAGGTATGCTAGAAGAATATACGTGTTTGATAGAAAAGTAGACTAACATAGTGAAACATAAGGTTCATGTGATTTAAAGGAAGAGTGAATCAAATGGTAATTGGAAGCCAGATTATACTAAGCCTTGACCACATACAGACTTTGAATTGTGGCCTTGGAATGTGTACACTGAGCAGGGAGGGAAGAAGGAGACACTTTCGTTTACAGAGGGAGGGAAGGAGACACTTTTCATTTATAGAGCCAGGTCGTCTCTATAAATTTTAAATGTCAATCAGATGAATGTTACTTCTGATTTTATCTTGTAAATATTGAAGAATTTTTAAAGTTGAGAGTAGCAGGAAAAAGTCATTTAGAAAGTCTCTTTCTTTCTTAAGGGAAGAAAGAAAATAGAAGCACATGTACTAATTAGGGATCTTTTATAGCCAAATGAAATGATTAAGAGCCTGAACTAGGGTCTTTGCAATAGCAGCATGAAGGAAGGAATATGGTGATTTTAAGGCTGCACGACAGGGGTCGGAAAACTAAAATGGGAAGCTGGTGTGGCCTGAACGGGGTAAGGGTAAAGGATTGGGAATTTTTTCTGTTTGATCCAGTGTTTAGTTTGAGATGATGACAGAATACTCAAGTGGAAACAATTGGTAGGAATTTGATGATGTGTGTTTAGAGTTTGGATGAACAGGGTCAGGGCTTCAGATATAAAGGCTTGGAAGTCATTGCTTTAAGAATAATGTTATTAGTACTATTAAATAAAAATAGAAAATTGCTTCTATTCTCAAGGATTTTATGTTCTTAGATGATGTCTTCGTCTTTTTGGGCTGCTGTAACAAAATACCATAAACTGAGTAGCTTATAAACAAGAGAGAATTATTTCTTTCAGTTCTAGAGGCTGGGAAGTTCACAATGAAGGTACCAGTGTCTGGTGAGGGCCCACCTTCTGACTCGTAGATGGCTCCTTGCTATATCCTCACGTGGTGGAACAGGGAGGGGTCCCTCCCATTCCTTTATCATGAGGGCACTAATCCCATTTATGAGGACTGTACCTCCCAAAGGTGATTAGTACCTTCTAATACCATCACATTGAGGGTGAAGATTTCAGCATTTGAATTTGGCAGGGACACAAACATTCAGACTGCAGCAGATAGCATAGATATTCTTTGTTTTGGCTTTCCACAGTTGTCATCAAGGTTAAGTTTGAATTTGAACTGAGTAATCAGCTATGTCTAAAGTAAAATCTATAAAGAAACTTTGGTCTTTGTATATTTTTTATTTAACTCTTCAAAACGATAAGTATTGTCGGACTGTTCTTTTAAGTAGTAATTGTCATTTAGAAGAAGACAGAGATCCATGAGAGAACTTTTCTTTGTTTTTTTGTTGTTGTTGAGCAACGTTTACTCTTTTTTGTTTCTTTTAATAGCTTTAAAAAGGAAGGAAAAGCAGGTTTTTAGCCTAGGAACTGTCATCCCTGTTTGCTTTCTTGGTAATTTGAAATGCCTCAAGTCTAGGTTTTTTGTTCTTTTGTTAAACTAGGTGAATTTGTACCTCAACATCTCTTTTATGTGTGGTTGCCAGGTAATCTACTTAGCACTTTAATTTGTTTGTTCGTTTGTTTGTTTCTTGTTTTTGTTTGAGAAGGAGTCTCGCTATGTTGCCCAGGCTGGAGTGCAGTGATGTAATCTCTGCTTACTGCAACCTCCACCACCTGGGTTCAAGCAGTTCTCTTGCCTCAGCCTCTCTGTAGCTGGAATTACAGGTGCGTGCCATCATGCCCAGTTAATTTTTTTTTTTTCTAGTAGAAACAGGTTTCACCATGTTGGCCAGGCTGGTCTTGAACTCCTGAGCTCAGGTGATCCACCCACCTTGGCCTCCCAAAGTGCTGGGATTACAGGCATGAGCCACTGCACCAGGCCCAACACTTTAATTTGAAGAAAACATAGTATACTTTTCCTATTTCTTCCCCCCAACCACTCACCATCCTCTGCTTTTTTTTAAAGATACTGGCTCTCACTATGTGGCCCAGGTTAGATTTGAACTTCTGGACTCAAGCAGTTTTCCCACCTCAGCCTCCCAAGCAGCTGGGACTACAGGCGCATGCCACCACATCCTGCTAGTCATCCTATTTCTTAACAGGAAGAAATGAAACATCAATGAATGTGCTGTTCTGTAATTTGATAATGTCCTAAAGAGTACTGCAGTATATACACCTGTTTTTGCAGCTTTTCTCTCTCTCTGTCTCTCTTTTTGGCTTTCTTTTGGTTCTCATGTCATGACTTTTGGAATATCTTTTCATAACACTTCTCTTCTAAAATGAGAAGCCAGATAACCAAACAACGAGAATAGGGCATAAAGTAAAAGCAAGTAGTCCTTGAGTATGGGACTAAAAGCCAGCCGTGTGACTATAGTAATAAGCTTTAGCATTTAGTGTTTTTCTTTGTTCCCTCTTAGAACTTTTTTAAAATTTTGAGACAGATCAGGAGTTAGGTTCTTAGCTATAAAATTGATGTGTTTATATGTACTTAGTCTAGCCTTTCTTCCGTATGGCAAAAGAAAGAGGTAAGGTATGTAAAATACTCACATTTCTGCATATATGTGTGATAAATGCACCTAAGGGTATTTGTCATTTACCCTTAATGAAAAACATGTGTTGTTCTACTAGTTATAGTTCGTATTTTCTGTCTCTTCACCCCGTGATTTAGTTGTGTTTGCCTTTAACCTAAACAATCCTTATTCATCTCTGATATTCTCTTCTTTGTTTACTAAACCACATTGAGTTGTGTAGCAGTAAAGACATAGCTCATTTGTCTTCTGATATTTCTCCTTTCATCAGTATTTCTTCTTTTTGAGACCTTTAAATAATGTAACTTGAGCTATTTTGTGACTTAAGGCAGTTTGTTTACCTGTTATTGTTTCTTTCAGAGTTCAAAACAAAACATAGGCTAGTTTAGTAAAGAGAAAGAATAATAGACATTTCTGGTGCTTTGTAGACTTTGTGAGAGTAGATACCATGCTTTCTTTTACAGCCCTCATAAAGCCTAGCAATGGTGCAGGTATATAGTACTCATTCAGCAAGTGCATGTTTGCCTTCTTCCCAGAATTAGAGGCGCACTACAGGGATTGGAAGGAGAAGGAAGTGAATGAAAGTCAACTCGGAGAGGATAAAAGGCAGAATCCTGATTACCTCACTCTTTGCTTTCATGAGGCCAAAGCATAGTCTCTCAGAAATGCTTCTGTTTTCTGCAATGTTTTCTGTTTGCATAGAAAGAGGAGGCAAAAAGTTAAAGAAAAATATGCAGATCAATGTAAGCAACTCATGTTTTTTTTTTAGATAGCTTTTTATGTGGCTTGGAAGTATAAAGATGTGAAAAAATAGTTGAAGGTTAATTTTTTCTTTAAGGTGACTAATTTAACTTGGGAATGATAAATCTCAAGGGCAATGAATATATTGGGAGTGGGATCTGAATGTATCAGAAGATTCAACAAAGCAGTTTGGGGTATAAATATAAAAAGCAAGGGTTTTATTCTTATTTTAAGAAGTGTAAAATACACTCCTACTCTAAGGTAATGTCAAATTAGCTATAACTATTAAATGCAGGTTTGTTTCATTATTATGTTATATTTTAGTGACTTAAAGGATGACAGAGGAGGCAGAAGAAGATGAACCAGACTTGGGATCTATCCTGGACACATATTTGATTTATATAGCTACTTAATTTAAAAAAATTTCTTAAAATTTATAGTCATTCCTAATCTTAGATTGATATGAAAACTGTTGTTTTCACTCACAGTGTTTCATATATAATCACAATACAGTAACATTCCTGTATATTAGGATTTCTTTTCTAATATATTATTTAAGACGCCTGTAATCCTAGCACTTTGGGAGGCCGAGGTGGACGGATCACTTGAGGTCAGGAGTTTGAAACCAGCCTGGCCAACATGGTGAAACCTCGTCTCTACTAAAAATACAAAAATTAGCCTAGCGTGCCCATAATTCCAGCTACTCCCAAGGCTGAGGCAGGAGAATCATTTGAACCTGGGAGGCGGAGGTTGCAGTGAGCCGAGATCGCGCCACTACACTCCAGCCTAGATGACAGAGCGAGACTCTGTCTCAAAAAAAAAAAAAAAGAAAGAAAAAAATGCTCAAAGCCTAGTACTTTTTTGTAAAAATACACTAAAGGTTTGGAAAAGCTTTGAGGGCAGAAGTATTCTTTGCTTACTAAAACTTCTCTTTGAGAGGAAAAAATATAAACCTCAGAATTTAAAAAATAGATACTTGTTGCCAAAGTTTAAGGAGCATGTTAATACCTAATGTGCACAAGGAGATAGATACATTCTTGAAATCTCTTTTCCCATTGTCAAAAGAAAAAGAACCCCTATTTCTTCTTGAGTACTTTAAAAATATTCATGCCAGTGACTTAATGTCACCTTTACTTCTAAAGCAAAAACAGTAGTACTTCTTGGTGTGTGCTCCTAGGGAAAGTGAGATTAAGTTATATAGGTGAAAGAACTACCTGGTTCTAAATTTTAAAATAAGCATTTATGGATTGATGTCTGTAAGCATAACAAGCAACCAGGGAGTTCATAGTGCTGGACACAAAAGAACCTGCCTTTCAACACTGTGCCAAATATTATTACATACATTTGGATTCTGTGAGTCATTCTCTTATTCATGCAACTTTAATTCCAGACTTAATTTTGGCTGTGACTGGTGCTCTCAAGGGAAGGTACATGGTCACTTAAGAGTGGTTGGGGAAGGCCTTCATGAGGGAGTGATGCCGAACACTAACATCACTTAATGTTGAGAAAGTGAGAAACTGAGAACCAGAGAGTATTCCAGGAAGAAATACCAGCATGTGCAACTGCCTTGTGGCAGGAGAGGGTGTGGTATGGTGAAAGAATGAATGTAACTAGAGCCAGTTTGACCAGAGCATAGGGAGACAGCTGGATAGGTAAGTGGTGGCCAGACTATGTAGCCCTGATAGGCCATATTAGGGAAAAGTTTAATATCAGTGGGAAGCCCTTGAAATAATTCTTAGCAAATGATAGGTCTAAAATATGGAGGATAGATCTTAGTAGGGCCTAAGAGTAAGTATAGTGGCTTAGACAAGAAATGGTAGGAAGTTGGATTACAATAGTGATAGTGGAAATGGAGTGAACTGAAGGCTTCAGGAGATATTTAAAAGGTAAAACAAATATAGGTAAAACAGTAACACAGACTGATGCATAATTAGCACCTTTCACATTTTATTCCTTTATTCAGCAAATATTGATGGAGTGGTCTTTTTATTTGTATTTATTTAGTTATTTGAGACAGGGTCTCACTGTGTTGCCCAGGCTGGAGTGCAGTGGTGCAGTCATAGCTTACTGTAGTCTTGAACTCCTGGCCATAAATGATCCTCCTACCTCAGCCTTCCAAGTAACTGAGACTACTGGTACATGCCACTGCACTTGGCCTTTTTTTTTTTTTTTTTTTTTTTTTTTGAGATAGGGTGTTGTTCTGTCATCCAGGCTAGAGTATAGTGGTGTGATCATGGCTCACTGCAGCCTCTACCTCCCAGGCTCAAGCACTCCTCCCACCTCAGGCTTTAGAGTAGATGGGATGACAGGCATGTGCTGCTAGGCCTGGATAATTTTTTAATTTTTTTGTAGAGACAGAGTTTCACTATGTTGCCCAGGCTGTTTTCAAACTCCTGGCCTCAAGCAGTCCTTCTGCCTCAGCCTCCCAAAGAGCTAGGATTATAGGCGTGAGCTGCCATGCCAGATCTTGTGGATTGCTTTTTATATGCCAGTCACTGAGTTAGGTGATAGAGGTATAATGGTCTTACACTCATAGAGCTTATAGTCAAGTAAGACAGATAGGCATTAACCAAACAATTACGTAAATACAAGCTGTGGTAAGTGTGATGAAGGGAAAATAGAAATGTCATGTGTGTATACAGAGGACTTGGCCAGGTGTGTGTGTTGCGGGGGAGGGGCTGGGGTATCATGGAAGGCTTCCCTGAGGCAGTGATATTGGGGCCGAGATAGAAAGAGAGAGGAGTAAGGTAAAGGTATGTGATGGAAGGAGATTTTAATTAGAAGAAACAGCATATGTTGACGGTCAGTGAGGCCAGAGCATAATGGGAACAGGGGAGAAATAGCACTGGATGAAGCTGGAGAGGTAGTTTAGGGCCTACACAAAGGTGAAATAACATAGGTACAAGGTTATTCATTGCAGCATCACTTGTTATTTCTACAGATGAGAAAGAACTCAATGGTTCAGCAGTAAAGGACTAATTGAATAAACTGGTTTTTTCATACAGTGAAATACTTTGCAGCTATTTAAAAAAATGAGAATGCTAATGATAGAAAACTCCTCAGGACAGACAATTAAATGAAAATAGCAAAGCACAAAGTAGTGTTTATTGTACAGTATCTTGTATGTAAGAAAAGAAGGAAGAATGTATAATCATATTTTCTTGTATTTGCACAAAGAAAAACGGGAAGGATTAATAAAATCAGTTACCTATAGAGGGAACAGGGTGAATGGAAACAGGAATGAAAATGAAACCTCTCACTGTATACTTTTTATATCTTTAATTTTGAACCACATATATGTCTTACCTATTCAGAAAAATAATACTTTTAAAAAGATAGGAAAATTAAGTTAGCTAAAAAAAAAAAAGTTAGCTAGAAAATGTTTCTTAAATACTGTGCCTTATCTTTTTTTCCAAAATGAGACTTAAAATAGACATGTATTTCCCAAATATAGTCTTTAATTTTCCTCTTAGCTCAAAATTAGATGATTAATTCTGTGTTGGTGAGAATAGAAAAAGTTAACTTAGAATGTGAGTTCTGTTGCAACATCATTCTTAAATGACAGAGTAGAAATAGTGCAATATCGTACCTTTCATTTACAGAAGAAAATATCTTAACATATGGTGCAACATTTGCTGCTGTTAGTGGTTTGTCTTTTTAAACACACATGGAAGAGGAAAAATTTGCTTGTGGTTTGCATTGCCTCCTTTCTCTCTTTAGAAATGAGGCAGAAATTAACTGTCTTTATATAAACCATACAACCAAAAAGAATTGTGAGTTGTAGGTTGATTTTTAAACTAGACTCATCCAACCCATACCTGTTTGGAATAAATCAAGGTAATTGTAATTGTTGAAGAGTGAGTAGGGATGAAAGCCTGAGTGGGTGCTGGGGAGAAGCACACCTAGCTAACCAATTCATATAGTTTTTTTTTTTTACCAGTTATGCTAAGATTCCGGCATGACAATTTTTGTAAGGGAGGGATATTTTGTATACAGTATTGAAAAGCTTTCCAGGAAGGATAGCTTTATAATTATGAATTACTGTTCTTATAGACTTGGTTCTTTTTTGGCAATCATAAGGTACTTACATATTTTCTAACCCTTTTTGGTCAGAAGCTATCAACTTACTATAGAGTAGGATTAGAGTTTCTTATTCTGCTGTATATGTTGGAGGTGAGGGAATTGTTCCTTTCACTTTGAATGAAAAGAATTCACTTTAAAAATTTACTTTTTAATCATTATTGCTGTGATGTATCTGTTCTAATGGTTGATATACATGTGTGCTCTTCAGATCCACATTTCACTTATTTTGCCAGCCTTGGGTATTATCCAACTTGATTTGCCAGGTTTGTGATAAAGGTGAGTTTTTAAGTGATCAATGTGATACTTGAACAGATCACTAATAACTGCATTGGTTGTGCTGTTGATGATGGTACTGGGTGCTTATGGCTGTGACTTTGCTATACTTTTTTAGTTCTTAGTAGTTATGGTTCCTTCAGTTTGCTTAAAAGTAAAACCTTTAATTAGCATTTCTGAGTAAAGTCTCAGAAGACACTAGCAGTGTTTAAGAATTTGACTTTGCAATGTTCTTTTTTTTTTTTTTTTTTTGAGACGAGTCTCGCTCTGTCGCCCAGGCTGGAGTGCAGTGGCGCAATCTCGGCTCACTGCAACCTCCGCCTCCCGGGTTCAAGCAATTCTCTGCCTCAGCCTCCTGAGTGGCTGGGATTACAGGCGCCCACCACAACGCCCAGCTAAGTTTTTGGATTTTTAGTAGAGATGGGGTTTCACCATCTTGGCCAGGCTGGTCTTGAACTCCTGACCTTGTGATCCACCCGCCTCGCCCTCCCAAAGTGCTGGGATTACAGGTGTGAGCCACTGCGCCCGGCTGCAATGTTCTTTTTAACCTTTTCTTGAAATTCTCTCAGTAATGACTCAGCGTTTTCATGTTGACCATAATTTCCTTCCATGACTTATCTATACTTTGCTGTGTTAGATTAAAACATTCATAACTTTTTTCCTCATTCCTCATAAACTTAATAACATCCTGATTTTCTATCCTTATTTCTTCCCTTAAATTTTCAAAGATGCTTTTTTAAAAATTCACCTTAAGTTTTTTAAGGTGCTTGTTTTGTGCAATTATGCCTGATCCTAAAGTACTATATAAGGTATTATCACAGACTGCCTACGGAGAGGCAACTTACAGTCTAAAGGAGGAATTTAAATAAAATCAATTATATATAAAATGCTAACTTAAACATGAGAAAGAAATACAGAATTTGATGAAGAAAAATGTTAGTGTGGGCTCAAAGTACCTGGTAAGCTAGGCAGTTTGACTTGAGCAGGACCACACAAGAATGGGTAACATGTGCATAGGCAGGAAAGAGTCAGGAAAAAAATTCTTGGAGAAACCCTGGATCATATGTTTAAGTGATTTGTAAACTTCTGTTGAATCATCTGTTCCCTTCTTGAAGCACAGCATACTATTACTACTTACAGGCTTTTTGAAAAGAAGAGTAATTGTTTTGTCCTAACAAATTTTGATAAGGCTTTTCCATTGGATGGGCCATTGGTTTGACTAGTTCCTATTGCCCAGTGTCCAAAAGCTGGTGAGCACAGGGTCTGCTGATCCCTGCGGTGACTTGGCCCCATTTCGTCACTTACCAGATAGCTCCAGCAGATCTGGATACCTGAGCTTTCTGTTTCTTGTTATCTAAATATGGAATTCAGTGATTCCCTCCACCCCCTCCAACATCTGCCTACATATGTATCCCTTTTTTTTGGATTTCATAGGGATTTTGTGAGTACCTCAAGGGACAGGGACTAATTCTGAACTTGAGATCAGGAATGGGGTAAAGATCTGAGAGAAGTTATAGGATGGGTAAAAAAAGAAAACATTGGTGGGATCCCCTCCTCTTTCTATTCCCTATGACCTTGCATGCTATTCCTGGGATCTCACTACCCCTAACTGTAACTATGGACTTCTGTGTGGTTTTGTAAAGAGGATTCAGTGCTGTCAAGCCCATGATTGTCAAACTTCTCTGTTAGGTTAATAACGATCTCCCAACTTTTTTTGAGATAACTTTATATCTCTCATCTAATTGATGAAATGAAATACCCAATTCCTTACCTACCCTTTTGTACCTAAATTGATTTTGGACTCGGAGATCAGATGGGAAGTTATGATACTTTATATTTTCTCTGCCAACTTGAAAGTGTGTTCATCCCTTCCTCCTCCCCATAGTGCCCAGGCCTTTCTCCAGTTAAAGCACATAACATACTATGTTGTGATTGCCTGCTAGTCGGTTTTTGCCCCTAGAGGTGCTCCATGGAGCACGGCCTTCCTACATTGAGTATTGAGTTAGTCAGTGGACACTAATCTTTGAGTACTATAATCTGTAAATGGAGGAAAGTTGCTATAAGGATTTTTATATATATAATACCTATATCTGTATAATATGTGATCTAGATGATTATATACCAGTGCACAGATGATAATGCTGGGGTTCAGAGAGGTTGAGTAGTTTGTTCAAAGTCTCACAGCCAGACTGGGATTCAAATCTAGATCTCTCCGACTCCACAGCCCTGCTTTTAGTTAAGTATAATACAATGCTGTAATGCTGCCCAAGGTGAGATTGTTCAGATAGCAGAGAGAGAAGATGGAAAGATAACCTTGGAAAACAGAAGCTATATTGATCACGTCTAAACTTGGAGCTCTTGGAAGGAAGGAAGGAAGGGTGGAAGGAAGAAAAGGAGGGAGAAAATGAGAGAGGGAGAAGGGAGGGAGGGATCAAAGGGCGGGAACTAACACTGTAAAAACATAGAACAAAAAAGGCGAAAGACTTTTTTTGCTAAAGGTGAGAAAATCTCCGCACTCAGAATGTTAATGTATGTAATTATTCGATAAAGAATTATAAGACGTCACCACAGTTCTGTGACCTGCTGTTACTGGAGTCTATAGGTAATGTTTCATCAATTTTCTTCTCTTCAGAACTCTGCCTTTTGTTTTTCCTTCTTAAGGACTTTTTTTAACCTTCTGCTTGTCAGTGATTTGTTGAAACCTATCCCAATGCATCAGAAGAATGTAAAAACCTATTTTTCTACCCCACTTGTAGTTCATATTTGTCTTTCCTTCTCTCACTCCCTTCCCAGTGCCCACACCCATATTTTTATAGTGTTTCTCTTTCTCAAACAGTAGTTGCTTTAACATGACAGGCATTTCCAAAGCCATTGCAAACTAATAAAATTATACTCCACAAACCTAATAAAAGGCCAAGGCAGGTATATTTTCTTGCCTCTTATTCTTCTGATCTCTTTCTGGGAAAAGTTCAGTGATGGGCAGGGAAAGCATAGAATGGTATATTTTTTAATAGGAGTAAAGAAAGGAGTTGATACCTTACATGTTAGCGGTTGGGGACCTCTTACCAAAATATGATTTTTACACTTTTTTCTTACACACCTTTTTCTTACAACCAGCTACTATCCCAATATTTTTGTACATTTAATATAAACCCCTATTTCATAGAATTATTGGGAAAGCCAGTAACTGCTTTGAAGAACTTAACAATCATAAATATTAGGTTGGTGCAAAAGTAATTGCGGTTTTTGCCATTACTTTCAATGGCAAAACCTGCGATTACTTTCAGTGGCAAAACCTGCAATTACTTTTGCACCAACCTAAATATATGAAGACTAATAACTTATTTTAACCAGGAATTGCTTTTTTAAACAAATTTAGTGCCTCTGAATAGGAAGGTCATATAATCTAAATTTTATTTGAAAAAAGTTAATTTGGTAGAAATAAACTGTCTTTTATATTATTTTGATGTGGACAAGGTAATGCTTATCATTAGTTTTTTCAGTCAGTAACTTTGTAAATGTTATTTATGTTCTATTGATACATGCTGTGTAGGCAAGAGAAAGTTTTCGGTGTAGTCCACTTGGCATCATCTATCAGTTCTGCTCTTAAATTTCAGTTACCTAGTTTCTATTTAAAACTCCAGCTTGTCTTTCTGCCTTAGTAGTCAGTGTTAGAGTTTGTTTTGCCCTTTAACAATGAAAGTATTGTATGATATGTTTAGGTCACTCAACAGATGTTGCCGTAGTGGTTTTGCTCATTGTTTGGCAGATGTTTACGAAAGTTCTTCATAAGTGAGTTTGTAATGATTTAGTATATTTCTAAATTGCTGTAATTGTTTCTGATATTAGGTTTTCAAAATCTGTCAAATTTGCCGCCATTCCATTATAATTGTTACCTCTATCTTCTTTTGCTCCTGTTTTAAATCTCTGCCTTTCTGTTGTATTAATATTTTATATTTTAAATCATTTCTAACTTAGGACATAAATAGTTCAATAAAGACTTTTTCCTACTCTGTAAATATGGGAAGATTATATAAAAGTTTAATGTTTTATTAATCTTCATAGTTTTAGCAAGAATTAACTTTTATTTCTTTCGTCTGCTCCAATCCTGTGTTAGATCCTTGTCCCAAGGATGTTTTAATACAACTTCAAGGCTAGAGACAAAATTGGGAACAAGGTTAAAGTGCTGTGTGTCTTTTCTACACTACCACTTTTCCTTTAAGTGCTCTGTTGCCCTTTCTTGTCTGTTTCAAATTTTGTTTCAAAGGTTTCTAAAATGTCTATTGCCCATGAATAGAAGCAGATTAAAATAGGTGAAAGGACATACTTGGAACTTGGAATAAGACATTCCTGAGTTTCCCAGATCCCAATCCATCTATCACCTGTCTAAACTTAGGCAAATTACTTAACTTTCTGAGTTTTCTTTATTTTTTGTTTTTCAACTGTATCATGGACTTAAGACTGTACAAGGCCAAATGTAGTGGCTCACACCTGTAATCCTAGTGCTTTGGTAGTCCAGGGTGGGAGGATCACTTGAGGCCAAGAGTTTGAGACCAGCCTGAGTGACATAGAGAGACCCGGTCTCTACGGAAAATAAAAAAGTTAGCCAGGTATGGTGATGCGCACCATTATTCCTAGTTATTCAGGAGGCTGAGGTAGGAGGATCACTTGAACCAAGGGGATCAAGGCTGCAGTGAGCTATCACTGTGTTGCTGCACTCTAGCTTGGGCAACAGAGTGAGACCCTGTCTCGGGTCTCGGGGTGGGCGGGGGGAGACTAAACAGAGTAGATATAAGGGTAATGCATTATGTGTCATATAGAAGGTGTTTCCAAAAGTTAGTGCTCCCCCAGTATAACAAAGCATAGTCTACCAAAAATAGCTGAAATACCTGCTCTTTCTTTCATTCTGTGCTCCTCAGTTCCTGTGGGCTGATAGCTTAAATATAGAAGTAAATTGAAAAAAGGTAAAGACCCTGAAATATTTCCTGGAACATTTTGGCTTTTTGTCCTTTCTCCTAAAAGTGGGATTTGAACTTCCTCTCACCTCACTTTCTTTGTCTCTCTCTGAAAGCCAGCGAGCGGTATTTGAGAAACCAGAATCTTTCCCAGGTTGACTTTTACAAGGTCAAATTGCCTGGTAAAGTGAACCTGATAAACCAAGTAAGCCAAATAAACTGAAATAATAATTTTATGTTCTACTGAAACTGCTTGTATAGTAACAGCATGATTCTCAAAATTGCAAAAATTTCTTATTTTAAAAGTTGTATTGCAATTCCTTTTCTAATACTACTTAATTATTCCCTTTAATTGGTAATTATTTCAATGTATTTAATAACCAAAATGTTCTGAGGATTCTCTGTAGCATATCAGGCAGAATGGCATTGAGGACATTATACACATGCATATCATAGTACAAATTAGTTAATAAAAAATAGGCAGAAAATCTTCTAAGTTTTTAATTCATTTAGTTGAAAAAGAATGTTCATATTGAGGATTGTTCATTATGTTTTGATTGGATGAGTCAACACACTATTCTTACGTAAATTTGTATCTGATTTAGAAGATACACTACCAAAGTTAAGCTTGTACTACATTACAGTAACCAATACTAATAGAAAAGTGAGATAAATTATCTGTTTTGTTATAAGCCAAATTGAGAACAATTCGCTTTTTAGAAAAAAAAATAGCTTCTTATATTTGAGGATTAAATTTTATACTTCATTTCCATTTGGAGTTTTTTTTTTTCTTTTGTTTTTACATTATAATTACAAAATTGTGAATCCTCAAAGGTCCCCTCTATACCAGGGAACTGATCTGATGTGCATGTATACTTTAAAAGGCTTTACACATCAGTCTTCTAACAATTACTGGGAGAATGTTTCTTGTGTATATGGGTATTGTATCATTTTGTTGTGAAAACTAGAATTCAATCCTAAAAAGAACCATCTTTGATTTCCCATGGATTAAGTTGCATTGTGGGGTGGGGGGCCAGTTTAAATACAACAAATACACTGAGCCTGAGCCTTTGTTAGTGGGCTACTGAGTCTTCCTCAGCTACAAAAGGAGCTGTCTCTGTGTTTAGTCAGCTACTTGGGGGTGGGGAAACAAACTGACTTATATTGACATTTGCAGGGCTAGTTAAAAATTTTTGGATGCCCTTCCCACTTTCTTTCTGACTCTCTAACTTTCTAGACTATTAACAGCAGCTCCCTGCAAGGCCAGTACATGAATTAAATCCCATACTCTGCTTTTATTCTCTCCTCTAATTCTAAAAGATTGGAAGTTAAAATTCTTTTTTTTTAAGTTATTTTTATTTTTAAGTTCATGGGTACACGTGCAGGATGTGCAGGTCTGTTACATAGGTAAACGTGTGCCATGATGGTTTGCTGCACCTATCAACCCATCACCTATATATATATGTGTGTGTGTGTATATATATATATATATATTTTTTTTTTTTTAACGGAGTCTCGCTCTGTCACCAGGCTGGAGTGCAGTGGCGCAATATCGGCTCACTGCAACCCTCCGCCTCCATAGTTCAAGCAACTCTCCTGCCTCAGCCTCCCGAGTTGCTGGGACTACAGGTGCGTGCCACCACGCCCGGCTCATTTTTCGTATTTTTAGTAGAGACAGGTTTCACCATGTTGGCCAGGATGGTCTTGAACTCCAGACCTCGTGATCTGCCCGCCTCGGCCTCCCAAAGTGCTGGGATTATAGGTGTGAGGCACCGCACCTGGCCCCATCACCTAAATATTAAGGCCTGAATGCATTAGCTATTTATCCTGATGCTCTCCCTCCTCCGGCAACCCCCCGACAGGCCCCAGTGTGTGTTGATCTCCTCCCTGAGTCCATGTGTTCTCATTGTTCAGCTCCCACTTATAAGTAGAACATGCAGTGTTTGGTTTTTTGTTCCTGTGTTAGTTTGCTGAGGATGATGGCTTCCAGCTACCTCCATGTCCATCTAAAGGACATGATCCTGTTCCTTTTTATGGCTATATAGTATTCCATGGTGTATATGTACATTTTCTTTATCTGGTCTATCATTGATGGGCATTTGGGTTGATTCCATGTCTTCACTATTGTGAATAGTGCTGCAGTAAACATATGTGTGCATGTATCTTTATAATAGAATGATTTATATTTTTGGGGGGGTATATACCCAGTAATGGGATTGCTGGGTCAAATGGTATTTCTGGTTCTAGATCCTTGAGGAATCACCACACTGTCTTCCACAATGGTTGAACTAATTTACATTCCCACCAACAGTATAAAAGTGTTCCTATTTCTCCACAGCCTTCCCAGCATCTGTTGTTTCTTGACTTTTTAATACGCCATTCTGACTGGCATCAAATGGTTGATGGACATTTGGGTTGTTTCAGTTTTAAGCTATTACAAGTACAGCTATTATGAACTTTCATGTAGAAGTCGTTGCTTTCATTCCTCTTAGGCAAATACCTAGGAGTGGAATAATTGTGTTACATAGTAGCTGCATGTAAGGTTTTAAGAAACTGACAAACTTTTCTAAGATGCTTATACCATTTTGCATTCCCAACAACTGTGTATGATAGTTTCAGTTGCTCAGCATCCTGGTCAGTAAGGAGTATGGTCAAGGTTTTTTAATTTTAGCCATTCTAGTGTATGTGTAGTGGTTTTAATTTGGATTTTCCTAATAACTAAAGATGTTGAGCATCTTTTTATGTGCTTATTTGCCATCTGTGTTTTCCTTGATGAAATGTCTGTTCAAATTTTTTACCTGCTTTTTGGTTAGGTTATTCTTACTGAATTGTAAGAATTGTTTTTTTTTTTTTTTTTTTTTTTTTGAGATGGAGTTTCACTCTGTTGTCCAGGCTGGAGTGCAGTGGCGCGATACGGGCTCACCGCAGTCTCCACCTCCCGGGTTCAAGCGATTCTCCTGCCTCAGCCTCCCAAGTAGCTGGGATTACAGGTGCCTGCTACCATGCCTGGCTAATTTTTATATTTTTAGTAGAGACAGGATTTCATCATGTTGGCCAGGCTGGTCTTCAACTCCTGACCTCAGGTGATCCACCCACCTCAGCCTCCCAAAGTTCTGGGATTACAGGCATGGGCCACCGTGCCTGGCCAAGAATTCTTTATGTATTCTAGAATCAAGTTCTTTGATACCTGTTTTGCAAGTATTTTTTCCAAATATATGGCTTTTTCACTTTTGTGTCTTTTGAAGAGAGAAATATTTTTGAAGTCCAATTTATTGATGTTTTTCATTTATAATTTATGCTTTGTGTATATTGTTTAAAACTCTTTGCCAAACCAAAGATCATTAAGATTTTCTCTTATGTTTTTTTCTATAAGTTTTTGTAGCTTTAGCCCTGACACTTGGGCCCATGATCCATTTCAAATTAAATTTTGTATGTAATTTGAGATACAAGGGTCAAGGTTCATTTTTCATGACTTAATCCTTGAATCACTTCTCTGTCCACTCTCTTAGGCGCTTATCTAGTCATGTGGCTTTAAATATCATCTGTATATTAATGACTCCCAAATTACAACTCTAGCCCAAACTGCTATTTTAAGAGATATCTCAAGCATGTCCAAAACTAAGCTGTTAATATCCACCTTTTCTCCTCTTCCATGCCTGCCCCTCTCACAGTCTTTGCCATTTCGGTAAATGCAACTTCATTCTTTCAGTTGCTTGGAGCAAAACTCTTAGCACATCTTTGAGTGTTCTCTTTCTCTGTCACCTCCCATCTTGATCTGTTGTCAGATTCCATTGGCTTCATCTTCACATTATATTCAGAATCCCACCTCTTCTCACGATCTCCTCTTTTACCACTGTAGTCCAAGCCACCATTACCTCACCCAGGTTATTGCTGTAATATTCTAATAGGTCTCTCTCTACTTCTACCTTTGCATGTTTATTAAATTAAGTGTTGTCATTTTTCTGCTTAGAACCTACCAGTAGCTTTTCATCTCATTCAGACAAGGAGCCAGATCTTTTTAATGATATCTAAGGGCCTGCACCATCTAGCAACCCATTACCTGTCTTACCGCATATACCAGGCCCTTATTCACTCTGCTGCAGTCATAGAGGCCTTGTTGGTGCTTCTCAAACATACCAAGCACACTGCCTACCTCAGGCCGTTTGAACTTGCTATTTCCTCTGTGTGGAATGTTTTTCTTCCAGATAACTTAAAAGTTTATTCTCTCACTTCCTTAAATCTGTATTCAACTGTTACCTCAATGAGCCCTTCCTATTTAATTGCAACTCTCACCCAGACATACATCTCACATTCCACATTGCTGCTTTATTTTTCTCTGTAACATGTATCACCATCTAACATACTATATATGTTAGATGTTTCTCTTTCTTCCCTCAATAGAACATAAACTTCTTTTGAGAAGAGATGTTTGCCTTTTTTGTTGATTGCTTGCATTCCCAACCCCTAGAGAAGTGCCTGACACATAACAGTATGACCCTGTGTAATATTTATTATATGAATGGAGGTAAGTAACATTTTAGGTGGTTTTTTCCCTCTGAATATAAAATGGGAACATTGTGAACAGTGCAAGTCTTCAACAAAGTTGATGTAGACAGACTTCAGCTCTCATAATCTTTTTCTCTTTTTTAATAAAAGAATGTTTAACATACAGACAAAATATAAAGAGTAACAAAAATAACAAAAAAAGCAGCCATGTTCCCACCACCCAAGTTAAGAAACAAATATTATTAATACTTTTGAAACATCCTTTGTGCTTTACCCTTACTTTATCCTCTCTACTGTCCTCCCTCTATAAACCTATTCTGAATTTGTTTATTGTTCCTATTGGTTTTCTTTATAGTTTTGCCACATATGAATATATCATTCACATATGAATATATCATTCAGTTTGAACTCTATGTAAGTGGAATCCTACCACAGGCATTCTGCAAGTTGTTTTGCTTGACCTGATACTCCTGAGTTTCATCCATAGTGATGCATGTAGCTACAGTTCATTTATGTTTACTCCTATATAGTATCCCCATTGCGTTGAGAGACCACTCTATCTGTTCTCCTGTATATACAACTTTGTGGTGGTTTTCTTGCTTTTTTAATGCTAAAAACAGTGCTGCCATGAACATAATTGTACATGTTTCATGAAACACACATGCAAGTTTTTCTATGGCAGATTCTTAGCGGTAAAATTACAGTTCCATAGGGCATTTATATCTTTCATTTTACTAGTTCGTGCCAGATTGTTTTCAAAAACAATTGTACATATTTATACACCCGTCAATAGTATATAGTTGTTATAATATTTAGTTTTCTTAATGTGGAGGGTATAAAGTGGTGTCACATGTTAGTTTTAATTTGAGTTTTCCTATTTCCTAATGAGACTAGATATCTTCTCAGTTGTAATTAGCCATTCCTGTTTCCTCCTCTGTGAAATGTTTATCTGTGTTATTTGCTCTTTTTTAATTGGGCTGTTTTTGGTTTCTGGGAGTTCTTCATATATTCCAGATACACATTCTTTGCCAGTTACATATAAAGCAGATACCTTTTCCCAGTATGTAGCTTATCTTTTCACTATATTTTCATGAATGTAGCTTATCTTTTCACTATCTTTTGATGAATATTAGGCCGGGCACGGTGACTCACGCCTGTAATCCCAGTACTTTGGGAGGCCAAGGCGGGCAGATCACGAGACGGTCTTGGCCAACATGGTGAAACCCCGTCTCTACTAAAATACAAAAAATTATCCAGGCGTGGTGGTGCGTGCCTGTAATCCCAGCTACTTGGGAGGCAGAGGCAGGGGAATCGCTTGAACCCGGGAGGCAGAGGTTGCAGTGAGCTGAGATGGCGCCACTGCACTCCAGCCTGGCAACAGAAGCAAAACTCCATCTCAAAAAAAAAGAAAAGAAATTCTAAATTTTAATGCAGTTTAATTATCAATCTTTTTCTTTATAATTTATGGGTTTTATAAGCCTTACTTAAGAAATTCTTTCACATATAACATCATACAGTGATTTTTCTACCCTCTGTCAGGGCAGATTGCCCTTGAAGCGCTCCCTAGACCTGTCCCTGACAACCTGTTCTACAGAAGAGATCTGAGACTCAGTCACAATGGCAGAGGTGACCGAGACCAGCTCAGTTTTGGAAATCATTTTCAGAAATGGCTAGAGAGAAGTGTGTGTGTGTGTGTGTGTGTGTGTGTGTGTGTGTGTGTGTGTGTGTGTAATATAGTGAAACAAATTTTCTATCCTGTTTTTTCATTTAGCATCGTGTTTCAAATATTTTTACATCATTTATTATTAAAGTTCAATTTTAATGAATGTCATATTGGATGGGAATCAGAATTCTTATTTAACATTTTGCAGTTGTAAATAAGACCTCAGATGTCCGGGCTTGGTGGCTTACGCCTGTAATCCCAGCACTTTGGGAGGCTGAGGCAGGCAGATCACCTGAGGTCAGGAGTTTGAGACCAGCCTGGCCAACATGGTGAAACCCCATCTCTACCAAAAATACAAAAATTAGCTGGGCATGGTGGTGCACACTTGTAATCCCAGCTACTCGGGAGGCCAAGACATGAGAATCACTTGAACCCTGGAGGCAGAGGTTGCAGTGAGCCAAGATTGTGCCACTGCATAACAGCCTGGGTGACAGAGCAAGACTCTGTCTCAAAAAACAAAACAAAACAAAAGAAAAACAACCTCAGGAAACAGTTTATAAATCTTTTTGATGCATTGTTTATTTCTTTAAGAAAGACTTATAGAGGTAGTATGACTTGGTTAAAATATACTCTTGATATCAGCAGAAGTAATAAGCAGTTGAAAATAATTGAGAGTCATATGAGCGTTAAGTAAATTGATTTTCTGAGCAACACTTGCTACTTGCTTGATTCTTTACAAAGAAAGTCAATATTTAAAAGTATCCAGCCTACTTGGCTTACATAAAGCTTAGATTTAATGATGTCCATATTTACTATTCATACATTGTGTAGCAATTATATATAATTTTCCCTTTTTGATATCTCACATGATTTTGAATGTACTTAGTTTGAGGAGGATTTAATGATATTTTTAATTAATCCTCTCAATAATGTTTGAAAATGGTTAATAGGGTATATATTTGGGCATCTTAAAACTGACCTATTCTCTTTAGGGTAATTAAAAAGTCATCAAAGGTTCAGTGACCCTGCAAGGCAGTGTACACTTGGTATGTGTGAAATACTTGGTCATTATTAAGCCAGCTTTTCTTCAAGAGAGATACACTATTTAATTAAGGAATGTAATAAATCACTCTCTATTTTATTGTTATTGGTGTTAATGCTTGGTCTTGTAACTCTGCCCTGTCCACAGGTTAAAGTATTGCACAATCAGCTGGTCCTTTTCCACAATGCCATTGCCGCTTACTTTGCTGGGAATCAGAAGCAGCTTGAACAGACACTTAAACAGTTCCATATCAAATTGAAAACCCCTGGAGTGGATGCCCCATCTTGGCTTGAAGAACAGTAAAATCACAGCGGAAAATAAAAAGAAAGTCGCGTTGTTATATTTCTAAACCAACCTAACAAGAATTAAGCAGAGTTGGGGGAAGTGGGAGGGGTGACAAGCATTATAGTGATTCTTGCACAAACAGCTTTAATTTTTCCCTTTTTCATACTTTAACAATTGAACTGTTAAGGGTGGTTTTAATGTAAACATAGTTTCTATAATCTGAACACAATAATTTTCCTTTTTGAGAAATCCTTTTGTATTGTGAGGGTTGATGGCTATTTCTGTAGTTTGAAAACATCTAATAGAGATTTGCACTGACAAGATAAAAATTCAAGGTTTTTGGTCCTGGAAATGAGGGCCGATTGTAACTTTTCCAAAGGGAGGTTTACATGATTTGTATCAACATCAGATATTTTATATGTGAATATATTAAACATCTTTAAGAGATTCATTTTCATGTATTAAAGAAAAAAGAAACTATTTTGCAGAGTAAAGTTATATGGTGTTCCTGCAGCGTCCACACAGAGGCAGCAGCTCTAATGAATGATTAGCTTGTGGAGTTGTGGCAAATACCTTTTTAAAAATGAATCTGTACCACTGTAATTTTATTTAGACTTTTTTTTAAAGACACAGAAATCACACTGTCATTTCTGTGAGGCTTTTAAGCTTATGAATTTGCTTCACCCGAAGTCATTGGACAGTTACATTTGCAATTTCTTTTGGTTCATAACAAAACCTGCTTAAGAGAATTTTTTTTTTTGACAGGTGGACGTGGGAATGGAAATTCTTAATGGTTTCTGGAGTAGAAATCTGTACTTAGAAAACTAGTTTTTGGGTCAGTTCCATTTTGATAGAAGTGAATACATAGACAGCTTTTATTGACTTCCATATGTAACAATACCGTTTAAGCCTTAAATCACAGATATGTGCCTTCTCAGATACAGTAATTCTTGTTCAACCAATGTACAAAATCCATAAAGAAACCCCTGTTGGATAATGTTTGATGTGTCTATTCCTTCCATGGAATGGAGCACTATGTATGAATGTTGGGTTTCTTTGTACTTGTTAAGCCACATTTGAGGTTTATGGTAAAAATCATCTTTTGAGTTTGCTCTTTGGTTTTTCTTCATTCCTTTTGAGGATTGGGAAAACAGAAAGATTCTTTGATTTGGGTAATGAAGAGGTAATTTGGGACAGTGTGGTGGTACCAGGAAGAAAGAGGATTGGAAAGGCCAGTACTGTTTTAGTTGCTCGGCACTGTTGGTTTTGTTTTAATGTGGTTGCCCTGTCCACTACATGGTTCTATCAGTAGTGTAATCCATTTTCAATGTAAAGCTCTTTTAGTTTTTGTCATAGACATAAATTAATATTTTGAGAGGCATCCCTCACCTGTTCATTTCTTCTGTGTTGAAATGAAGTACTTAAAATTACCGTTATACATGAACTTTGTGGACTGTAAGATTTGTTATATATGTTCAAATGCCTTTTAGCTGGCTTTTTAATTAATATGCCTGTTTTGAGTGCTTAATACAATGTAATGTGATTGTAAATCATACCTATTTTAAATCATTCCTTCCTGTATATTTGTACTCAGAGAGCCTTATTTTATTCTTCCAGCAGAATTACTACTTGTGATAGTTCATTTACATTCCCCAGAATGTGCCTCTAGTGTGAATTTTGTATTCTTATTAAACGTGTTTGCTGCAGTAAATCGTTTCTCTGGACCTTCATAGTTTAAGAAGTAACTATTTGGAAATTCTGAAGACACATAATTTGCGTTTTCTGAACCTTAAAAAAAAAGGTACTTCTGTCACTTATAATTGTTTTAGCTCAGTAAGCTATTTTTTTTCAATGTGAATCTCTTTTGAGAGCTGAACATGTCCATTCTTAACCACATTTCAATAACAGTTACTGTAGCTAAGGAGCTAAATAGTTTCATGGATTAATTTTTTTCAGAATAAATTTAAAATATCCATGATTCTGATAGTGGGCACATGACCAAAAGAAAAAAGTAAATCAATATATTTAGCCAATGGTACATTTACTTTGTTAGGAATGTAATTTATGTTCATTATAGAAAAGAATTAGAAGAAAATTTCAAGTAATAGAAGATAAGTACCTTCCCAAGTGAATAAATACTGCATGGAACCACTCAACACCTCTGAAGTTGGATATTTTAGTTTTGGATTTTAATATACAAGCTCTATTTTGAATATCCTTTAATATACATTTACATCTTTGCACTTTTACTTACTTACTCCCTTAGGTTATAGTCCTAGAAGTGAAAATGGGCCCTCAAAAGTATATACATACTTCTAAAACTTTGTAATATATTGCCTGTTTGCTTTCAAGAAAGACTGTGCCAATTTACACCTCTAAGAGCATACACATGTACCTGTTTAGTATATTTTTTAAGCCAGTGCTGTATATATAAAATGAAATAATGAAAGAGAAAAACAGGAAGATAAAGGCTGAACAATCACCAACTGGAGAGTTTGGGGATGCTGGGTGTGAGAGCAGGGAATGGATGAAAATGGCTGGCTTTTCTGTCATTAAAATAGAAGTTGTTATTCTAGAAAAAATAATGCACTGAGGAACTGGTCTGTGAAATTAAACTTTTCATCCCAAAGCTTCCAAATCTTAGGGTCCAGGAACTATCTGGGTTTGCAAAAGCAATTTAGCTGAAATCTAGGCTTTAAGAAGCATCTTTTCCATATTCAAAACACACTGATAATGTTACTGAAGCTTATCCTATAGAGTGTGAAACTAGAATGTTCCTTAGAGATTATGTAACACACTTTTTTTTTAACAGATGAAACTATCAAGGCTTCAAAATATGTTAAACTGACTTAGCCAACCCCCATCTCCAAATGTAATGCTGGATGAGTATTTGCAACTATATACTTCAATTCCCCTTTAAATCCTGCCATTTCAACCGCATAATTAAATCAATGTGTCAAAAGTGTCAAGTTTCTTCTAAAGTTAAGTTTAATGTGTATTAAATATCTTCCCATTGGGGAAAAAATCCATCTCCCCGCAAATGGCTTCATACTAGGTAGATTGCAAAGTATGCAAGATGCTTGCCTTTCTATCCACTGACCTTTAACTTGCAGTATTCTGCAAAAGAAATCAGGTGAGCTTGAAAAGTGTTACATAAAGTAAAATTATGTATATTGAAAAAACTAAAGATAAATTTCTTCTAATCATGGAACTGTTAATTGAAAGAATAATGTAGCTACCTCAAAATGTGCCCATTCTTTAGTTTTCACTGGAGATGACTGTAGTTTTGAAAAATAAAAGTAAATTATCTGAGTTGCTAGTCATTCAAGTATAATTTATGCTAATTTCGTAAAGTACTACTTAAATACCTATTTGCAATAGTCCTAAATATCCTTTGCCAGTAGCTCTTTTCTTTTTTAACCTTTCAGTTTGCCTGGGAGAGTTGAAACTAGCTGAAATCTTTGATCACTCATTTATTTATTTATTTATTTTTTTTGAGACGGAGTTTCACTCGTTGCCCAGGCTGCGGTGCAATGGCGCGATCTTGGCTCACTGCAACCTCCGCCTCCTGGGTTCAAGCGATGCTTCTGCCTCTCAGCCTCCCAAGTAACTGGGATTACAGGCATGCGCCACCACGCCTGGCTTATTTTATATTTTTAGTTAGAGACAGAGTTTCTCCATGTGGGTCAGGCTGGTCTCGAACTCCTGACCTCAGGTGATCTGCCTGCCTCCACCTCCCAAAGTGCTGGGATTACGTTACAGGTGTGAGCCACCACACCCAGCCCTAATCACAATTTTAACCAAATTTAGGTATTTTCAAAAATCTAATTCCCCTTTAAGACTACAAATTTTTACATTAGCTAAGACTATCCAGTTGTAAGTAGGCTATTTTCTGATCAGAAGACCAGCTGTATTTTGCATTATTTCAAAGCTTTCCCAAGGTCACAGTTCCTTTACTATTTTTACAGTATAGCAGGACCTATTAAAATAGGACAATGCAAACAATTTTTTTGAGGACTTTCATTAAATTCAGTTCTATGTTCCCACTTGAAGGTTTCCTGTTCAACAGATTTTGCGCATAAATGGGCCTTTATAATAAATTGCCAAGTGGTCATCGTAATGTACAGGAAACGACAAAGTTCAGCTTTGTTTTCATGAAATAAAGTTTGACTCTTAGTAGTTTATGTATGTTAAGTGAGGACTGTTAGTCTGGTATCAGCTCTGGTAGGGAAAAAGGAGACTAGAAATATGAGGGAATTAGGTCCAGTCTGAGCACCATAACTCTACTCTTGTGCAGTTAATTGATTAGTATGCTATCAGAACTGAGAATTCTGGGTTTTTTAAACAACGGAAACTGTTCCACAAGAACCAAAATCACAGTTTTGTTTGGGTCCAAGCTAGGCTTTGCCATAAACTCTGTCAAAGATTGCATGAATTGTTGATTCATAAGGAAGATGTAAGAGGAACAGGATACCATTTTGTCGATTTTAAAAGTAACTTTCTATGACTTAGACTTTCATATCACTTTGCCTTTGGTACAGGTGTATATGTTCATATAAATAACTTACAGGTGAAATGTACATCTAGCTGGTATAGGGCACATAGGAAGAAGAACCATAGCCATATACCTCTCACTACATCTTGAAGCTTTGATTATTGACATTCTACTAAAAGCAAACTCTGTAAAAACTTTTTTTTTTTTCAAATGAGTGTAAAGCATTATAGAGTAGTGAGAGGAAAGGTAACTTTAATCTTGCCAGCCTTCCTGAAAAGTTTTTAAATTATGAAGCCTTAGAATAATAAAGTACTCAAGATAAATTATTTATATATGCTACTTTACTGTTATTCTCCTCCTAAATGATTTCTGATTCTATGTTAGGAAGCTTTTTATAAAAACTGCCTAAGGCTTTAGGCAGATAATTATTCTTTCCTTTGAGGAATATATACTTATTATGACTAGACATTCAGCTCTTAAGAAAAGCACGGGGTAGGCTGTCTTATTCACCCTGTATCCCCAACTCCTTGCATAGTTTTCTTTTTTGAGACAGAGTCTCACTCTGTTGCTCAGGCCCAGCTAAGTTTTGTGCGTTTAGTAGAGACAGGATTTCGCCATGTGTGTCAGGCTGGCCTCAGACTCCTTCAATATACGTAATTCCTCCCGCATCGGCTTCCCAAAATGCTGGGATTACAGGCGTGAGCCACTGTGCCAGGCTTCCTTGTATAGTTCTTAATTCAAAGGAGCCATGTATAAAAATTTGTTTTTTTGATCCAAAATTCAAATGCAGAAAAATATTCAGTGCTTGCACTGCAATTTCATTTGAATGAGTTACAAAGAGGCAGTACACTTATAACTTACTCTAAATTAATGTCAGGATGTTACCTAAGACAGTAGGATGTTTACAGAAGAGTGGCCAGTTTTTTAAATAGCCGTTCTTCTGTAATGGCCATTCTTTCTGTAGTAGAAAGAATGGCAGAATTAGAGAAATCACCATGTTGAAACCATGACTGAAATAATTGATTTACACAGGGATGGCCAATGGATGCTAATATCATTAGGTGAGAGATTAATGGAAAACAGACTATTTCCATAATACCAAAGTATTACCCTACAAATGGCTCAATTTGAAATGGGAAAAAGTACCATTAATAAGAAGAGATTTGTGCTTACAACCTAAATTGTGATCAAATTTAGAATCATGAATAGTAATCATTGTGCCTTGGATATAATGAGATATAAATTATACAGTATCACGTATTTCTGCTGGAATTGTTCAATCTGCAGCTAATCAAGTATTTTACCTTAAATTCCAGTGTACAGAAGATACAGGGGGTTAAGGAACAATTTAAATGTTACCAAGAAGAATCAATTGGACAAATCCAGAATCTGAGACATTCTACAACATAATTGGCTTGGTTTCTTCAAAAAGTCCATCACAAAAGAAAAAAAAAATTAGTAATACTGTTAGAAAACAAAAGATTTGAGATCATAATTCAAAAAAAGTAGCTATATAAGACATTTGAAGGAAAAACTGAGTCACTTGAGTGTGTATTTGACACTGCTAGGAACTTATGTTTTTTTAGGTATGATATTATATTGTGGTAATATAGGGGAACAGCTTTATTAGGAATGCATGCCTAAACTACTTAAAGCCAAAGTGGCATGATGTATGCAGTTTACCTTTAAATGGCTCAGCAAAAATACATACATTCATATGTATTCACATATATGGAGAGAAAGCTGGAAGAGAAAAAGGAGAGAAAGATGTCAAAGTAAATATGGCAAAATGTTAGCAATTGTTGAAATAAGTGGGTGGATATGTGGGGTTCCATAGTACTAGTCTTTTTCTTTTTAAAAATGTTTTTCATAATAACATTAAAAAAAAAAAAGGATATTTGGTCCAGAAAGGCAGCAGGACCCACTAAATCTTTCCTCTTGCACCAGGGTTGCAATCAGAGGCTTTTTTTTGTATAGAGAGTGACACCACTTGCTCTACTCCTACAGATACTACAATTTCTCCTCTAGCATGGGAGATAAATTGATTTGTATTTGGAAACAGAAATTCAAGTAAGCATAAAGTTGAGCAGTTTGTCAATAAAGAGTACAGGACAAGTGAAGAGGCAAAAATAGTTTAGGATATGACTATGTAAAAAGATTCCATATAGGAAAACATGCATTCACTAAACTGGACCTTTTTCTCTTGTTTTTTCTCCTCGGCTCATTTCCAAATTGAAGCTTTTCGAAAAAATTGCTATATTTACTACAGGTATGTGCCACCATGCCCAACTAATTTTTGTATTTTTTGTAGAGACAGGTTTCGCCATGTTGCCCAGGCTGGGCTCAAGTGATCCTCTCGCCTCAGCCTCCCAAAGTGCTGGATTACAGGTATGAGCCACTGTTCCCGGCCCCAAATTGATGCTTTCTAAATAGCTATTTGAAAGTTCAAGGGAAGTTAAATTCAAAAACAAAACACTAACTTTCTTTTAGCCTAATAATGATGGTTTTTTCTGTCTCAATTTTTTTGCCCTCTTGTAAATTAGCATATACTACTATTCTGTACTACTATAGATTTTTTTAAATGAAGCTGCTTAGAGCTTTATTTACTATAACAACTTGAGACCGCTTAAAAATAAGTATTTATACACTGGTAATTTTTAATAATGGTTATTTCCAATCCAAAAATATATTTTGTGAGATGGCCACGTTTTCCCTAATTCACACTTCTAAAATTAATAAAATTGCTTAACTCTTTAAAGCATTCCTCAAATAAGTAAAGGATATTTATTTATATTGTTCTCAAATTCTCTTTTTCCAATTCCCCACCCCATCTCAGATAAGAACAAAGAAAATACTATGGATTAAAATTTTCTGACTAGTTTATATCAATAACAGAAGTAGCAAAAAGGCCAGGCAATGTTTGGAGAATTGAGTTTTAACCATGGCAATGGTTACTATATAATCACTAGTACTATCAAGTGAGTTAGAAAAAAAAAATGTAAGTTTAAACAGTCATGAGTATTTGCTGAATGACTGGTCAGCTTGCCTGTGTTGACTTTCATTCGCCGCCTGATTCCACTAACACCTTGAAGAGGGTCAGATGATTCCTGAAGTGGGCACTAACAATTTCTTTTTTCTCAAAATTTTGTTTCTCTGAAAAGGTTCACCATATTTTCTCTGTGAAGCTTAGTTAATATTTTTCTCCAATGAAGCCAGCCATAAAATGAGGAAAAAAATTCGTTAGAAATAGCAAATGAACAGCCATGTCTAATGACAAAATTTTGTGTGTGTCTATAAGAGACCTTGCCTAAACTCACAAGGGAAAGGCAAGTATTAAAGCTTCATAGTAGGCTGTGGCCCTAACTTGCCCCTTTGTTCTTTTAAAAAATATATAATGACATACTAAGAGGCTATTGTGCTGTCTTCAAGTTTTCAAGCTTTTGGAGTCACTATTTATGCTTATGACTAGAGCAATGAAAACAAGTCTTTTTTCCCCAAACACAAGTAGCTTCAGTCCAAGCCACTCCAGACTTCCTTGCCAGTGACCTCAACACTGACCTTGATTTATTCTAGGAAGAACTCTGCCTGTTTAGTTCTTTTAGCTCATTTTTATGTGAATTCCCATTCACTAGTAGTGAACTAACTTCAACAATTTCATTTCTAGTCTGCTGACTTTTCATTATTATGGTTTTGTTTTTCCTTACAGTAGCCTCTTTGGAATCCTGTACACCTAGCTTATGGAAACGTGTTAGCCCAAGCCATGGCAGAGCCAGGTAATTGTCTTATCAAGGCCATACTTAGTCTTGTTTAAAAGCAGGCATCCCCATCTCTTTGGCGTAGCCCTAAAAGAAGTGGAGGATCAAAGCCACATGCTTCAATTCTCAGTCCTCTTTGCCTGATCACTTTATCAAATTTCTGAAGAAAGAACTCAATCCATCCCTCTTCTTCCCAAACTGTGTCAAAGCTGGAGTTGTTTTTCAGTCCAACACTGAGCCACGTTGCTCTGGGTGGAGCATCAGCATGTCTTCTGAAAGGTTTCACTTAATTGGCCTGTATAAGTCTACATTTCTTGGTTCACCTAAAATCTTATGATACCTGGCTGTTCCCTTCATGCACTCTTACATCTTAACTCACTGGTACTATCAAGTAGATTATTTTTTAAATGTAAGTTTAAATGGTCATGAGTATTTGCTGAATGGCTGACTGGTCAGCTTACCCACGTTGACTTTCACCACCTGATTCCACTAACACCTTGAAGAGGATCAGGCTTCAAAGAGCTTGGATCTAGCAGATTTGCTTCTGGCCCATAGAAGCCTCTTGAGGGCAAGAACTGTTTTGAACATGTTTGTAGCCCTCCTCGTGCTTTGCACGTAAAGGTCACTCAATGTTTTCAATAATGATAATTAGCATTGCTGGGGCACTTAGCCTTCAATGACTGGAGGCCCACTGGCAACATTTGCTGGTGATGAAAATCACAAGCAATGTGAAAATACATTGACTACTAACAGCTGTCGAGCCTTGAAGGTAAATACTACAAAGATGTGAAGTTGAATAAGACAGGCTTGCCCTTAAACTTTTGGGTTTAATGGGGAGAAAGTCCATACAAATCATAAGGAGTGAATGGTCAGGAGAAGGGAGGGATCAGTGTGGAGAATATACAATTAGTGGTTGAGGATGGAGGCAGCCAGCCTTCAGCTCCAGACTGGAATGTCTTAATTCTGAGCATGTGTGTTTGTTGGGTGGGGAAGAAGGCATTTTACCATTCTACCATGGCAGCTAGGTCAGTGAAGATGGTCCTATCCATGTTGCCAAATAAATCTCACATAAATCTTAAATATAGTACAATATTATTTCTGTGTAGCCTTTGAATCTTAATACTTTCTTTTTCCCCACCAGACATTCTTAACATAGAATGCTTGACTCTTTTTTACCTAGTAGCACTAGAATATATTTGGACAGTTGAAGTGGCAGAATTCATCTGAAGCTTCTAGGTCATTAGGGTCATTGTTGGCTAGAACATTTAGCAATTTATATGACTTTAGTTTTGATTTAGAGGCCAGTCTAACTGCTGCCATTTTTTAGAAGGAAAATAAGTTAATAACGAGTTAGCCTACCTGTTCAAGTGTGTGGATTCTAACTACAGGCACACAAGGACTGGGTTGCATGGGTGTTTCAAGGTCACCCAGGGGAGACAGAGTCTACAAACATGGCTTTCTGGAATTGGAAGGCAATTCTGGTAGGGAAGTTCTTTTTTTTTTTTTTTTTTTTTTTTTTGGAGACTCTCTGTGTTGCCGAGGTTGGAGTGCAGTGGCGCAATCTTGGCTCACTGCAGCCTCTGCCTCCTGTGTTCAAGCAGTCCTCCTATCTCAGCACCCAAGTAGCTGGGATTACAAGGTGCCTGCCACCACAGCTGGCCAATTTTTTGTATTTTAGTAGAGACAGGGTTTCACCATATGGTCAGGCTAGTCTTGAACTCCTGACCTCAGGTGATCCACCCCCATTGGCCTCCCAAAGTGCTGGGATTACATGCGTGAGCCACTGCACCTGGCCTGGGAAGTTCTTTATTATAGTATCTATTTTTGCAATCTGATGAAGAAGAAATTGACTGATTGTGACAGAGAACACACACACACACATAAAATGTGTCTTCCTTGGTTATCTCAAGAACTTTGGCTAAAGGTAGAATAGTATATGACTTTTGTTAAAAACCTTGATGCCAATAAAAAACTGAGGATAAGTCATAACCTTCAAGTCAAAACTAATGAAAAGGGTACTTGAATTAGTTAGACATAGGAAGTGTTTCCTGAGTCATAGTGAAAATTTTCTGATTTGTAAAACAATTTAAAGCCAAGAGCACAGAATATTAGGTTGGAAGGAAGCATTTCCTTTAAGATAAAACATTTTTAGCATCAGGCCACAACAAACAGTTGGAACCCAAACAAATAAAACTTATGGGAGCTAAAAATTAGTTGAAGGATAGAGTTATCATTTTAAGCCTTTAAAATGAGGAGAGAAAGCTGAAAACAGTGAGATGCAATAAAAGTTTAAACTTTGGGTTAAAAAAATAAAAATCTCTTGTAATTTTATTAAAAGTAAATCAATACCTTAAGAAAATTTCATTGTTCTACCGAATTCTTTAGTATATAAGTGTCTTTTTAAAAAAAAAAACCCAATCTCTAGAAAGACCATTATAAATAATTTCCCTTTAATTATAGACAACTTGATCATATATAAGTTTTTTCCTTAAATCCTCTTGTTATGACTTACACAGACCATTCATGACATGCTTGGACTTTCTGGTTTGTCCTGAACATCCCTTTTTCTTAAACAACCAGTCATTTTATTCTAAGGCAGAAATCTACCATATAAAATTATTTCTCATATAAAATTATTTTCCTTTTAACCTTTCTTGCTAAAAATACCTGTTATATTTATAACTTCCTTTACCTTGCTTTTATTTACTGGTTACTTTTACCTTATTTCATAAATAACTTTTAAATAACTTTTGAATTAGACAAAAATTATTTTCCTTTAAATAAGAACACATTTCTTTTTTAGAAAAAATATTTTCCTATAATATATATTTTTAAAAAATTGGAAATGACCCAGACATTTAATGAGTATCCATTATTTAACTTAATATAACTTTAGATTCTAACTTATATGACAAGTTTATTTACAAGGATTTATTCATCACATTTATCTAATTAATTTTTTAATATTTTACCCAGATTACTTATGAAAACTGTGATAGTTATCATTTAATGTTATTTCCCAGTTAATCATTTTTATAGTCTGTGAATTTCAGGTTTTCCTAAGTAAGAACCTTACAGTTAGATAAATATTTTCTTTCCTTCCTTCCTTCCTTCCTTCCTTCCTTCCTTCCTTCCTCCCTCCCTCCCTCCCTCCCTCCCTTCCTCCCTTTTTCCCTTCCTTCCTTTTTGCCAATAACTCAGAGTTTAGCTGTTTCCATTAACTGAACAATATTAAATACCTTATTTATCAAATTTTGCACAAGCAAAGATAATTTTCCTTTGGGCTGCATTCATAGCTTTATAACCCTCATGCCAAATTTTGACATCTAGCAGAGATAAATATGAAATCATTTTACCAATAAATTTCGACACAACATACCAGAATCTCTGGGACACATTCAAAGCAGTGTGTAGAGGGAAATTTATAGCACTAAATGTCCACAAGAGAAAGCAGGAAAGATCCAAAATTGACACCCTAACATCACAATTAAAAGAACTAGAGAAGCAAGAGCAAACATATTCAAAAGCTAGCAGAAGGCAAGAAATAACTAAAATCAGAGCAGAACTGAAGGAAATAGAGACACAAAAAACCCTTCAAAAAATTAGTGAACCCAGGAGCTGGTTTTTTGAAAGGATCAACAAATTGATAGACCACTAGCAAGACTAACAAAGAAGAAAAGAGAGAAGAATCAAATAGACACAATAAAAAATGATAAAGGGGATATCACCACTGATCCCACAGAAATGCAAACTACCATCAGAGAATACTACAAACACCTCTACACAAATAAACTAGAAAATCTAGAAGAAATGGATAAATTCCTCGACACATACACCCTCCCAAGACTAAACCAGGAAGAAGTTGAATCTCTGAATAGACCAATAACAGGCTCTGAAATTGTGGCAGTAATCAATAGCTTACCAACCAAAAAGAGTCCGGGACCAGATGGATTCACAGCCGAATTCTATCAGAGGTACAAGGAGGAACTGGTACCATTCCTTCTGAAACTATTCCAATCAATAGAAAAAGAGGGAATCCTCCCTAACTCATTTTATGAGGCCAGCATCATCCTGATACCAAAGCCGGGCAGAGACACAACCAAAAAAGAGAATTTTAGACCAATATCCTTGATGAACATTGATGCAAAAATCCTCAATAAAATACTGGCAAACTGAATCCAGCAGCACATCAAAAAGCTTATCCACCATGATCAAGTGGGCCTCATCCCTGGGATGCAAGGCTGGTTCAATATACGCAAATCAATAAATGTAATCCAGCATATAAACAGAACCAAAGACAAAAACCACATGATTATCTCAATAGATGCAGAAAAGACCTTTGACAAAATTCAACAACCCTTCATGCTAAAAACTCTCAATAAATTAGGTATTGATGGGACATATCTCAAAATAATAAGAGCTATCTATGACAAACCCACAGCCAATATCATACTGAATGGGCAAAAACTGGAAGCATTCCCTTTGAAAACTGGCACAAGACAGGGATGCCCTCTGTCACCACTCCTATTCAACATAGTGTTGGAAGTTCTGGCCAGGGCAATTAGGCAGGAGAAGGAAATAAAGGGTATTCAATTAGGAAAAGAGGAAGTCAAATTGACCCTGTTTGCAGATGACATGATTGTATATCTAGAAAACCCCATCGTCTCAGCCCAAAATCTCCTTAAGCTGATAAGCAACTTCAGCAAAGTCTCAGAATACAAAATCAATGTACAAAAATCACAAGCATTCTTATACACCAATAACAGACAAACAGAGAGCCAAATCATGAGTGAACTCCCATTCACAATTACTTCAAAGAGAATAAAATACCTAGGAATCCAACTTACAAGGGACGTGAAGGACCTCTTCAAGGAGAACTACAAACCACTGCTCAAGGAAATAAAAGAGAATACAAAGAAATGGAAGAACATTCCATGCTCATGGGTAGGAAGAATCAATATCATGAAAATGGCCATACTGCCCAAGGTAATTTATAGATTCAGTGCCATCCCCATCAAGCTACCAATGACTTTCTTCACAGAATTGGAAAAAACTACTTTAAAGTTCATATGGAACCAAAAAAGAGCCCGCATCCCCAAGTCAATCCTAAGCCAAAAGAACAAAGCTGGAGGCATCACGCTACCTGACTTCAAACTATACTATAAGGCTACAGTAACCAAAACAGCATGGTACTGGTACCAAAACAGAGATACATCAATGGAACAGAACAGAGCCCTCAGAAATAACGCCGCATATCTACAACTATCTGATCTTTGACAAACCTGAGAAAAACAAGCAATGGGGAAAGGATTCCCTATGTAATAAATGGTGCCTGGAAAACTGGCTAGCCATATGTAGAAAGCTGAAACTGGATCCCTTCCTTACACCTTATACAAAAATTAATTCAAGATGGATTAAAGACTTAAACATTAGACCTAAAACCATAAAAACTCTAGAAGAAAACCTAGGCATTACCATTCAGGACATAGGTATGGGCAAGGACTTCATGTCTAAAACACCAAAAGCAATGGCAACAAAAGCCAAAATTGACAAATGGGATCTAATTAAACTAAAGAGCTTCTGCACAGCAAAAGAAACTACCATCAGAGTGAACAGGCAACCTACAAAATGGGAGAAAATTTTCGCAACCTACTCATCTGACAAAGGGCTAATATCCAGAATCTACAATGAACTCAAACAAATTTACAAGAAAAAAAAACCAACAACCCCATCAAAAAGTGGGCCAAGGACATGAACAGACACTTCTCAAAAGAAGACATTTATGCAGCCAAAAAACACATGAAAAAATGCTCACCATCACTGGCCATCAGAGAAACGCAAATCAAAACCACAATGAGATACCATCTCACACCAGTTAGAATGGCAATCATTAAAAAGTCAGGAAACAACAGGTACTGGAGAGGATGTGGAGAAATAGGAACACTTTTACACTGTTGGTGGGACTGTAAACTAGTTCAACCCTTGTGGAAGTCAGTGTGGCGATTCCTCAGGGATCTAGAACTAGAAATACCATTCGACCCAGCCATCCCATTACTGGGTATATATCCAAAGGACTATAAATCATGCTGCTATAAAGACACATGCACACGTATGTTTATTGCGGCACTATTCACAACAGCAAAGACTTGGAACCAACCCAAATGTCCAACAGTGATAGACTGGATTAAGAAAATGTGGCACATATACACCATGGAATACTGTGCAGCCATAAAAAATGATGAGTTCATGTCATTTGTAGGGACATGGATGAAATTGGAAATCATCATTCTCAGTAAACTATCGCAAGAACAAAAAACCAAACACCGCATATTCTCACTTATAGGTGGGAATTGAACAGTGAGAACACATGGGACACAGGAAGGGGAACATCACACTCTGGGGACTGTTGTGGGGTGGGGGGAGGGGGGAGGGATAGCTTTAGGAGACATACCTAATGCTAATGATGAGTTAATGGGTGCAGCACACCAGCATGGCACATGTATACATATGTAACTAACCTGCACATTGTGCACATGTACCCTAAAACTTAAAGTATAATAAAAAAAAAGAAGAAAAATAAATAAAAAATTAAATTTAAACAATAATGTATGTTGACGATTCTGGAGCCGTTTCTAATTTCTAGTTCATGAATGCCTTTAAAACCAGCTTATTTACTAAAGATTTATTCAAGTTACATGAACTTGAAATAGCATTTGACTTAAAGTCTCTATTTTTTCTGATAAGGTATTTGATTTAAAGCAACTCTTTTTTTCTTTAAGCCAATTAATTAGACCTCTTTTATATATTTTTAGCAATGAAACATATGACACATAAATGCGTAGATGTATTAGACATGCAGACAGAAGTAGATCTTTTAGGTTCATAAGACCTTTTTTTCCTTCTATTTTAGACTTCCAATTTCTTGGTAGCCTATTTTATTACCCTAGGCAGTTGTCAGCTAGATAGCCCTAAATTTGTACATTAAAGGAACTCTTAGGTGAAAAAATCAGATAGCTAAATTTACATCTCAAGGTACAGAGAGAAAGAGTCTGATGGAAATAGAGGGAAATTAAAAACAAATGCCAAATCAAACATAAAATTATAGAAATCTATCATAGGATTGTATAAGAAGACCAATTTTATTTAGATAGGTAGTTCTAAACTGGATCTCCTCTGGACTGAGCCCACACTGAATCCTGGGTCTCCAAAAAGAGAATTAATATGAGGCTAAGACCACATGATGCTTTTACAGTGCATCCTCCTTTTTTTTTTTTTTAACAAAGACATTTCCCTAAGTGTCTAATCCATACTCTTCCTTACTTTAAACTCCCAAGGGTAACCTCTGTTATAGTAACTATTTTAGTGAAAAAGAAGAAGAGGGAGAAGGAGAAGAAGGAGAAGAAGGAGAGGAGAAGAAGGAGGAGAAGGAGGAGGAGGAGGAGGAGGGAGAAGGAGAAGGAGAAGGAGAAGAAGAAACCAGGTAACATAATACAAAAGCAAGGAGTTTAAGACCTGAGATGAACTTGTCTGTTTACGCTCTTGGGATTCCATAAGGAAAAACAGAGGTTTCTCCCCAAAAGAGAGTCTGGCACCTCCTCTGTTTTCTTTAAGGAATGCCTGTTAGAAACAGGCTGTTAGAAACTATTTTAGGTTCCTCATGCAGCAGAGGGTGGCAAGAAAAAGGAGAGACAGCAGAAACAAATGAAAAAACAGATTCAGTCCACTGAGAAGAAAAAAAAAACTTGATAAAAACAAACAAACCAAGGTCCTAGGAGGGAAAAAAACAAAACAAAACATGAAGGCCTTTAAAATACAGACACACACACACACACACACACACACACACACACACAAACAATACACACAAACACATCTTGGATGTTAGCTTTTAATTAAGCTGACTTTTAACCATTAAGCTCCCTAAAAAAAATTCTTTTAAATCTCATTTCCATATTTTAGCTAGGACACATTGCTGATATTTCAAAAGTTACACGAATACCAAACCAGAAAGGGCTTGATTTAGGAACAAAACCCAGGCTGATGTGATGAAAAAAAAAGGGCAGAACCTTAGTTACCAAACTGCAGTGTGAGGTGATGCCATTGCTTTTTTAGTTTGGCTTGGTTAGTTAAAAAAAAAAAAAAAAAGGTGGCCTTGTTATGTAACTGAAGCCCTTTAGGTAATCTAAATAAAAAATCTTTCCCTTTTTTTTTCTTTTGCTGGCCGTTTTTTCTTTTTCCCTTTTTTTCTTTTTCAATTATGGGAATTTAGCCAATTCAGAGGCCTTGTTCCCCACAATTTGGACTTTCCTTTGGATTTCATCAAGGCTGATAGAGTTGGTCAAACCCAATGGGAAAAAAAAAACAAAACAACAAAAATACAAACAAGCAACAGTAACAACAAAAACAGCTAAGCAAATCAAACAAACAATTGCACAATTTATATGATTACTGAGTACTCTAATGGTAAGAATTTAAGACCAGCTGATTGTGAATCTTAACTTTAGCTAAGACAGAACCCTGATTCGGCTACTTATCTAAGAATGGGTCTCAGGCTGAAGACTGCTCTCTACCATCCTAGAAGCAGGAAAAATCTCAAATTGTTTTGAAGTGAGCTCAGACTCCACAAAAGAGTTACCTGCCTTCCATTGTCATGGAAGTAGGAAAACTTGCTCTCCTTGTTGGAAGCAAGTGAAACTCCAGAAGAGGGGTTGTATAGCCAAGGAAACTTTAGATCTCGACCAAGTTTTGGGAGATCAGGGATTCTCTAAACGGGAGGCTCCCAGGCCTCAGCCAAGTATCCTATTGGTTTGAGCCATAAAGTAAGCTCAAGCTGGTACCAAGCACCAATAAGAAATTTGTCAAAGGTCAGGGGAACCTCCACTCAGAATCCCGTTGTGGTTGCCAATTGTGAACCCAAAATATCTGAGACAGGTCTCAGTCAATTTAGAAAGTTTATTTTGCCGGGACTCTATAGTGGCGATTGGTTGTTTCGTTATGGATGGAGGGGATGATGGTAACCTTGTTATCAAAAAGAGGTTTGTGTCTGAGGCAGAACTAGATGAATGGTGCAAAAGGAGGCAAGAAGAATGGGAGAAAGTTCGAAAACCTGAAGATTCAGAAGAATGTCCAGAGGAGGTTTATGACCCTCGATCTCTATATGAAAGGCTACAGGAACAGAAGGACAGGAAGCAGCAGGAGTATGAGGAACAGTTCAAATTCAAAAACATGGTAAGAGGCTTAGATGAAGATGAGACCAACTTCCTTGATGAGGTTTCTCGACAGCAGGAACTAATAGAAAAGCAACAAAGAGAAGAAGAACTGAAAGAACTGAAGGAATACAGAAATAACCTCAAGAAGGTTGGAATTTCTCAAGAGAACAAGAAGGAAGTGGAAAAGAAACTGACTGTGAAGCCCTTAGAAACCAAGAACAAGTTCTCCCAGGTGAAGCTGTTGGCAGGAGCTGTGAAGCGTAAGAGCTCAGAGAGTGACAACAGTGTGAAAAGACTGAAACCGGACCCTGAGCCAGATGACAAGAATCAAGAGCCCTCATCCTGCAAGTCTCTCAGAAACACCTCCCTGAGTGGCTCCTCCATCCACTGCCCCTCTGCTGCAGTCTGTATCAGCATCCTCCCAGGCCTGTGCACCTACTCTGGGAGCAGCAACTCTGAGTCCAGCGCAGACAGTGAAGGCACCATCAATGCCACCGGAAAGATTGTCTCCTTTATCTTCCAAACCAATACCTTCCTTGAGGCCCCTAGTTTCTCTGTCCTTACACAGGGAGCTCCTCCCCAATGGTAGATCGGACCATTCACGCTGCCTTACAGGCATTATGTCCCTCAAAAAAAAACTCCTTTGCCTGCATCCTGTGCACAACATGACATTTTTAACCAATCCAATCTAAAAATGTGCTAGAATCCATCTGTGGCCTGAATCGTGTTTGGTTTCTCGTTCTACTCCAGTGCAGATGACCAAACCTGTCCTGCTGCCACTTTCCTCACTGATATTGGGAGGAGGGAAAGGCCCAGCTGAAGTTCTACTAAAAATGCCCTAGGAGAATAGGCACCGGTCGACTTGCCAAAGGGTTTAGGCTTCATTGCTTTCTGTTTTTTACTTTTCCCCAACAACACAAAGAAGTAAGGGCAGTTATTGGACAGGTGTTATTTAAACATTCTATTGTAGATGAATGTGTTGTTTGGTTCTACTGCATTGTGGAGCATGTGGGGGAAGAGAACTGACCCGGGTGATGAAATGGAGCCCTTCCCTGGAACTCACCAGTCCTTGATGTTGTGTGACTAAGTAAAGATGATAAACGTCATCTGCTGGGGGTGTCACTTCACACTTGGCATGCACTGTGAAAGCTTTCCGTATCCTTGGCCATTCCCTCTCCCCTCTCTATCCAACCCCATTTATGCATGAAAGGACTGCTAACAAGAAAGCTTCCATCTCAAACCTTTTCTCTGCTTGGGAAATTATTTTATGTTTGTTTTTGAAATAAAGGATTTAGTTTAAGATTCTAAATTTTAGAGAAAAAAAAAGAAAGTTTATTTTGCTAAGGTTAAGGACACACCCATGACATAGCCTCAGGAGGTCACAATGACATGTGCCTAAAGTGGTCAGGGCACAGCTTGGTTTTATACATTTTAGGGAGACATGAGACATCAATCAATATATATGTAAGATGTACATTGGCTCAGTCCAGAAAACTGGGACAACGAGAAGCACAGAGGGGCTTCCAGGTCATAGGTAGATAAGAGAGAAATGGTTGCATTGTTTTGAGTCTCTGATTAACCTTTTACTAAATACACAACTTACATGTGAGAGGGGGCATAGAGGAATAGTCACTTATACCTTGGTCTGGCTTAGTGAAACAATAAGGCAAAGGAAGCACAGATATGCATTTGTCTCACATGAGCAGAGGGATGACTTTGAGTTCTGTCTGTCCTTTGTCCACAAGGGATTTCCTTGTGTGCAAACTGTGAGGGAGATATGTCACTTTTTAATCTTGGTAGCTATCTCATTTAGAAACAGAATGGGAGGCAGGTTTGCCCAACGACGCAGTTTCCAGCTTGACTTTTCTCTTTGGCTTAGTGATTTGGGGGTCCCGAGATTTACTTTCCTTTCGCACCATCAAGGGACTTCTGTAGACTCTGTACATGAGTTCAGGGATCACCAGAGACCCCCTTTTTATGAGTTCCCGTGCAGTGGAGCTGCTGAGGTAGGATTAATTTCTCTGCCTTCTTCCCCTGCCATAGACAATGTTTAACCTGATTATGCTCTGCAGGCAAGTAGCCACCCTTGGATATTAATCTCCTTATCGAATAAGATAAACTGTGAAGAAGGCATGCCGTAAAGGAGGGAATGCAAAGCTAGAAAATATGTTCGAATCTGTCATGGGAAGCATGGAGGGAGAAATGAAGATGTGTGGACATCTAGTATTTTCTCTGCTTTCCCTTCTCTCTGGTCCTTTAAAATTTTCAATTCTCCTGAAAAGAAAAATTGTATCTTGTTTTTGTGAAGCCATTTCCAGCATGAAAACAATTCCATTTGACAGTGTAAACTGTCCTATGCTTAGCTGTGTGCTTGCCCTGCACTCCCTCCCTGCCCCCAACTGTGTGAAACAGATGCCTGCAGTGACACTGCCCATCAATCACCCCACAGGAAGCAGGGCACAATTCAAAACCCCAAAATGCAGAAACGTGTTCACCTGTGCCTTCCACACAGTGGTGGGGTAGGTAGGAAGCCTAGGGTATTACTTGGAAAACAAGCAACATTTTAAGACAGATTAAGTGTAAACTTCTTTGCTCTTTTCTCTGGCATAGTTTTGAGAAATCACCACTAATTGGATACATTGTAATGTACAGATAAATTTTCTTCTTTTTTACTATCTCATTTACAATTTAATATCTAACATACAAAAGTTGATCAAAGGCACAAAAACACTAGATAAAAGGTTGAATATTTAATACCAACCCTTCTGAGTTAATTACCAGATCCTTGTTTTTCAGTAGGAGGCCAGCAAGTTAGGAGTTAAGATGAAAGGAGTCCTAGATTTAACCCCAAAAGACCCCCCTTCAATTTTAGCCAGGTCAGGCCCACAAAGAGATGTAGATGTAAACTGATTATGATGCTAAGTGTTTGACAGGGATCCTCTTTGTGTCCAAGGCCAGTCAAAACTTGAATAATAGTATTTCCGACAAAAAGCTTGCCCCCTTTGCTTTTTAATGGTTCATTTTAATTATTTCTATAAATCTGCTTGAGAAATATTAAGATTCTGATTGTTGTGGACTGGTTTATTATTTGCTACCATACCCGAAGTATTTGCCTTCTCATTATAGAAGCTTAGTGCAAAGAACTGTCCAGAGCTAGTTCACTAAACTAAGCACACACTCGATTTCCAAGGGGAGCAGAAAGGGCTTTACCAATTGCTAAGTCACCAACATGTCCCTTTGCCCATCTTTCTATGTCCTACAAAGACTTATGTGGGGTGTGCACATAGTATTTCCCCAGGGAAACACACACACACACACACACACACACACACACACACTCTCTCTCTCTCTCTCTCTCTCTCTCTAATATTGTTGATTGATTAGGTTTGTTTGGAGACTGCTTAAACTGTGTGTGTTATGGTTTCAAATTACTGTTTGCTCTTCTAACTTCTTAGAAGGGTAAACAATTTGAAAACAGTTTAAACCCATAGCAAAAGAAACTGGCATCTGACAAACTCTTTAACTTAATTCCTCTTATTAAGACTCATATACTGTTTTCTGGTGGTAAATAATGGAAAGAAATGATAGGTTTTGATGTTATATTTTACAGCTATTTTTCTCCTCAAGGTTTGAATGTTATAACAGCCAGACCCTACACAAACACCAACCAGTTTTCTAAGCACTGAGTCAATTGTAAACTAAAAAGAGCTCTAGCTGGAGGTTTTCTGGGTGAAAGCTCAGTGATATCTACAGTTTTTTTTTTCTTAGTCTCCTCTTCCATCTCCAGCCTCTAAAACACACACACACACACACACACACACACACACACACACACACACACACACACGAAAAACAAATGGATGGACAATTTGCTCTAAGGAAATACAGTATAGATAGGCAGGCATGAGAGTCATCACATTATCTTACTACCTCATTCCTGTATGTTGGGTAAAGGTTGTCTTTAATCTCTCCTACCTTCAAACAAATCAGGCACTATTGTTGACAAAATACCCCTATTTACTTCTGGCAAGGCAAATGTCATTGATGCTACCTTAGATACTAACATCACATGTGGAAGCATTTTCTATTTTAAACTTTCAACCCTGTCTTTACAAAAAATACAAAAGGTAGCTGGGCGTGGTGGCATGTGGCTGTAGTCCCACCTACTTGGGAGGCTGAAGTGGGAGGATCAGTTGAGCCCAGGAGGTTGAGGCTGCAGTGAGCAGTAACTACGCCACTGTACTCCAGCCTGGGTGATGGAGCGAGAACCTGTCTAAAAAAAAAAAAAAAAAAAAAAAAAAAAACTTCAAAAATCACTACTTAGCATTCAGAAAAATATTTCTCCCTTTTCTCCCTCTTAATGATCAGAGCCTAGTCATTACTTACAGTATTTAAAGGCAACTTACTATTTAAATTTCTTAGCCTTCAAAAATGAAGTATTGGCTGGGTGTGGTGGCTCACATCTGTAATCCCAGCACTTTGGGAGGCCAAGGCAGGAGGATTGCTTGAGGTCAGAAGTTAGAGACCAGCCTGGGCAACACAGTGAGACCCTGTCTCTATTAAAAAAAAATTAAAAATAAACTAAAAAAATCAGAAATAAAGTATTATTTTTCAGTTCAAAAGTTGTTTGGGGCCAGGCACAGTGGCTCATGCCTGTAACCACAGCACTTTGGGAGACTGAGGTAGGAGAATGTTTGTGTCACTGTACTCTAGCCTGGGCAACAGAGTGAGACTCTATCTCAAAAAAAAAAAAAGTTATTTGGAAAATTGCCAGTAAGGTATTTGATACAAATTTGCATTTTATAGTAACAGTAACAATTCTGCTGATTTTATTTTGCACTTGCCACTCTTTGAAGGAAACAAGGTCAGAGGATTGGCAAGCCTTTGCATTTGTCTGCAAATCTGTTTAACCATAATGTGGACAGAGTTTGTTTCTTTCTGCAGTTTCCAATTTTAAAAGGCAAAGATAGCCTAGAATCTTAATACTGAACAACTGATCTAATCAAATATATATTTTAAGAAGAATAACGATTAAAGATTAAGTAAAGATCTCAGTCTGTACCCTAGAGGGCCCATGAAGTAGCTCATGAATTAGACTCTTACTCCTTAAGCGAATACTAAAAGTCTGTTTTACATGGATTCTGAAATTTGATTCATTTTGAAGGCTTTGTTTAGTTGTTCCTAATGACAGATTGAAATACAAAATACTTGATGTAGGAGAAACTAAAAGCCTCTCTGGGCCAAGGAGGCAGAAGCCATAAGAATCAAAATAAACTGGGTGTAGGAAATAAAGCATTCTGGAAAGGGCAACCCAGGGAGAGGGAAGAGCAAGCTGCAAATCGAATCAGGAAAACACAGCAGTTCTTCTGCAGGGCCTGGTACCAGTGCCTGGTACAGACCCATTTTCTGGGCCACACTGAGTTATCTAACACACTTTCTGGGAGGTTTGGCCTGGTTGGAAAAGTGAGAGCTGGTCACACTGCCCACTGCTCAAGAGGCCTGCAGTGGCAGCAGCGCCACCTCCAAGCCACGAATGCCAGTAGCTGGGCAGACTTTGGGCACACTGGGCTTCAGGAGCCTTTCCAGCCTTATTTAAAGGCTGGTTGGCACATTTGGGGGATACAGATGGACAATCAGCATATTAATAGATGAAGAATAAATTGTCTTCTAGATTTTGCAGCTTTAGATCCAATCCATCAAGATATGAACTCTATTGAAGAGTTGCGCCATGCTTCATTCAAGCACTTTTTGACCACATCCTATGTACAATTTGAAAAATAAGAGTCAAAGTAGGCCAGGCGTGGTGGCTTACATATGTAATCCCAGCACTCTGGGAGGCTGAGGCGGGTGGATCACAAGGTCAGGAGATTGAGACCATTCTGGCCAACATGGTGAAACCCTATCTCTACTAAAAATACAAAAATTAGCCAGGTGTGGTGGTGCATGCTTGTAATCCCAGCTACTTGGGAGGCTGAGGCAGGAGAATCGCTTGAACCTGGGAGGCAGAGGTTGCAGTGAGCTGAGATCGCTCCACTGCATTCCAGCCTGGCGACAGTGAGACCCCGTCTCAAAAAAAAAAAAAAAAAAAAAAGTCAAAATAAGCATGACATATTCAGGGGCAGTACGTCCCACTGCTTGAGTGAAATGGGACGCATCCAATTGTGGGAGATAAACGTAGGATGCTGCCGGATTGTCAGACTGAAGAATGCTGCCTTCTTCCTGTAGGAGCACATGGGAATCTGCAGAAGGTTTTGAAGAGGTAGGTAGTGTGATGAAATCAGACTTTTAAAAACAGTGACCTGACAGCAGTTTTGGGATGGATTTAGGAAGAAGAGAGAAGCAGAAAGAACACCAAGGTAGTGGATGTAGGTATCCAATTTAACTTCTCTAAGCTAGGAAATCAGAATGCTTATAGGATCATGGTGAGAATTAAGTGTGGTGCCTGATATGTGGCCAACAGCAGATAAATACTTGTTCCCTCTTCCACTACTTGGGGTTACTGCAGTGATGGTGCATGTGAAAAATAAAACAGGTTACTTGGGAAAGAGCAGCAAATTTAGCAAATACTTGAATTTTAAAGAATTTAAGAGAGACAAGCAAAGGAAAAGCTAGGATTTCAAACAGAAAAACCAGGTCTTAGGTAAAGAGGGGGAGGTGGTGGGTGTGGGAAGAGTACTAGTTTTGAGGGAAAGATGAGTTGATTTTTGGATATTTTTATTTGGACTTGAAATTTTACAACGATAATATGGATTCAAGAGTCCCTGACATTGAAGAGAAACCCGGAGATATACCTTGAAGCTCAAATTTCCAAGCCCCTCATTTTCCCTGGGCCCTTCCAAGGATACATGTCTAGTATTATGTTTGTAAGTTTTTATTGCTTTCCTTTAAGAAGTTCCCCCAGGAGTTATACAAGCTTCAGGTCCCACGACATCTGGATGGGTTCAGTTTGAAATCAGAAGGTATTTCTTTGGGATACTGGGAGATCGAGAGTTGGAAAAACCTTGTTACTGTCCTCAAAGGAAGAGAAGGGTCAGCAGAGAAGTCCAGAGAAGCATAGAGAAGGCCTTAGGGTAGGATGCTGCCAAGGAGATCAAAGGGATGAGGGGCTGAGAATGGGTCACCAGACTTGACTTCTCAAAAAGTAACTGTTTTAGAGTGCATGCTCAATACAGTTGGGGGGAGGCCCACTGTCACGGGGTTGAGGAGGGAGGAGTAGGCAAGGGGTGTGGACTCCCCATTTAACAAGGTCGACAGTAAGAGAAAAGAAGATGCCACTCAACTCCTCACTTTCGATCTGCTGTAATTTAACTTGAGCCTGAACAGTCAATATTCCTTTGGGATTCATATTAGCTCCCTGAGCATGACATTGTCTTTCTCTTTATTACATTTTCTTATTCCTTAAGATTTTAAGATTTTCTTAATTGGATCCATTTCTCTTCATGCACCATCAATGGCCAAGAAATGGGCTATTGGCAGGCACAGTTTTGGTTTTGGGGTTGATTGGTTTGTTTACACTAATAGTTTCTCTTTCTCGATCCAAGGCTTGACCAAGGAGGTCAGGAATTCTGTCCTGGGAGTTCAGGGACTGAGGACCAGGATGGAGGAAGCAAAAGGCGTCAGGCATTAGGCTGGAAACGTCTTGGTCGGTTATCTAGGATCAAAGAGTCAAAGGTAGCGATGACTTCATCCCCGTAGAGGGCGCCTCCCTACCCCGACAGTGGATTTTCGGTCAGCCGGTTTGCCCGGGATGTTTTCTTTGACTACTTGCTTCTCACTGGCGCCCCAAGTCACTTTGAAGAAAAAAAAAATGTGATTAAATCGATTCCCCTGTTTCTTTCTGTGAGGAGTGTGCCTTTCCCAGACAGCGTGCGTTCATTCGATGAGGCCTGGCAAAATTTTTGAGGGGTCTTTTTACGCTTTAATACAACCTAAAGGTTTCTGTTACCATCATCATTGAGAATTAAAAACAAAAACAAAATAAAAAACGGTAACAAATTTACAGCTTGGCAGGCCCCAGGGAGGAGCTGACCTTTGCGAAGCTCTAGCGCAGCCAGGTTTCAGCTGTAGGGGTTGGGACAGGTCAGTTCGCCCAAGTGCTGCTAGCTCTCCAGGGAGAAGCAAGTGTTGGGGCAGAGGGTGGTCTGGCGCGTGCGTCGGGGGGCGTGTGCGGGTGTGTGTGTGTGTGTGCGCGCGTGTATATAAGAGTGTGTGCGCGCCCGTGTGCACAAGAGAGGGTGCCTGGGAGGCTGTCGCAAAGGCTCCTTTGTGAAAGGCACTTGCAGGTTCAGAAGCCAGCTTGGCGCCTCCTCTCGCCCGTTCCCCGAGGACACCTGGCTCTTCTGGGCAGCCCAGCTATCTCCGTCTCCTGCCGCCCCTACTTCTCTCGGTGGCCCCCGGCCTAGCCCCGCACCAGCCTTCGGGTGCGGGAAGCAGTGTGCCCCGAGGCGTCTCCCCCGGGGCCCCGCGCAGGTGAAGGTGAGCGCGTGGCGGTGACGGTGGCGCGCGTAGGGTGGAAGGGGAGGCGAGGGAGGGGCGGAGCAGGAAAGGGCGCGCTGCCCTTCCCGGCCGGCCAGGAGCAGCGAGGCCGCAGCTTTGTTACCTGAGGCTGCCGCTGCGCCCCGCCCCGCCCTGCCCCCTCGCGCTCAGGGTTGGCTGGGCCTGCAGTGACCGGGAGGAGGCGGCTACGCCGACACAACGGCGGGAGGCTGCAGCGGTCTGCGCGCCGGGAGCGGGGGCGCGCTGGCCGCGGGTGAGTGCGGGTCGGGCGGCCGAGGCGGGGGCGACCGCGGCGCGGGACACGGGGAGCTGGAGCCCCGCCGCTCGGGAGGGTCAGGGTTGGGGTGTTGTCCGGGACCCGAGGCTGAGGCGCCGAGAAGCGCGGCTGATGGGTGCCGGGTCTCGGCTTCCTCCGAGCCTCACCGGGAAAGCTGGAGAGGAGGTTCCAGTTCCCTCCACATCCACCCCGGTGACTTTGGCGGCCGCCCTTACCCGGCCACGGAGAACAGCGATCGGTCCCTGGAGGCGAGGACGCGCCGGTGTGGACCCGCGTCTGGAGAACGAGCTGCATCGCCAAGGCTGCTGCGGGTCGCACCTGGGCGGTTGACTATTAGTCGTGGCTAAGACTTTCAGATCAACCGCCCCCTAGTTTATCCCGACCCTTGGGAGACAGCGGCGTCCCGCACGGAATGCGCAGCCGCGGCGCCGCGCTCGGTTCCCTAGCCAGCCGGGGGCCACGCCTGGCCCCTGACACAGTGGTGGGGCGGTGGCGGGGACCTAGTGCGGTGGTGCGGACCGAGGACCAGGCGCTTCTCGCCCCGACAAACTTGCTCCGGCCGCGCGAAGTTCGGATTGCAAGTTGCGCCCCGCGCCTGCAGGAGTGTGGGGAGGGGGAGGAAGCGGGTGGGCTGGGGATCAGCCTCCAAACAAGGGGTGTCCCCAGCTCTTGGAGAGCGGGTTCTGACCGGTTTCAAACGCCAGGAGTCTCCCCTCTGTTTTTCTCAGCGGCTCGACCCGGCTCCCTTTTGGCAGAGCCGCAGTGCGGCCGTGAGGCTTTTCCCCCGCGCCTGCGACCTGGATGGGGGACGTGGGAAGATGTCGCGGCGGAGGCTCCGGGTGGGTTGGGAGCGCGCGGCCGCCGCAGACCCGGTGTCTGCGAGCCGGAAGACCCCCCCTTTCGTTTCATTCACACGGACACCTCCCCTAGTTAGCCGTCTCCCACCCAACTTCTGGGCGCAGCGTGCTAAACCCCCGCAGAGGGGCTGGCGCCCTGGGGGGCGTGGCGTGGGGAGCGTGGGCTTTCCAGCGTGGGCCCCTCGGGGAGGGGGGCGGGGCCGAGACCCCCTCCAACTGGAGGGGCCGGGAATGGGCGAGCGGGTGCGGCGGCCGACCCAGCAGCTGCAGCCGCCGGACGGGAGAGCGGTCGGCGCTGCGGAAGGCCGAGGGTCGTGCAACGCCCGCGCTGGGCGCCCGCCCCGCAGTCCCCGCCCCGCAGGCCGCGGCTTCTCTCCCCGCCGCAGAGCTGGCGCGGCGCGTGTGGGCGTCGATCTCAGCGCGCACCGGCGCCCCACCCTCGCGCCGCGACGCCCTTCTGCCCGGCGCTGATAAGGACGCAGCTGGGGCTCCGCGCGGCCCGTGGGCCGCCCACTCGCGTTCAGTTTGCTGACCCCAGCGCGGCTCCCCGGGGATTCGCGGCCCAGCCGGTGGCGGCTGAGCCGGTGGCTTGTTGGTGAGTGGCTCGGGCGGGGACCGGGGTGCCGGGTTGGGGATGTAAGGAGGCTGCGGACAGCTGTCTAACGCAGAGAGCTGGTGAACTACTACGTATCCAAACTTGAAAGAAGTGGTGTCCCAGGACCCCCCAGGCCGAATTTCTTCCGGACTTAATGGTCGGTTTTCAAACTTCCGTGTGGACAGAAACGACCTCCGGGATTCGGCCGTCTGTGACCCCCTTCAACTGACCCACAGTTGTCTTCCTGGAAGGAGCAGCCGGCGCTCCCTTCCCTCTCTCTAGAGCATCCTTTGGCACGCATGTGCTTTTTTTTTTTTTTTTCTTGGTTTTGGGACAGTGAGAGAAACTGAAAATGAACATTCAAATACAGGCGTTTTTCCTCTGCTCTCGGGTGTTGGTCTCGGGCGCCTATGAATATTTACATTGTGCTGCAGATTGAAGGCGCTTACTGGGAACGCGTTGTCCTGGGTTCTTTCACTACTGCCTGGAGCACAGGCAGACGGAACTCACAGAAGAGCTGGACGGTCCGGCTCTGGCCCGACTGCGTAATTGTACCGACTGACATTCTGTGTTTAATAATCAAGAAAGCTTTTGAAAGATAAGTGGTGGTGGAGGAGCCTTTTCCCGAATTAGTGGAGTGGGAGTAAAAATTCCATAGTTTAGAATTGTCCGTACTTTCCCCATCCTTTTCTTCTCTCCCAAATACAATAAAATAGGGCTGTGTGTTTCTCTACCTCTGCTCTCCAAACTCGGCTTGTTCTACCCTGGTTTGTCATCAGAAGCATGTGGGCCAGCCCTTCCTGCCCCCACCTCTTCTGTGGCACATGCCAGGAGTCAAGGAGAAAGGTTTTCTGGCAGGTTTTCCTTGATGTTCCTTTTGATTATTGTTGACCAAAGGAGTGAGTGACCAGCTGAGCACCAAGACCCTCATTCTGAGCACCAGAACCACTGGTGCAGAACCACTCATTCTGAGCACCAGGACCGCTGGTGCAGAACCACTCATTCTGAGCACCAGGACCACTGGTGCAGAACCACTCATTCTGAGCACCAGGACCACTGGTCCTCGTTCAGGAAAGCCCTGAGCTCCAAACTGACGGCCAGGAACATGCTCTCCCCTTAAATACACTGTGAGATGAAGCCTATATACTCTTTTTTCTTGGCTCCCTTCAAGAGACTAGAACGTCTTTTTTTTGGTTATTGTTGTTTTGTTGTTGCGACGGAGTCTGGCTCTGTCGCCACGCTGGAGTGCTGTGGCGTAATCTCGGCTCACTGCAACCTCCGACTCCCTGATTCAAGCGATTCTCCTGCCTCAGCCTCCCAAGTAGCTGGGACTACAGGCGCGCCACCACGCCCAGCTACTGTGTGTGTGTGTTTGAGTGTGTGTGTTTCAGTGTGTGTGTTTGAGTGTGTGTTTATGTGTGTGTGTATTTTAGTAGAGACGGGTTTCACCATGTTGGACAGGATAGTCTTGATCTCCTGACCTCGTGATCTGCCCACCTCGGCTTCCCAAAGTGCTGGGATTACAGGCGTGAGCCACCGCGCCTGGCCGAGACTAGAACTTCTAGGGGTGTTTCTGACACCAAGGAAAAAGTACAGCGGGCTGTTTAGGCAGGAGAGCTTAGGAGGGGGCCAGGGGCAGCTTTGAAGACCCTTAACGAACGTTCTAAGATTTTTTGTCTGCCAATTAACTAAAAGTTAAGTACGTGATCACAGCATCGCCTTATTGAAATTTCACATAGTTGAAAGATGCTCAACTGAGCTACAGCCTCCTTGGGAGAGTCCATCACTCAAACACAACTCTGATGGGTCATGAGTAGCACTCAGGGGACTTGAGGAGACATTCCCATCTTCAGAGCCCAGCCATGACAGCTCTGCATTTTACTCAGAGCTGGGCACTTGTCAGCCTTAGCAGCTACCTCATCCTGTTGCTGAGGTTTCCAACCTGTAGCTGAGATCTTACATACAGGCCTGTCTCTGTCTGCCCAGGGGCAGATTGATGGGACTACTTAGCATTTTCCAGACAGAGTGGGGGCTAATCCCATTGTCCCTACTGGCAGTTGTCAGCTGTGAGAAACAGGCAGCCAATGTGGTCTGTTAGGGCTGCAGCATCACCTGCGTTCTCCTAGCGTACCTGGAGAGTGTGTGTTTGCATCTCTACTGCGGGCAGTACTGCAGCAAATCCATCGTTCTTTTGTGTATTCTCTATTTTAATTTCCATGTGGCTGTGGAAAGGGTTAGAATTCTGTCTGTACTCCACTTTTCCTGCCACCTCTTTCACATTGGACATCCTGGCCCAGGGGGAAACCCTATTGGAGTAAAGGTAGTAAAAGCATTAGCGTCTTGGCTAATCATTGCTGGCGAACCTATTCATTAGAAGCCGTTGGGGGGCTAGGATCCTTGTGTGTTACCCTTGGAAGAAATTAATCAGACAGCATACCAGGGACACTGTTGTACATTTTCTTTTGTTTCCTTTAACTTTTAAAAATAACATTCTTTTACATGGGGCATTGGTTAGAATCATCCCAATGCAGAGCTAACAAGTGTCACTTTTTACTTTGACAGTCGTTTATCTGGTACTTCCTCTGTGCAAAGCACAGTACTAAAACACGCACCTTTCTGGCTTTGTTGTTAGGAGACAGTGAGGTTGCATAACCTTGGAGTATATAGTCTTCCTTAGTCTTTGTCAGTATCTCTGTATTTGCATTGTGAGGTTTAGTGGCGCATCTGTCCATATACAGCACTGAATGAGTTACTGCTTTCTAGATTGGAGACTTTTTGAGCTTATCACCATTCTTAACAGGGATAATCTATAAATAAGTCAGCATATCTGGAATTGGAGGTAAATTGGAGGATTAACAGCTCTTCTATACATGAGATATTTTATGTACAGAAGTATTTTAAAATATGTAAGGATAAACTGCCAAAATTACCTGCACAGTCTTGAAAAAGAAGAGTTCAGATATAACTATAAACTGTAATTGACAATGAGTCATTTGCTTTAAGGGTGCCAACTATGAAAACAGCCTAGTTATGCCCCTAATGATAATTATGAAAACTCTTTCTAGAAGCCAGTTACATCTCAAGTGAGCTGTATGTCAGCTTGGAAAAATATTTTCTATTTTACTTATTTAAAAATTATTTGGTGGTGATGGCTGCACAACACTGTGAATGTACTTAATGCCACTAAATTGCACACTTAAAAGTGGTGAAAATGATTTTTTAAAGTATCCAATTAATAGCTGGAGATGCCATTTTCCTCCCATATAGAGGCAGTTTTCAGAACTCTAATATTCAAATGTTTCACTAAAATATTTGCTTTTGTAATATGGAGACAATTTAATAGATGATCACCAAGCATTGAGAAAGGACAGCTCTCACAAACTTTGATAGCAAAGAATGGAAATATTACAAGTTTGTTCCTAGCAGCCAGGGGTAACTTGGCATTTTATCTATAAACCCAATACATATTTTAAAGCAAATGTAATGCCTGTGAAAATAAAGGGAAATTATATGCACATATGATAACAGCTTGTTATTGTTATAAATAATAGCTAACTATGTACCAGGCATCTTGGTAAGGACCATACATGTGTTAGCTCTTTATTTTTATACAAACCAATGGAACAAGTATTTCCTCATATTGTAGATGAGGATGCTGAAATGTAGGTGACGTTACCAACCTCAGCTCATGTTGCACATCTTGAAAGTAGCAGAACTTTCTGAGAAAAAGCAGTCTATTCCTAGAATCTCCACTCTTATTCCCAAGGCAGCCCTGCCTTTTGGATGTAGTTCTGTGTAAATCATTTTGTAATATTTGAATTTGTGAGATCAGATTGTTTACTTCTGTGTAGTCTAAAATTATTTCATCAACTTGTGTTTGTAAGTATGGGCTTTGACAGTGGTGCTGTAAAAAGAAAATTACACCCCGAAGTGCCGTGTAAAAAGCCATTGTGTATGGCCCTTTGTGATCTGGAGGAAATAGTCCCCTTTCCACACTCCCATCTAGTTGGGGTACTCACTCAATAGCCTGCATGGCGTCCTTTCTACACCCCACTTACCTGTTCTCGTATCTGAAGAAATTTAGTAGTTTTGACCTCTCTTTCACATCAGATCGGTAACAGCCCAGCATGAAAAACAAACGTGAAGTTCCATAAAAATGCAACCCACTAAAGTAAGTTGGTGACTGTGTATAAGGGACATGTGGCAGATGTGACATGGGCAGCGTGTCCTTGGGCGTATCTCTTCTTTGCTAAAAGTGTCAGAAGCAGAAGAGGTAGGTGATGGTTTCCAAAGAGTGGCTTAACTAGAATCTAAGATGATAGAGGTCATTTAATGTGTTCTCCTAATTTTACAAATGAGAAAACTGAAGTCTGGTGAGGCAAAGTGACTTGTCTAAAACTATAAGCAGTAAAGCTTGATTTAGGGCTGGAATCTCATTTTTCATATCTGCTGTTCTTTTCTCTATTTGGGGGAAAGCCACATCACCAAGTAGAGCATAAATATGGTGGCCCTGATTCCAGGGAAATGAGCTAGGCCATTATTATATCATCTCCAAATGCCCTGTCTTATCCGTCCAAGGTGCAAGATGCCTTTTTTGACCCACTGATTGGTAGGAGACATGTCCAGACTGGAAAAAGGTAGGGTCACTCATGCCTAATGCTCCAGCAGTTTGGGCAGTTTCCCTAGGGGTTGGGCAACCATTGTCCAAAGAGAACGAACTAGTTAGTAAACAAGTAGTTTATTCATAAAGTGAGCAATACTTACTGAGCCTCTAGCAGGCTCTCAATATAAATGTGCTTTGTTGATTAATATAAGGTTTCCAATTGGATTTGTTGCAATTTCTCTGGCAGAATTTCCAGGTGGTAAAATTTGATTCACATTTAGAAAAGCGTTGGGTCCTTGTAATGCAACTTGGGATGTGTTGCCCCTCATTGATTTTCATATCCAACTCATATGGGAGGATTGATACTAGCCTCTGAAGGGAAATGCTGATGCGAAACTGTTTGTCTGTAACTGATTTGATATTTATTTTATCTTGCTAGGTTTGGAAGAGGACAGTTGCCCTTTATTCTGGCGGCAGATAGCAGCAGGTGAAAAAGTGCTACACAAGTTTGATGTTTGTGTCTTCTTCTCCAAGGCCAAGAAATTATCTCCATAGGAGGCAACAGTACTATGCATGTTATGAATTGTGTCTCCTTGGTCAGTGATAAAGAAAATGGGAATATTGCCACAGCACCTGGATTCATGATTGGGCAGACACCTCCTCCAGCACCTCCTCCACCTCCTCCTCCACCCCCTCCATCTCCACCATGTTCATGTTCAAGGGAAGAGTGTCCTTCCTCCCCTCCTCCACCCCCACCACCTCCACTTCCTGGGGAGCCTCCCATCCCACCTCCCCCACCAGGCCTACCCCCAACTACTCACATGAACGGCTACAGCCACCTTGGTAAGAAAAAGCGGATGAGAAGCTTTTTTTGGAAAACTATTCCGGAGGAGCAAGTTCGAGGCAAAACCAACATCTGGACCTTGGCAGCCAGGCAGGAACATCACTACCAAATTGATACAAAGACCATTGAGGAGCTCTTTGGGCAGCAGGAAGACACCACCAAGTCTTCCCTTCCTAGGAGAGGAAGAACTTTAAATTCATCCTTCAGAGAAGCTCGAGAAGAGGTAAGAATGCAAGGTGGAGGGCTAATCCTCCACACACTGCATTGTTTTGTGTTTTGGGATGTGTGTACATTTCAAATAATTGCTAGACACCCCTAAGAAATGAGATAATACAAGCGAATCTGCCTTGGAAATGCTAGGCAGGGTCTTTACGATGAGCTTGAGCTGAGTATTGAGAAAGCGTAAGAAGTATGCGTGCTGTATCCTCCCAGACGCCCTGGTGGATTATGACCTCATGCAGAGAACATGCTATTTGGGATCACTGCCCCTATCTCTAGCACATCTGCTGAAGGTTCCCCTGTTGGAGAATTCTGCTCAAGTCCGGATTGTTAGTCTCTGTTGAAACAAAAACTGAGTTTCTAAAATTGGTTGTCTGGAATGAACTAGAGCTGACTGGGGCAGACTACCTTTTGTTAAATAGCATCATCAGCTGACGTCCATCCTTAGGATTTTACCCTTATTTTCTCCTCTAGTTTTTATATAACAAGTGTTTCTAGATGGCCTTCATTCCTCAGATCTCTGAACTAGATTATGGCCATTGGGGAACAGAGGCTTCCAAAGAGACAAAGCATAAAGCTGTTTTCAGAGAGATTGTGTAGGAAGGATGTTTCTAGTTAACACTAAATATGTTACTATGAGAAAAAATAAAGCTATTAAATTACAGGAAGTTAACTGAAAGCATGACCCCAGAGCTGCAGATCACCATGTATTACAGAAACTGCATCAAAAATTACATTTATAAGTATTGTCAGTTTAGAAACTTGAAGAAACCTCTACCTGCTAGAAAAAATAAATAAAAATAAAAAGGAAAGAATGCTGCCCCGCCCACATGCACACACAAAGCACAACAACAACAACAACAACAAAACAGAGAAAGACAACAGAAATTCATCATTTAAAAATCTGTCATAAAGGAGCAGAGAAAACAGGTCAAAGATGCAGTTGATTAGATAAGAGAGTAGGCAGGGCCCTGGGATGGAGTAGCAGCTCCATGCATTATTGAATTCTTGAGCCAACAATATTGACCTCTTTTCTCTTTCTCTCTCTTAACTCCTTCTCTCCACTAATTCACTGGGGGGCCCTTAAAGCTGATTGTGTGATCTCCTGTTGAAATAGCCAAGAGTCTGTTTTTTATGAAATGCAGAAAACACTGGGGTTAGAATTCTTGAAGTGTAAACTATGGCATAAATTTGAGAAGGAAATCTTCATGAGAACCCTTAGTGCCGTCAGTGCTGAACACAGGCTTGCCTGTCTCTTCCTTTTATGCAAAGTCCTTTTATTTGCTGGAGTATCCTTTCAATATTGGAAGGAGCAAGAAGTCATTTCCTTAGTACCCTGGCCTTTGCCCCAGCTCCCAACAGAGGTTCTTTATTGTACAGTAGGTCATTTCTCACTATTGTCTGCCAGCTCTCTTTACTGAAATTCAGGAATACTGAAGTAATTATTGGGTGGACCCATGTGGAAATGAGGCCTGTGTCTCAGCAGAGCACCTGTAATAGAAGAGGGCTAGCTCACCGTGTCCCGGGGAGGCAGCTGTCAGGCTAGAGTAGGTGGCATCGTTTGTGAATTGGGAAAATTTCAAGAGGCTAAGGGGAACTTGCTGCTTTATGTTTCCACATTAAAGAGAGGTTAAGAACCACTCAGAGAGAGAGAGAGGAAAGTGGCAGGGGTGTGGCATCTTTTCTCAACTATGATAGAAGCAGAGATGTCCATTTCTAAACCAGATCTGAAATTCAGGGAAAAAAATAATCTTTCTCTTGCCTTCCTCCACCCCTGCACCCTATGCAGATTTTTACACTTTTGTCATTAACTTATTTTTTAAGAATTATGTTTTTAAATGGTTTAAAAATTATTTTTAATTGTGGTGAAATAACATATAAAATTTAGCATCTTAACCATTTTTAAAAAGTATTTATTTTTTTGAGACAGAGTCTCATTCTGTCACCCAGGCTGGAGTACAGTGGTGCACTCTTGGCTCACTGCAACCTCCACCTTCTGGGTTCAGGACATTCTCATGCCTTAGCCTCCTGAGTAGCTGGGATTACAGGGGCGTGCCACAACACCCAGCTAATTTTTGTATTTTTAGCAGAGATGGGGTTTCACCATTTTGGCCCGGCTGGTCTCGAACTCCTGACCTCAAGTTATCCGCCCACCTCGGCCTCCCAAAGTGCTGGGATTATAGGTGTGAACCACTGCGCCTGGCCTAACCATTTTTAAACAGCTTGTTGACATTAAGTACATCCACATTGTTGTGCAACCATCACCACCTTCCCTCTCCGGAACACTTTTCGTGCTGCGGAACTGAAACTCTGTACCTGTTAAATCAGAACTGTCTGTTCCCCTCTTTCCCTAGCCCCTGGCAGGCACCATTCTACTTTCTGTTTCTATAAGTTGGACTCCTTTAGGTACCTCCTGTAGATGGAATCATATCATATTTGTCTTTTTTGTCACTGGTTTATTTCACTTAGCGTAATGTCCTCAAGGTTCATCCGTGTTGTAGCATGTGTCAGAATTTTAAAGCTGAATACTATTCCATTGTATATATAGACCACATTTGTTTATCCGCTCATCTGTTGATGGACAGCTGGGTTGCTTCCACCTTTTGGCTTTTGTGAATAATGCCGCTGTGTACATGGGTGTACAAAAATCTTTGCTTTTAATACTTGTAGGCCCTAGTCTGAGAGACAACATACTAGAAAGAAAAATTAAATCACCATGACTGTGTATCATAAGATAATCTAACTTTGCAACTCTTCAGTATTCAAGTATGATAAATAGTTGAGAATGATCCCTTTAAGTGCATTAGGTAATGCTGTCACATAACAGAGATTATCCAGAATTACTTTCAATTTTCATGTTATCTGTAGCGTGGCTAGGAGTATTATATATACTTTTTTACAGTAAAAGAATATGGTACATGCTATTTTCTTCCTTCAATTTTCTTCTGAAGAAGTTAGAACTCAGCAGGGTTCTTGTCTAACAAAGATCAGTAATAAATCTTCCAACTCACTTTGCAGTAAGCGGAGTCCAGGGTCAAAAGTAATAGTCCTACCATCTGTTTGTGTGGACTGCAGAATTCCCTCCACAGCCTGTTCAGCAGAGGGACTGCTCCTGAGCCCGGAGCCACAGCATCACCATATTACAACACAGGCTGCAGTTCTGGAGGTTCAGACTTGCCCAGGCACAGATTATGACCCTTGAAATATCATAACCTCCTACAGAAACAGCCCGACATTATGTGATTGGCTTATACTTTAAAGCCTTATACTAATAAGTTCCATTGTACTCGTGAGGAAGAAATTTGCTGGAAGATAGGGAAGATTGGAGAATGGCTGAACTTAGAAAGAACAACACTTAAATAGTGAGTTAGAACATTTAGTACAGGGCCAGGCACGGTGGCTCGCACCTGTAATCCCAGCACTGTGGGAGGTCGAGGCAGGCAGATCACTTGAGGTCAGGAGTTCGAGACCAGCCTGGCCAACATGGTGAAACCCCGTCTCTACTAAAAATACAAACATTAGCCGGGCATGATGTTACACACCTGTAATCCCAGCTACTCAGGAGGCTGAGGGATGAGAATCGCTTGAACCCAGGCAGGGGAGGTTGCAGTGAGTGGAGATCGCGCCACTGTACTCTAGCTTGGGCAACAGAGCAAGACTGTCTCAAAAAAAAAAAAAAAGAAAAAAAGACATTTAGTATGGGAAGATATGAAATGTTACTATCCTTGTATCTTTGTTAACTAAAAATTAACTCAAAGAGACTGTAGATATGATGGTATAATAATAATTAAACTGTAATAAAGCAATTAGAAATAAAGACATATTACTGGGGATGAGACGAGAGAGATTCAGCTCAAACTCATCTTCTTCTCAGAGTTGGCTGATCCCATCCCCTGAGAAGCTCTGTAGTTCCTGACCCTCTATTACTGACATTCCTCAGGCCCCCTGGGAGCCTTCCACCAGTGTTAGCTGAGGGTGTGCGTGTCTGCCTCTACAGTTTGACCAGCTCTTAAGGGGAGGGCTGTATCTTAGCCATTTGGTATCCTCTAAAGGAAACAAAAGGTTACTGAACTGGACAGAACTGAACCAAGAGCACAAAGGGATCAGCTTATGAGGCATCAACAGATCAAAATTGGGGCTCACAAAGAAAGCAGAAATATTGAAACACCTCAGGTCATTCACTATGATGTCTGTAGCAATATAACATTGACCATCTAGGAAATAAGTAAAGTGGCTAATTAGAAAAAGAAGACCACAGAAGAGAGAGAGAGAGAGAGAGAGAGAAGGGAAGGATGGAAGGAAGATTGGTTTTTCTAAATTTATGACAAGTAATAAATACTTTATTCTCCCACACTATAATTCAGCTGTCAGTCATTCTCACCTTTTGTTATGATGCCGGTATGTTCCAGAATTTCGGGATATGCTCACAGTCCAGAACTGTAGAACTAGATAGAGCATTTCAAATACATTTGGGAAAAAATGTGCTTCAACTGGATTTTCATTTTTTTTTCCCCAAAGTTGGGAGAGAGGACAATTTCCAATTGACAGCCAACTAAAGTGAAAAAGAAAATGAAAAACCATCAAAACCCGAAAGCTAGGTCCATATTGGAGGATAGAGGAAGATCTTCACATTTTTGTTTTTCAGGACTTGAAGTGGGATGGAAATAGCCACTATGTAGTGTTACTCAAGTAGGTAAAGAAGCCCCCTTTGACATAAAAAACAAAAGTGGTTTAAAAGTTTCTTCCTTCACCTTGAGGACATTATGCTAAATAAGCCAGTCGCAAAGGACAAATACTGTATGATTCCCTCATAGGAAGTACTTAAGTAGCCAGATTCATAGAGACAGAAAGTAGAATGGTGGTTGCCAGGAAATGAGAGAGGGGAATGGAGAGTTAATTGTTTTTTGTTGTTGTTGTTTTGAGATGGAGTCTCCCTCTGTCACCCAGGCTGGAGTGCAGTGGCATGATCTCAGCTCACTGCAACCTCCACCTCCTGGTTCAAGCAGTTCTTCTGTCTCAGCCTCCTGAGTAGCTGGGACTACATGCACATACCACCACGCCCAGCTAATTTTTTTGTATTTTTTAGTAGAGATGGGGTTTCATCATGTTTGCCAGGCTGGTCTTGAACTCCTGACCTCACGTGATTTGCCCACCTCAGCCTCCCAATGTGCTGGGATTACAGGTGTGAGCCACCACACTGGGCTGAGAGTTAATTGTTTAATGGGTACAAAGTTTCAGTTTTGCAAGATGAAGTGCTCTGGGGATGGATGGTGGTGATGGTTATACAACAATGTGGATGTACTTAATGCCACTGAACTGTATTCTTAAAAATTGTTATGGAGCCAGGGCAATTTAGTGAGACCCCCATCTCTACAAAAAACTTAAAAATTAGCCAGACATGGTGGCTCGTGCCTGTAGTCCCCGTTACTCGGGAGGCTGATGCAGGAGGATTGCTTGAGCCCAGGAGCTGGAGGTTGCAGTGAGCTGAGATAGTGCCACTGCACTCCAGCCTGGGCAACAGAGCAAAACCTTGTCTCAGTAATAATAATAATAATAATAATAATAATAATAATAAGAAGAAGAAGAAGAAGAAGAAGAAGAAGAAGAAGAAGAAGAAGAAGCAGAAGAAGAAAATGGTTATGGACCAGGCATGGTGGCTGAAACCTGTAATCTCAGCACTTCTGGAGGCCAAGACAGGAGGATAGCTTGCGGCCAGGAATTCAACACTAGCCTGGGCAACATAGTGAGACCTCATCTCCACAAAAAAATGTCTTAAAAATTATCCAGGTGTGACAGCATGCATCCCTAGTCCTAGCTACTCAGGAGGCTGATGCAGAAGGATTGCTTGAGCCCAGGAGTTTGAGGCTGCAGTGAGCTATGATCACACCACCGCACTCCAGCCTAGGTGACAGAGCAAGACCCTGTCTCTAAAAAAATAAATAAATAAAAAGTTATGATGGCAATTGTTATTTGTATTTTACCACAACTGAAAAAAAGTTTCTTCTTCCTTCAAAGGATATGGGAGGCAGATTTTGTAGTGGATTGATGAAGTGAATTGAAACTACAAAAGTTGTAGTAGAATAAACTAGAAGAGCTGATTTGGAGGTTTTAGCAAGAGTGATGGTGTAGCCACATGTCTCACTGAGTGGCATAGTGCTGCTGACTGTTTCAGTGGGTATCAGCACAACCCTGGCCCCCTGGCAGTTGCGGGGAAACTGTGAGTAGAGCCCAGGCCCCCTTCGCATCCTAGCAGGAAATCCTTGAAATGTTGAAATGAGTTGAGTGCGTTAATTACCTCATTACCTTATATTTCAAGCTGCCTTGTTTGCCACTCTTTGGTAGGAATTTTGGGGGAAGAGGTAACGAACTCTGCAGTATGCTGACTGTACCCGTGGCACCGACTTCTGTGGCGGTCCTGCCTGCATGTCCTGGTGTGACCAGAGGAGTAATTACCGGTTGATCGGAGCTGGTGGGAGGGAGGGGATGATGCAGCTCACTCATTGGCTGGGTTTGTTTATCCCTCTTCTTTGGGCAGTTTCTTGCCTCTGATTTGTCAGCTTGTGCAGCCAGTGAGTCCCACTGGGATCCCATGTGCAGATTCCACTGCTCTGAATGATTCCAAAACACCACCCAACCCGACCCGACTTTGTTTCTGAATGGCCCAGCTTTGAGAGAGCAAGCATTTGGGAAGTGAGATAAGCTAATTTACATGTGCAGTGATAACCCTCTTTAAAGGACTTCAACAGTCACCCTTATAACATTGCTTTGGAAGGATCGAATGCGATAAAGTGGAGAAAGAGACTCCTCAGACACCAGGCAAATCTGAGGATGCCGGGAGCGAGTGGGACTGTCCCTGAATGATATCAGTTGTCTCATTTTAATGTTGTTTGGGTGAAGTGCTGGGCTCTGTTTTTCCTGTAAGGTGCTCAGTCACAGCCAGCTCGGGTTTTCCCTTAGGAATATCACCCAATTCTCTTTGTTTCTGAAACACAGCTTGAGCTGTAGAGACGCCTGCTTCTACAGCTGGGCTGCCCCTGTGTTGGGGCACCGTGGGCTGCTCCTGTAGGGCCAGGGCTCAGGCCCCTGGAGGCTCTCTTGCCTGGGGAGAACATGATTCCCATCTGTCATCTCTCAGATACAGCTCTGGGGTCACCAGGGGACTTGGCCAGGCACACGTATAGCTTCTTACACATCTGTCCCCATTCCTGGAGAAAACTCACAATGCAAGCACCATGCTGGTAGGGAACGTTTGCTACGTCTCTATAGGAAGCTCAGTAATGTGAAAACCCACAGAAACTAGAGTGAAAAGGAGTCAGAGAGAACCAGGCTAACCTATCAGTTCAACACTGCTCTGGGAAAGTTATAAAATGATGTCTATGAGGCTTAGTTTCCTTACCTGTCCAGTAGAGATCATAAGAGTAATTTTCTCCTTCACTTTTCCTGCAGCAATGTCTCCGGATCTAGGCTGAGTGAAGAGAGTCCCAGAGGGTTGAGGGGTGAACAGGATGAGCGTGGGGCTTGGTTCACGTGGGGTGTGGGAGAGCACTGCAGTCAAGGGTTGAATGTAGCAGAAGGTGGCACTTTCATGAAAGGAATACGAAACAAGTCATTTATCCATCCTAGGTGAATGCAGAGGAAGTTCTTTGAACGTGCTGTGTAACTATATCAACATACAGATTCTTATGCATGGCCTTTTAATTTATTAATTCTAATGAACCCAGTTTTCTGTCTTAATAAATCGAGATTCCTTTTTTGGTATGACCTTTTAAAGGGTGTTGAGTTTGACAGGTTTTATTCTCACCCTTTCTTTCTCTCCTCTCCTCCCTTTACACTGAACTTGAACTGCAGTCCCCAGATAGGATTCCAATAAGGAGGCCGCCCTTTCAGCTTGGGAGTTTTTACCTTATGGCTGGCAGGTGATTGTGTTAACATGAAATAAACCCCTAGGTTAGTAAATAATGTGACTGTTAAAGATTAGTCTTCAAAAGAAGGCAACCATACTCTTGTAAAAATTTAACCTTATAGCCAGGAAGTGACATTAACGTTGGTTAACAGTCTCGCTGCTGGTTATCAACTCAGAAGCAGACCCAGAGATCAGGAATTTAGCCTGAAACCTGATTCTCTTTTGTTCACAGTGAATCACATACATTTGGAAAGGAAGAGCATTATAACAACATTCCTATTTTAGCTAGTCTCCCGTTACCAAAAAACAAACGGGAAAAAACTGCAGCAGTTTTCAGGTTATCTTTCCTCCACGCAGCCGGGATGTTTACATCCAGAGACAGAAATGGCTTCTGTATTTAACAGCCAAAAAAAGTTCTCATTTCTAGTCTGATAAAGCCACCTGAAATTTTGATCAGTGAAAACCTGCTACAGCTCAATCTGGGTTTTGACAGAATAGCTATCCCATATTTCATTAAATAAAAAGATGCCATGTATTGTAAGGCACATCCTGATTCCAGAGATCAGAAAAATGCAAAAACAAACAAACAAACAAACAAAAAAGTATCTTATCCTTGGTGAAATGTATACAGCACAAGATTTTTCGTTTTAAAATTGTGAGTAAACAAAATGTAGGACACTACCTTACACCCTCCTAAAAGGTCTGTTGGACATATGTAAACTTTTTGAATGAAATGAAATTTTTCTTTTAGAAAAAAATTTAATGATGTTTCCGAAATATGACTTTATTGGTTCTTTTACGTCCATAAATCAGGGTTGGGACTCAATCTGCCTTATCTTCAGAGTTGTTTTTTATTTTCTCAGTTCAAATCTCACGCGATTCTTGTTAGGCCAAGACATCCATTTCTAAATTGGGGCTTTTAAATGTGGGTGATATTATTCTAAGAGGAAATTGCTAAATTTAAAACATTTAAAGTGTATATTTACAGTCCTCCCTCCATGACTGCAGATTTTGCATCCTCAAATTCAACCAACCATGAATCAAAAATATTCAGAAAAAAGTAGAAAATAACAATACAACAATAAAAAATAATACAAATTTAAAAATACAGTATAACAACCCCTTACATAACATAATTTACATTGTCTTAGGTATTACAAGTAATCTAGAGATGGTTTAAAGTATGCAGGAGGTTGTGCATAGATTATATGCAAAATACTATGCAATTTTATGTAAGACTTGAGCATCGTTAGATTTTGGTATCCCCAGGGGTCCTGGAACTAATCCCCTGTGATACTAAAGGATGACTGACTTTACAGATACTTCTCAACTTACGATGGGGCTGCATCCTAAAAACCCATTTGTTAAGTCAAAAATATTCTAAGTTGAAAATGTGGCTGGGCACAGTGACTCATGGCTGTAATCCCAGCACTTTGAGAGGCCGAGGCAGGTGGATCACTTGAGGTCAACAGTTCAAGACCAGCCTGGACAACATGGTGAAACTCCATCTCTACAAAACATACAAAATTTAGCCGGGCATAGTGGTGCATGCCTGTAGTCCCAGCTGCCCTCGGGAGGCTGAGGCAGGAGAATCACTTGAACCCGGTAGGCAGAGGTTGCAGTGAGCCAAGATGGTGCCACTGCACTCCAGCCTGGGCAACGGAGCGAGACTCTGTCTCCAAAAAAAAAAAGAAAGAAAATGCATTTCATATCCCACTAAACTCATAGTAAACTTGAAAAATCATAAGTTGAACCATCATAGGTCGGGACCATCTGTATATTAAAAGTTATATAATATTAAAGTAGGTATGTGTTATTATTACATTTAAGGAAATATAATACCACTGTAGAAAGTTTGGGGAGATGATAATCTTTTAATATTTGTAAAACTATGTTAGGAATATCTGTTAATCACCAGATTTATACATTGGGAATTATTCTCTGATAAATTAGTGTTGCATTTTGATCGGTTTTAATTATCTTCTTTCTCCATCTCTTTTTATTTGAATTTAGTAATCCTATGTGTCCTTATTTTTTTTTCCAGATTACTATTTTGGATGCAAAACGGAGCATGAACATTGGGATATTTCTTAAGCAATTTAAGAAGTAAGATTTTGCACACATTTGAAACTTTAGTCATATCCCTGCTGTCAGCATCAAAGTCTGTGGGTGTGACTGAGCTGGAATTCAAATTCCTCACACCTTCAAATCCTTCTTAGACGCATGGCTTGATGAGCCTGCAAGTGACTGTCACTTTCTGCTGTTTTTCTTCAGGGAAACATAACATAGTGGCTTGAAGTATATGGAGAATTGCCCCAGGGCATCCATTCAAGCCTGTCCCATCAGGGACACCTTCAGAGTCACCTTTAGTGTTGCCCCTTCAGTGGAGGTTGGACTGATGAGTCAAATAGCGGTCAGAGTTTTGTGTTCTGAAGTATAAGGAGAAGGTTGTGCAGGGGTTTCAGTGAGACCAAAGAGGATTATTTTTCTCACAACAAAAGAGACTCCCAGTGGTTGTTGCTGCTTTCAGCCTTTTTGGGATGCCCAAGGATGGTGCTCTGGGTGAAGGGCCCTTGAGTGGAGTGTTGGGTTCCCTGTTTTGAGGCAGTGGGGCTGTTATGAGCACTCACACAAAACTGCCAGCCAGTCTGGGAAGGAGGTGGGTGGGAAGGAGGGTGGAGGAGATTTAATTTCCACTGGCTTGCACCTCTGTTGGCACTCCAGCAAACGTGAAATGGAATGTGATTCATTGTCTTTTCAAGGTCTCCTCGGTCCATTGTAGAAGATATTCATCAAGGAAAAAGTGAGCATTATGGATCAGAGACCTTGCGAGAATTTCTTAAGTTTTTGCCAGAGTCAGAAGAGGTAAGAAATTCAGCGCATGAGTTGTAGATGTTAGGAGTGATCATAAAAGCTTAATATTTTTAAGTGTGTCAAAGCTCACATGGAAGGCCAGGAGCAGTGGCTCACACCTGTAATCCCAGCACTTTGGGAGGCAGAGGCAGATGAATCACCTGAGGTCAGGAGTTTGAGACCAGTCTGGCCAACATGATGGAACTCTGTCTCTGCCAAAAATGCAAAAATTAGCCCGGTGTGGTGGCAGGCACCTGTAATCCCAGCTACTCAGGAGGCTGGGGTATGACAATTGCCTGAACCAGGAAGGCGGAGTTTGCAGTGAGCCAAGATCATGTCACTGCACTTCAGCCTGGGCAACAGAGTGAGAATCTGTCTCTAAAAAAAAAAGAAAGAAAGAAAAAAAGCTCACATGCTCACATGGGAAGGGCACTCTCCTACCCAGAGCCAGAGTTTTCTCACATAAAAGTAAAAAGTGACCTGGTAGAAAAAGCATGGATTATGGAGTCAGAGAATCTAGATTCAGATTTGAGCTATTCCCTTAACTGAGAAAATGGGGCAAGGTTCTTAACTCCTGTGAACTTTAGTTTCCTCACCTGTAAAGGGAGGATAATGATGCTGACCTCATTGGATTGTCAAGATGATGAAATCCTAGTTAATGCATCTAACATGGCACTTGGCACGTGGGAGCTCAATAAATTCTCATCATCCAAAGAACAGGATTCCTTTTCTATCATCTAAACATGACCTTTGCATAGTATAAACCCAGGTTATTTTATAATCCATATACTTTTTTTAAAAAAAAAGATGAAAACAATCATTTTTGAATAAAGATGCTCTAAAATTTTGGGGAGGTAGGTAAACTGTTAATAAAATCTTGTCTACATAATTAACTCAAAGGTGGAAATTGTTGTGATAGTAATACATACTACCATGATATAAAGTTATTTATTTTGCTTGGACTGAATGAGTTAACTGCATTGTTGAATGGTTAGGAGCTTGATAGAAAAAAAACCCAGAAAAACAGTTGTATAAAACCTTCCAAAATTTTGATATTGTCCTTTATTTCTAAGGAAAAAATTCCTTGAAAAATTTCAGTAAGAAATTACACAAATACCTATGCTTATAGATACCTAAATAATATAGATTCTTACAAAGTTTTTTACTTTATAAGTAAAAGTAATAGATGACTTTCTTTTTTTGAGACAGTCTTGCTCTGTCGCCCAGGCTGGAGTGCAGTGATCTCAGCTCGCTGCAACCTCCACCTCCCGGATTCAAGCGATTCTCCTGCCTCAGCTTCCCAAGTAGCTGGGATTACAGGTGCATGCCACCACGCCCCGCCTAACTTTTGTTAGAGATGGGATTTCACCATGTTGTTCAGGCTGGTCTTGAACTCTTGACATCAAGTTATTCACCCGCCTTGGCCTCCCAAAGTGCTGGGATTACAGGCATGAGCCACTGCACCTGGCCAACTTTATAAGTAAAAAGTAAGGGTGACTTTTTAATATGTTATCCTTTTCACAGGCACTTCTGACTTCTCCCTCCCCTTTCCCACTCTTCTTCCCAGACATAATGTATGTAGCTTTACTTTAGTGTCAGGAGATCTAGTTATATCTAGGTGTTCCTATCAACCTGGCCGCTCTCTCTCCCTCAGGTTTTCTCTTTGCACATTAAGTGTAATTAACCCAAGCCAAGATTAATTAGCAGCAGTTATTAATGTTAGTAGTAGAGTCTTGAAGTCTTAAAGGAAGGGCACATTAAATCATAATTTACCCTGGATTGTACATACTGAACAGTCCTTAATCTTTTCTGTAAAGGATAGGAGTTCCAAAATCTTTGTTAGGATAGATAGTTTTTAATTAATTTGAGTTTTAAAATGATGTACTTGCTCTTGAAACCTTATTCCTGCTTGGGCTGTTTTCAGGCCTCCTTTAGGACCTCTCTATACCCACTCCTAATTGACCTCATCGTGTTGTTAAGTGAGGATCAGATTTGACAGCGCATGTGAAAGTGCTCTGAAAAGCTTTAAATTGCTAACTAAATCAAAGTTAGGCACAAGGGAGGCTGCCAGCTCAGCTTCATGCAGTGGTGAGGTGGGAAACTGAATACAATTTTCTTAATATCTTCATTTCTCATTTAAAATTCAAAGGTGATTAGAAAATGCAAAGGGATTTTTCAAAGAAGCAAGTAAGCTGTCAAACCTCATATTTAAAAGAACTTTGTATTTTTGGGTTGTGTGGGGGTATAATTCAAAAGGAAGACTGTTGAGGGCAAAGTGATGAAAACCCATCCAGGCACTGCCTTGAATCCCCGAGACTCTGTCACCCCCAGTTAGCTAACCCGGGAGATGGGGTCCTGCTGAAATGAAAGTATTGGCCTGGGACCCTGAAGTGCCTTCCCAGCCACTGAACCAGGCAGCAGCTGTTTCTCCCCACAACCTCCTGCTGCGGGGTCATCCTCAGTCTGAATATCTGGCGTGCTTGGTCACACTTCGCCTCCTTGTTTACATTACTGACTCTGAGCTTCAGCTCACCACACCCTCCAAACTCAACTGGGAGTTTCCTTCAGCAGGAACACCCTGACAGTCCCCAGAGCCGGCAGGAGCCCCTTCCTAAACCCTCCCGGGTATCTGTGCTGTGGGAGGGGGTCTCGGGGAAAGCCGAAGCCGCTCCCTGACTGCTGCCCACTGTAAGGACAAACTTTTTTGTGTCCCCTGGCACCAGTCAGACCCAGGGCCAACCCTGGAGTCTTTGGGTCTCTGGATGGAGGTTGGAGGATGCGGAAGAGGCCAAGGAGGAGACAGGGCCAAATAAGAGAGGTTTAGGAATGTGGCAGAAATATGCTAATAAATTCGTAAGTGGACACATTACCACGTGGCTCTCAGCCTATGTGTAACGCTCTGTGCTCATTTTTAGCACAAGTAAGGACTAAACCTTTATTGAGTGCCCCCATGTACCAGGCACTGACTGGACAGGGCAGAATGAAGTGACTGAGCCTAGTGCCTGGCACATAAAAAAATCAATCATAGCTATGATTCTTTTGTGTATTTTTCATTTAATCCTTGCAGCAATGTTTTAAGACACTCCTTGTTTTACAAATGAGAAACTGAGGCTCACACAGGTTAGTTATACCTTGTCTGGTGTCACATGATTGCTGAGTGATACAGCAGCGGGGTGGACTTGAGCCCTGATTCCGCTGAGCCCAGTGTGGTTCTGCTGCACTCCACTGCCTGCCTTGGAGGAAGGAAGGGCAAAGGTTGTCAAAACCCCGCCTCGCGCTGCTGGCCTGCCAGCCTTTTCATCACCTCTGCTATCACAAAGTACTGGTGTGAATAAGTGTCACTTGAATAATACTGTAATCTTATCAGCATGCTGAAAGATATAAACGGAAACAGCCCTTTTCTCTCCTGCCTTCTCAGCTGACAAGCCGACCAAAGCCAAGGTTAATTCGTTGTTGAGAATTTCTCTGCCCTCTACCACAAATCTTTTATCTGGCATGTTTGTTCATCTTTCCTCTAATAGAGGTTCACACTTGCAGAGGAAGAAGGTGGGCCCAGAAATGAAACTCTGGGAGTGTGTTCTTGTCCAGCACGGAGTTCCCAAGCCAGGGAACACCCCCACCACGCCTGACCAGCCCTTCCTCTGTTGTGGGCTGGTGCTAGACGTGGTAGAAACTTTCTGTTCTCCTGAAGCAGTTTGAGTTGCCTCTGCTGGACATTTGTAGTATCTCTTTCCCACCTTCTTGGTTGACTCTGCTGCTGGGAAGGGAATGACAGGAAGCCCATGGGTCTTCTGTTGGGTGGGTGTGTTTGTGGGAAATCCTGCCATTTCAAGCCATGTGACTGGAATTAGATAGGATGAAGGAGGTGTGCCCTTTGGAGTGTGAGAGTCTCAAGGAGCCTGCTCTCACTGTTAGGACAGCAACCAGGCACAACCAGGGCCATAATGAGTGTCTCTTGGCTCAGCCCACAAAGTTATGCCTAACCATGTTTAATCAATGTTTTTTTTGGTAATGAGAATGCATAATAATTATAGGGTCTGTTCACCTTTCTTTTTTACTTCCCTGCCGCTGTGAAGATACAATAATCCCTCTTAAAGAACATAAATCTCATCTTGAAATTGAACAAAGAACTGTATACATGGCATTTAAATTAAATACGGTCTTTCCATCACCCTTCTCTTGAAATCCATACATTTTTTTTAGCTTTTTACATAAGTGAAGGAGATTAATCATTGTTCAGTTACAGTTTAGCACATGTTTAATAGAAACATTTACCGAGTTTACTTAGCATGACCTGTTCTTACACTTTAGACTGAAAACCATGCTGTGATTTTCAGAGGTTTCACACATGCTACATATATGGTCTTATACAACTTCCCTCTGCCCCTGCCCATATATAGTGAATTGTTCAACTCTAGCTCAGAAGGGATTAGAATTCATCGTGTAGGTTTCTCAGCACAGAAGCCAGGGACTGATTTGGGCTTAGCTAAACCAGAAGTGCCATGTGCCCTTAAATTTAATAAGGCTAAAAATGGTCAATTCACTTTGAGGCTCTACCAGTAAGGGAAATGCAATTATATAAATGGCTATTTTCTGTCCTAAAAGAAGAAAATAGTCTTAAGAGTCAGACTTAATACTAGGGTGTGAACTCGAAGTGTTACATTTTATATTTTCAAATAATTGAGGTAGATGTTTCACTTTGTGGATCTTTGCAAATACTCCTTTCTTTATATTTTTGAACTGTCATTTCCTATTTTGCAAGGAACTTAAAATCACGTTATTAATCATAACCAAGGGAGTGGAAGATAATAAGCTTTATAAAGAATAATATGAAGTGTTAGCTACTTACTGGCAACAGTTAGCTGCAAAGATAGGCTGTACACTTCACTAATAGTATTAAGGTACTACTTACCATAAAGAATTTTGTTGGATGACTCTCTATTTAAACAGTGGACTTAGAAGTGGTTTTGCCATGGGAATGGCCCAGTGTTCTGTGTGGGGAAGGCATGATTTGTGATCTAATGTTGTTTGAAAACTTTCCTTTCATCTCCACTCTCACCTATTTGCTTTTTGGCTATATACCTGTTGTCAGAACTCTTCTCTTTTTCCTGTATTACGGGTGAAGGAATAATTGTTTGTGTGTTTAAAAACTTAGTTTAGTTTATTTTTTAAAGAGTGATCATGTTCATTGTAGATATCTTAGAAAATAAAAATGAGCAACAGAAGAAAATAGCAGACAACTGTAATCCTATCACCTAGTGTATGTGGGGCTTTTTGGGGGAGGGGCTTCCCTATGTTGCCCAGGCTAGTCTTGAACTCCTGGCCTCAAGTGATCCTTCTGCCTTGGCCTCCCAAAAAGCTGAGATTACAGGCATGAGTCACTACCTGGAGATGTGGGGCTTTTTCATCTTTTTCCTGTGTATGTAGGTGTGTGCATGGGAGGATTGGAGGTTAATAGATACCTTTTAAAAAAATTTATAGAAATAGATGTACATATAGTATGTACATCCTAGTGTACATACTATTTTATTGCCTAGTCTTTTCAGGCTGGAACCCCGCTTTTCCAGAAGCTGACCTCCTTTCCAGGCATCCACAGTACAACTCTTCTGCCAGGGTCCCTGGGGGCAATCTTAACGTCCCGTTGTTTAAGCAATTTTCCTATTTGTCTTCCTGCTGAAGAGCAGATGCGTACTCACCTGAAGACACAATAGACTCTTCCTTTAAAGCTATTGTATGTGAAGTGGGATTTGACCACTGAAAGAAAATCTGTGTTAGATCTTACTCAGTCTAAGTATTTTATATACAAAATACTCAAAATAAGATTTTTTTCCGTTTATGACTTAAAGAACCATATTATAATGACTCTACAGTCTTTTATTTCTTCTCCCAATGATCTCATTTCCAGATTATTGCTTACAGAAAATTTTCATCCTTAGAACTGATTCCTTTTTAGTCCCTCCCTTTTGTAACCTTCCTGAGGATTCTGCTGGCTCCAGCTCTCCAGTTTACACGAGACTGTGTATCTATAGCTACATAAGTGACGCTAGCTCTTTGCTTTCAAATTTGTGAGTTTGTATTTTTCTTTTAAAAAAACCAAATAGCAGATGGGAGGATTTCCTTTTTTGTCTTTTCTAAATTAATTTGAATTTAGCACTAAAATCCTATTTTTTTAGAAGAATTGGAAGATGAAATTTAAATAATCTTAAATTGTATTCGTAAGTGATTTTATATACCCCCCCTTTCCATTTGTCTTTTAGGTAAAGAAGTTAAAAGCGTTTAGTGGCGACGTGTCGAAGCTGTCTCTGGCAGATTCCTTTCTGTATGGCTTAATTCAGGTGCCAAAGTAAGGATACAGTCGCTGGTTATTATTCTTCACGCAGTAAGATTTTTAAACTAATGACATCAAATTCTACAGTTTTACTTTTTTATTTTTCAGCTATTCACTTCGGATTGAAGCCATGGTGCTAAAGAAGGAATTTCTACCTTCTTGCTCTTCTCTATATACAGATATAACAGTTTTAAGAACTGCTATAAAAGGTGAGTCAACATATGATCCTTCGCAGAATTTGTTTTTATTAATTTCGATAGCAGTTTTTTAAAAAAGCCAAATGAAATTGGACATGGAAAGTCCTGAATTTCTGATATACCCTTAAAAGGGAAATGAGATGTTACTAGGGATGCACTTAAGGTTGATTTCCATTGACATTTTTCCCCTGTAATGAATGTTAATTTACATATTACCCTCCCACAGAAGGGAATTTCTTTCATCTCAGGCTTCAGAGTCAACCTTGCTGGTTACGGCTTGCTCTTGTTTCTCTCCTGGATGAGCTTTCTCTGTGTATGTTGGTATGTGGTGTGTGCATGTGTGGTGTGGGCTGTGCACGTACACAAAGCCCGGGCCCCTGGCCCAGCTGCCTCTCTCCTCCCTGTCGTGGCCTCTTGGTGGCTGGGACCCAGCCTTTCCAGAAGCAGACCTCTTTTCCTGGGGTCAACCGTGTGACTCTTCTGCCAGGGTTCCTGACGTTTCTGTTCTGTGGTGTCGTCTCCCACTCCTCCATACTCCAATTTCTGCTGAGCTATTTAAATTTGAGAGGGGCAGATAGGCCATTTTCATTTATTTGAAAAACTCTTTAAATTCTTGCCTGCCCAGCTTGGATAGCCTCTTCTCAGAGCTGCCCTGCCGTCTCCTTCCGGAGGGGTGGGAGCTTTGGTTTCTGGCATCTTGGCACTGAGAATCCCGGCGGAGTTGCAGCTGGCTTCTTTTCAGCTCGGGGCCATATTCTCTGGCCCTCCCTGACCTTCACACTTTTCAGCATGCGTCAGTGCCAGCCTGATTTCCTTTTGGTCATTTTCTGGATTTCTAGTTATTGTTTTAGAATTGTTTATTCCTATTTGGTTTTCCTGTTTACTTGCTCTGGCCTGTTTTGAGATAAAATTTTTCTCTTTGGTCCATCGTATTTTCTTCATTTTAGAGAGGAGACTAAGAAGGAAAAAGATTTTTAAAAATTTCAACATAGAGGCCTTTAAACTTTTTTTCCATACACACTATTGCAGCGACTTTGGAAGGTTTGTTCTGGAAGAATGTGTTTTTATATTGAGCAATGCAAACTTGTGGGCATGGTAGAAACATTTCTTATCTGGTCATCCTTCCAAAACTGGCCTTCTTAGATAACACAATATAGGCAGTGATCCAACTGTAATTTTTTGAAAGTATTACCAGACTTAATGGAGAATATTAACTTAAAAATGTCAGTGACATTTTATTATTTGATAGTATAATTTTAATAAGTTTTCTTTTTACCTTTCTAAATGTATTAAAAATTTTAAATTTTGTTTCTTTGCATGGGTGTACAAAGGATTTGGTGTTAATAAAGAACTAGTTTACCAATATATTACAATGATAAGTTTCTTTCTAAAACTTTCAGCCAATCCAAATGAAATGTGTGGCTTTGAATAAAATGAAAAGATTCCCTGGATGCCTGGGCCCTCGCGGTTTGTGCTTTGCAAGTTATTTACATGTTCTCCCAGCTTGTTTATTTTTTATCTCTTCATAACTCATTGACTAAGCAAAACGTTGCTTGCTGTTAGTTTTCATATTCCATAAATGCGGTCTCTTTGAGACTGCATACTCAAAGAGTAGTGGATATACAAGGAAAAATTAAATAACTGCTGAGAAGGAAGTTAACTCCTATCTCACGGGATACTGCTTTGCATTAGGCTTTTGCATTTTTCACTAATTGAAAATTTTTATTATTGAACTATTTTGTGCTATTTAACTATCATACCTATTTGATTTCCAAGTAAACACTATGACACGGATTGCCGGTAGCAAATGATGTGTTAGGTATCCCATAGAATGTATTGCTTTGTTTGTTTTTTCCGTTTTATATACAGTTTAAGGTCACAGTTTGCTTCAGATACACTTGAACTTGGATGTGGTAGCTGTCTTTTGTGCATTTGAAACTGAAGGCATCTCTAAGGTGCTGTGATGTGTTCTTTTTGATAGAACTGATGTCATGTGAAGAGCTACATTCAATATTACACTTGGTGCTCCAGGCTGGGAATATCATGAATGCAGTAAGTAAAATCCAAAACAATTGTAATGTTATGTTTTCAACCTTGTCTATCTAAAGGTGTGTGTGTGTGTGTGTGTGTGTGTGTGTGTGTGTGTGTGTATGTATACATAATTTTTTCTTTTTGATTTGTCTTCTTTAGGGAGGGTATGCCGGCAATGCAGTAGGATTTAAACTGTCTTCTTTGCTCAAATTGGCAGACACAAAAGCAAACAAACCTGGGATGAATCTCCTGCACTTTGTTGCACAGGTATGTGGAAATGATTAGGACTTAGAGAACGCATATGAATACCCCTTGGAGGCAGTGAAGTTTTTCCCAGGCATAAGATGGTGTCCAGCAGGGTTAGGAAAGGGCATGGCAAGTTCCAAGATGGTTCTGTTTGTAGAAGCGCCATTAGCAGATTCCTGAGTTGTACTGCACCCAGGGCTATAGGGCTGAAGGGAAGTGGGAGAGTGAAGCAGAGAGGCTGGTGAAGCCAGCTATGAAGGATTTAAGTGTCAAAGGTGGGGAATTTGGATTTCATGCTTTAGCAGTGGGGAACCAACAGGAGTTTGTGCACAGTGTAATAGCTTGACTGGATCTCTTTTGTTTTTGTTTTTAGGCAAATAAGGCACTGTGGAGGCTGGGTTAGAGTAGAGAAAGAACTAGAAATAGGAATACACCTCCGCAGAAGTTGGCTGTAATTGTTTGGTGAGCGTTGAGGGGGAGGGTAATGGTCATAGGGACAGAGAATAGAGGATGGAGGATTGAAATTTTCTGATGTGGAATTGACTAGATTTGTGACCAGTTATGTGTAGAAAGGTCACTTCTGTCTTTCTCCGTGAACCATGCATTTGAGCACCATGCTGCTAGCACAGGGTTTGGAGTCTGATCCTATCCATTGCTTTGTTTTTTTTTTTTTTTTTTTTTTTTTTTTTTTTTTGACTGGATCTCTATAACACCAAAAAAGTGAGGAACAAAGTGGAAAATCAAGGACAGTTATATCTTTGTTTTGAAATGATCTCAGCTAATGGAACTGATTGGCTTTTCCTCCATTGAATCACTCAGTTGTTTTGACATCAGTGCTGTAGTCGTAGCTTTAACCTGGGGAGGAAGCCGTGGTGCAGTCTTGTTTTGAATGTGAGCTTCAGAACAGGACAGGACTGGGAGATTTTGACTGTCCTTTGCTAGCTCTACTTCCTCAGGCAAGTTATTTAAACCTGAAGACCCTCAATTTCTTCATCTAATGGTGAGAGTAGTGATAACTTACCCCAAAACTAGGTAATTGAGAGTGCTGAAGGAGCTGACTCCATAAAGTGCTTATCTCAATGTTTGGCCTATGGTGAGCTCTCCATAAATAACCATACACACTATTATTACTATATTCTTCAGAAGACAAAGGGCCATGTTTAGCTTGGGACTTAATTGAAAGGTTAATTTTCAGGCATTAAAAGAAGAAAATGTGTTCCTTGCCCAGCAAGGGTCGTGGATAGTATTCGGGCAAAGCTCTCCTGAATCCAAGTGTCCAGGCCCTCTGGGTAACTTGGTCTCTGTCCATGTGGCGAAGCCTCCTGGGTCAGTCATTGCTTCCTTCCCACTTGCCTTCCTCTCACCTCCTGAACAGGTGAAGAATCCAAACACTGCCATGGCTCCTGTACCTTCTGATTAAACTCTGTTTGCAAACTGGTTTAACAGCTGAAGGTATCTCGCTCATTTAAAGGCATGCTCACAGGTATGGGTGGTATTTAAGCAGGATATATTGGATTCTTTCAGAAACAAGGGGCCCTGCTGAGCTGCAGCCAAATGCTCATTAATTGTATTTTGTGTCAAGATCAATTGCTCTGGAAAGGTAAATGTATCTTGAGAGTAGGAGAGTTCTAGCAAATCTTACTAAGAGTATCAGAGTTCATGTCTCAGTGAAATGCTTTGAATGTGTCAAGTTTAAAAACAGGAGCAGTGATTTTAAGATTCCTTTAAGCCCTAAGAAAATTATTTCCTTCCAGTTTTATCAACATAGTGAGATAAAATTCTGTTTTTGTTCCAGGAAGCCCAAAAGAAAGATACCATTCTTCTAAACTTTTCAGAAAAATTGCATCATGTTCAGAAGACTGCTAGGTGAGCAAGTGAATTGTGAGAATTCAAGATTCTTTACCTTTTTATGAAAACTGATAAATAGTTAAAACTTTTAGATTCCAGTTTGAAGTCTAAAAGGTTTTGTTTCATTGAACTTTCAGACTGTCCTTCATTTGCTTAACACAGGTGTGTGTGCACCTTTGGAATTTGGGGGTTTTGAAAAATTAATCTTTATTTGTAAACTAAAGAAACTATTTCAGTCTATTCTAATGAATATCATCAGTATAAAAAATATGGATTAATAATTTCAAATCCCTCCACGCCCAAGAGATAGAGCTTAAACAGCACCACCTATTTCCTTGGGAGTTGGTATATATCAATCAAACTTTCATGGCCACATTTCACTGTTTCCTTGTAGAATCTAACATGGTACATTTATTTTCCTTTGCATTAAAAGAGTTTGTAACCGTACCAAGAGCTGTGAAATGATTTTACTTTAAATTAGTCACTCACAGAGAAAGGCACATACAGAGAAAGTATCTGCCAAACATAAGGCTCTAATTACATCACTCTAATTTGCTTCTGATCCTAATGTAGATATGTATCTTAATGTAGCTAGACTCTGTGTGTATATACTATTTTGACTTTTGTATATGTGTTTTAAAATTTATATTACATCCACACATCCCACGGTAAATGTTCAATAACCAGCTGTTGGAGAAAAAAGTCCTGATTTGTAGCATTTGCTGATTTCCGTGTTGTAAATACCGTAACCATGGCTGATGTCAAGCTGCTGACATACATTACTGAATGCAAATTAGGAAGAGACACCCACAGTTGGTTCTCATGAGCAGGTTCAGCCACCGCTCATGTGTCAAGCCAGTTCCTAGCATATACTTACTGAGTGTATCCAACTATGACATCTGTGAACCATATGCATATAAATAAATGAACCATAGCTCACAGCCCTGCCACTGGCCTGTACCTCAAAAGTTACTGATTCTATGAATATCTAGCCACAGATTACATGTCTTTCCCAAAGTGGGATTATCAGTTCAGAGGTGTAAACAGTTTATAATTCATGTTTACAGATCTCTAGATTGTTCTCTAAAAAGAATGGACATCTTATAAGATAGGAACTTTTGACTTACTGAAAGAAATTTGTGTGGGAACATTTTTACTGTAATTAGTATAAAAATATTCCTAAGAGATATATAGATAGAAATTAGCATTATATTTTTGAAATGGCGTTTCTGGTCAGAGCTGGATTGGAGCTAGATATTGTCTTAGAAAAATCCTATTCAGCAAGCTTGTTTATTTGAAATGGAAGGTGAAATACACTTGGGAAATACAAACAGGTCTCAGATATGTGCCGGTGACCAGTGAAGGTGGAAAACTTTATTGCACAAAGAAACATTTGAATTGACAATGGAAGCATGAATGCATCCTAATTTATGAATTTCACATGCATTTTAGGTTTCGCCTACTCAGTTTTCTGGGTAACAAAACCATCATTCACATTCTGCCTATCTTTTGTTTTTTTTGAGATAGAGCCTCGCTGTGTCACCCAGGCTGGAGTTCAGTGGTGCAATCTTGGCTCATTGTAATCTCTGCCTCCTGGGTTCAAGTGATTCTCCTGCATCGGCCTCCCAAGTAGCTGGGACTACAGGCACCCGCCACCATGCCCAGTTAATTTTTTTGTATTTTTAGTAGAGACAGGGTTTCACCATACTGGCCAGGCTGGTCTCGAACTTCTGACCTTAGGTGATCTGCCCGCCCCACCCTCTCAAAGTGCTGGGATTACAGGCCTGAGCTACCATGCCAGGCCCACATTCTGCCTATCTTGATTTGATGTATATAACAAAAGCATTGCAATCAATCCAACTGTTAATTTGCAGAATTAGGGCTGGCTGTGGTGGCTCATGCCTGTGATCCCAGCACTTTGGGAGGCCAAGGCAGGAAGACTGCTTGAGACCAGTAGTTTGAGACCAGTCTGGGCAACATAGTAAGACCCTGTCTCTACAAAAAATTTAAAAATTAGCTGGGTGTGGTGGCGCACACCTGTGATCCCAATTACTTGGAAGGCTGTGGTGAGAGGATCACCTGAGCCCAGGAGGTCAGTGCTGCAGTGAGCCATGATCTTGCCACTGCTCTTCAGCTTGGGCAACAGAGTGAGACTGTCTCTTTAAATAATAATAATAATAAAAATCAGCTGGGCCTGGTGGCTCACACCTGTAATCCTAGCACTTTGGGAGGCTGAGGTGGGCAGATCATTTGAGCTCAGGGGTTCTAGACCAGCCTGGCCAACATGGCGAAACCCCGTCTCCACTAAAAATACAAAAATTAAGCTGGGCATGATGGCACATGCCTATAATCCCAACTACTCTGGAGGCTGAGGCATGAGAATTGCTTGAACCCAGGAGGCAGAGGTTGCAGTGAGCCAAGATCAGGCCACTGCAATCCAGCCTGAGTGACAGAGGGAGATTGTGTCTCAAAAAAAAAAAAGTTGCACATTTGTTAGCTATGTTTTAGTTCTCTGTAAAATATAGAAAGCCTGCTCTGGCCACCTGTGGAATCTGCTATTTTCATGGAATCTGCTATTTTCTCACTGTTACCCTTAGTGTTAGAATTATCAACATATATTGCCTTGCTTCTTGTGGGTTAGAGTTTCCTATTTGTGTTTAGTGGCCCATGGAAAGCATATGAATCCCGGAAGCCGCTGGCATTTAGTTTGTAATGCTTATTGCATAAAGGTGTTCAGAGCTAGTTTATGAAAACGTTTGCAGATCCCATGGTTTTGTTTATCTTACCATCAAGAGTACAGTTACAACCTGCTCTCTTTGAACCAGTATATGTCTTTAGAAACGAATCACTTCTTAAAACAGGAGGAAACACAAAAGATCTAAATACAGGGGTAGATAAATATCATCACAGTAGCTCTCCCCTTCTGTTTCCAAGGTTGAACAACAGTTAGTCTTATTTAATATACCTACATGACACATGGCTTCCTTGTTCCAACTGCCCACTCTCCCCTTTCTTCTTTTAGATTATCTCTGGAGAACACGGAGGCAGAACTGCACTTGCTGTTTGTCAGGACAAAATCACTAAAAGAAAACATCCAGCGGGATGGTGAACTTTGTCAGCAGATGGAAGATTTTCTTCAGGTTTGTAGGTGACTCAAGTCAGTCCCTCTAATCTCATCTCCCAGCAGCACCCCGGGGCTGGTTAAATTTGCATGGGTGTATTTGTGGAAGCAGCAGTTCCCATTCATATTTTTTTTCTCCAAGTTAGTCAGAGGAACTTGGTATTTCCATGCCCATTCTTTGCAGAGGATGTTAAATGTGATCTAAGCCTGATATATTTTTTTTTTTTGTCTCTTCGTTTGTTTGACTTGTTTGTTTGTTTGTCTTGAGAGGGAGTCTTGCTCTGTCACCCAGGCTGGAGTATAATGGTGCGATCTCGGCAAACTGCAACCTCCGCCTCCCTAGTTCAAGCAATTCTCCTGCCTCAGCCTCCCGAGTAGCTGGGGGCTACAGGCATGCACCACCACACCTGGCTAATTTTTGTATTTTTTCAGTAGAGACGCGGTTTTGCCATGTTGGCCAGGCTGCTCTCAAACTCCCGACCTCAGGTGATCCGCACTCACTGGGCCTCCCAAAGTGCTGGGATTACAGGTGTGAGCCACCGCGCCCAGCCCAAGCCTGATGTATTTGTTTAGGGACAGTGCTTCTGCGAGGCTCCTGTTGTTCACTGCTCAGTTTGCACGATTGCAGTTTACTGTGGTGAACTGGTATCAGCCATGGAGTTGCACTTGGGCTATACCTGGCAACTCAAGTTTTGTTTCTAAACCAGTTAAACTTTCGGATAACAGAACAAAGTTCCACAGAAATCAAGATGCCTTAGAACTTGGGCTGTCATTTCTTCACTTGTTTATGTTGAAGAAACAAGCTGCGTTTTGGCATGTTTTATAATGAGAGCAGCAGAACACATGAGAGCTGTGCCCGTCAACACCAGGAGTACGCAGGGCCCACAGGGTGTGTCGGGAGCTGCTCCAAATAACATCAACAAAAAACAGCAGAGTGGACATGTTTGTGACAGCTCACTGTGACTCACTAATCGCATAGTCTGACATACTTCTTTTATCTTCCTTATTAAAAAAAAAAAAAAAGGCACCATCTCATGCTTTTAGTCTTCAGCGAAAGGCTATGCTACCTGAAGTGTTGTTAGTGTTTTGAGACCTGTGAGGTGGAATCATGTAGCAGGGCTGCCCTTGGCACTGGGGAGGAACAGTGTGCTCCTGAGGTTGTGCCAGCTGAAGCCTTCGCTTCTTAATTCAGCTCCTTCAAAATATTATGGCCTTCGGCGGATGCTTGATTTTGTTTGGCTCTGCTGTGAGTTTATTTTTATTATTAAACATGTGCTCTGTATTTTCCTTCAAGTAAAACCAAACTAATTTTCTTGTTACAAACACCACCACCAATACCACAAAAATACTGAACAGTAAACGAATGCATTAAACAAATCCGGAAAATCAAGAATAAGGACCATTGCACATCAAGACTAAAATTCTGGATGTTTCATTCCTCCAAGTTCTCATATTAACTATTACCATCTCAGTCAATATTCACACAGAGAAGCTTAGGATGAAGAACAGCTCTGACTTAGCCTCACCTCTGGACTGCTTTTCATAGTCAGTCTTGTTTTAACCCTTTACACTTCTTTCTGGCAGTCGTTTTTTTTTTTTTTTTTTTCCCGAGACAGAGTCTCACCCTGTCACCCAGGCTGGAGTGCAGTGGCACGATCTCGGCTCACTGCAACCTCCACCTCCTGGGTTCAGGTGAGTCTCCTCCCTCAGCCTCCTGAGCAGCTGAGACTACAGGCGCATGTCACCACACCAGGCTAATTTTTTGTATTTTTAGTAGCGATGGGGTTTCACCGTGTTAGCCAGGATGGTCTCAATCTCCTGACCTCGTGATCCGCCCACCTCCCAAAGTGCTGGGATTGTAGGCATGAGCCACTGCGCCAACCCAGTCATTTTTATCTCTATAAGTAAAACGTTTCATACAGCTGCATACTTTTCTTTCTTAAATTCAACTTCCTTTTGAATAGGTGAGATAAAATTTTTCGAGGTAGGTCAGGGTCAGGGCACTCAGGTCTCTGAACACCAGTCTGAATGCTGGACTCAAACTCTATGCCATAAGAAGTGGGGAACTCTTCAAGGATTCAGAGCAGAAAAATAACAGGAACACATTTTTGCAGATCTATTTCAGCATTTTCACCCTTGGGGTAAGAAATACTGAGTAAACTTGTTTGAAACTTCAGTGTGTAGCAGGCAAGTTAGAGATGTAAGGTTGACTTGGACACTACAGCTGCTAACCTGTTGACATTCTTGCTTTGCCAGTGTAGCTTTGAACTTTTCCATTTCTGGCCCTAATCATGTAGAACTCCTGCCCGGTAACTTCAAGTGTGGTTACTGTTCAGATCCACATTCAGAATGTTTCATTTTCCCAAGTCCAAAGGGTGACTTCAGTGTGTTTAAGATTTTCCTTCCTGGTACTCTGTCAATCCCCACAGGATCTAGAGATGAAACATACGAGGTGGAGCTGAGCTCCCATGTAGATTCTTGTCAAGAGGCCTATTTTTCTGCAGTTGAGCTGTTCTTGGCTGGAATCCATCTTTCCCCCTGTGGAAGAATGACAGGCAAAGATTTATCCTTTCATTAATACCATTCCTCCATAAAGAAAAATACAGCATGAATGCACACACTGCCTTGGGCTACTGACTCAGGTGGTTACTTTCTCTGGTATTTGGTTTCCTACATAGTTTTCGTTTCTTACTACCTCTTGAGTGTGTTTGGTTTAAGAGAAGGGCTTTTAAGGGGGAAAGTGGGTTGGAGTGGGTAATAGGTGGCGTCTTCACAGAATTTCCCTGTAGGTTCTGTAGCTCTCCACACAGGTTCAAACAGCAGTTCTACCCCTCCAAAGTGGGCAACTTTAGCTTTACCATTTCCCAGCCCATCCCCACTTCACTCAAAAAATGTTTTCAAATATAACCTTTTTTAAAAACATGATACATGTGATTTCATAAAGTAACATACTTCATTCATTCCTTCTTCATATAACCATTATTTCCCAGTAAACAAGGAAGCAACATAGGCTAGGCTCAGTGGCTTACCCCTGTAATCCCAGCACTTAGGGAGGCTGAGGTGGGAGGATGGCGTGAGGCCTTCCTGGGAAACATAGGGAAACCCTGTCTCTACAAAATATTTAAATATTAACTGGGTGTAGTGGTGCATAGCTATAGTCCCTGCTACTCAGGAGGCCGAGGTGGGAGGATTGCTTGAGCCCAGGAGGTCAAGGGTGCAGTGAGCCATGATCACACCATTGTACTCCAGCCTGGGTAATGGAGTGAGACCCTGCAGGTCTCAACATAAGACTTCAGTGTGATTCCAAATGTTCATTCTCATGGGCTGTGGCTGCTGTGGAGCCCTTTTTCTCCGCACCATACTGCTTCCTCATGCAGCTCCCCATGTTGTCACTGAACTGCCATCGGGGAAGTGTGTGTGACCCTTGGACATGGCAGATTCCATGCTGAAGGCCTTGGAAATCATTGGAGGAAAACAAGCTTCCTTTCTTCCCATCTCTGTGTTGAGGCAGTACCAGAATGCACAGGGGCCTCAGAGACTTATTTGTCCTAGAAGAATTAGGAGAAAATGAAGAAGCAAAGAGGGTGGTTTTGTAAAGGACAGTAATGCCTAGCCATTGGGACCCATCAGAATCTCCTGGGGTGGTGCTTTCAGAAAATATTAGTGTTGGGTCCACCCCAAACCTGTGAAATCGAACGGGAGGAATACAGGCATGGCCTGTTGCCAAGCTTCCCAGCTGACTTGGATCAGCACCCCGGGTTTAGGCACGAGGGTTTTGGTCCTGTGGGGGTGACCCTGACCCTCACAGAGCTCATTTGGGATTAAGCTTAGACACCCTCTCAGTGGGGCAAAATTGATAATGCATCAGTAGAGCGAGTAGCTTCAGGGACCCTAAAGTAAACTCTTGACCAGTGTAAGACTCAATTTTAAGAGGAAGAAGAACAGATGCAAAATGGATCTTCCTTGGTAAAAACCAGTTGTATACCTGTGTAATTTTTTTCAGTGACATTAAAAGTGAACATTTTGTTAGTGACGTTCTGCAGGTTAAAGTTCTTAAATCTATCTTGTTGCTTAGTCTAGGTCTCACACGGGACTTCACCTTGCTTTCCCCGAGGTTTGTTCTGGGTTGAATTATTTTCCTTTTGGCTCTGATTGCATTGGCCTTGCAATAAACCTTCCTTTTCCAAGACCTGAAATGAAACCCCAGAGCACGTCTTCTCTGGGCACCGGATGCAGTGCCCAGCGCCGCCTCAGCTGACAACGTTTACCTCAGTGTGTGTTCGTTTGTTTTTCCGCAGTTTGCCATAGAAAAGCTGAGGGAACTGGAATGCTGGAAACAAGAGCTCCAGGATGAGGCCTACACCCTTATAGATTTTTTCTGTGAAGACAAAAAAACCATGAAACTGGATGAATGCTTTCAGATATTTAGAGATTTCTGTACCAAATTCAACAAAGCAGTTAAGGTACATCTGGCAGCATCTGTGTCTTGGGGTTGTTTGGATTTTTATTTTCCTTCTTCTCGACCTAGTCATCTGCTCACCACAGAAAGGCACTTTGCATCTCCACGGTTTCGGGGACATCTGGCCCAGGTGGTATTGCCAGGCTCTCGGCTGGGATTGCTGGAAAGTGGCTCTGCCATCCCAGCCCCGAGGGCTTGCATAGCATCAGGGGGAGGCATTTGACTGCCTCTGCTACTTTGGTGCACAGGCTCCCTGACACTCACATTAATGCCTTGAGAGCATTTTGTTAGTAAAGTTCCTCCATGATGGCTGTCATACCATTTAAAAGTCTCTTGAAGATCCTGAATGTCTTTCTCTCCCGCTCCCAGAAGAGAACGTCCTCTTCCAGGGAGACTTCTGTTGTGGTGGGATGATGGAACGGCCCTCCCTTTCCCTTCTTCCAAGCTCTGCTGCCGTCACTGTGGGATTGGCACCAGGGCAACCATGTGGTCCTCCCCAGAGCGGTCTTCCAGATTCCCAAATAACCACAAAGCCTGCTGCCATACTGAGCAAGACAGCTACCTTTCTTGCCCTTCAACCACCAATTCCAGTCATCTCTGGGTTTAATGTAGAAGCCAGAAAACTCTCTGGGTTGCTTGGCTTTCAAGTAAAACTTTAATTCATCAATTGAAAGCAAACCGGCCACTCACATCCCTTCATTTCGGGTGGTGTTGAGGAAGCAAAGCTCGTGAGTCATCTCTCCCCCTCCAGTTGGAATGCAGCTTAGTCCATAGCTGAATTTCTTTGAGGGATTGGTCAGATTTCTCTCAAGCCCAGAATTGCTTTGTGTTCTCGACCCCTCCTTTCTCTATCCAGTTAAGAGAAGGAGGCTCAGCCTGTGGCCACGTTTGCACTCCTCTGGCCAAGAAGTGAGCTCAGCTGTGGGAGGCAGTGGTGGGTGTCAAGGCCAAGTTGGCTCTTAATGAGGCCCTCACTCCCAGGAATTCCATAGGCCTGTGAGGCCACCTGTGTGATGCTCTCAGCCCCACTGTCCAAAGAGCCAGGCACCGGCCCCACCACCACCACAGGCAATCTTTAAAGAAGGCCCGAGAGACTTGGGGACGAGGTGGGAGGCTGAGGCCAGAGCTGCAGGCGGAGCCAAGAGTCCCCGGCTAGAGCCCCACAGAAACTTGGAAGGGAAAGGCCATCATTGGAGGAAATTGATTGTCAAGTAAAACTGCTAACAATAACACATTTGGGCTGTGAGATCCACATATTTCCATGACACAAATCTATTTAAAGTGCATGGCCAGGTGGTAGAGTGTGCTTTGGTATGTGAGCTTGCTCTGGTGCAGTTTCGATGGGAAGGGCTGGGTTCTCTGGAGCAGGGTGAAGGTTGAAAGATTTGTAAAGCACACCTCCTCCTCTTCCTCTTCTCTGATTGTGGGAACAGGCTAGGACGTGAGAGGCAGAGCCATGTGCTGCAGGCTGCAGCTGGCAGAGCCACCATGCCACGTGTGGTGTTGCTTTACCAAGGAGCAGTCAGGGAACAGAGCTGAACAGAGCATCTCTTAATATTGTGGCTATACATTAATACATCCAAATCACTGTTAAGTAGAATGTGCTACACATGAATGTGTGTAGGACAGATCCATGCTGCACAGAAGTACAATTTGAGGCTCGCTCTTTAAATACCCACAGTATTTTTCTCAGCTATTGCCTATATAGCCCTTTCCTGGAAGTCCTCTGTGTCTTATACTGCTCAGAAACAGAGTTGGCTTTCCTTGGAGTTGAGGTCGCATGCTTATGTGGAATGGCAGCCTCCACTGAGCAGTGCCTTGGCTGGAAAGCTGGAAGTTGGGCCCAAGGATCGGATAAAAACTGTAGACAGATTGTTGGGCCAGGTCTACAGCACTCACCCCTTCTGCTCAGATCCCTAGTAGCTTTGAAGAGCCTCACCCTCCCTCTACACACACACACATGCGTACACACACACACATGCATGTGCACACACACAGCCTCTTTCTCAGTGTAAGACATGACCCTGAGCTCCCCTCCATGCCTGTATCTTTCTTTGGCTCTTAGCGTAGGTGGCTCTGGAACTGCACATTGGTCCCACATGTCTCATGCATCTTCGGGCTTCTCTCCATCCCTCAGGACAACCACGACCGGGAGGCGCAGGAGCTGAGGCAGCTGCAGAGGCTGAAGGAGCAGGAGCAGAAGCAGCGCTCCTGGGCAACTGGGGAGCTGGGGGCATTTGGCCGGAGCAGCAGTGAGAATGATGTGGAGCTGCTGACCAAGAAGGGTGCAGAGGGCCTGCTCCCTTTCCTGCACCCCAGGCCCATCAGCCCCTCCAGCCCCTCCTACCGGCCCCCGAACACCCGCCGCTCCCGCCTCTCCCTGGGTCCCTCTGCTGACCGGGAGCTGCTGACCTTCTTGGAGAGCTCCACCGGCAGCCCTGAGGAGCCCAATAAGTTCCACAGCCTGCCCCGGAGCAGCCCCCGGCAGGCCCGGCCCACGATAGCCTGCCTGGAGCCTGCAGAAGTGAGGCACCAGGACTCCAGCTTTGCACACAAACCTCAGGCCTCGGGGGGCCAGGAGGAGGCCCCCAACCCACCCTCAGCACAGGCGCACCAGCTTGCAGCCGCCCAGCCTGAGAACCATGCCTCTGCCTTCCCCAGAGCTCGGCGCCAGGGCGTCAGTGTCCTCCGAAAGAGGTACAGTGAGCCGGTGAGCCTGGGCTCAGCACAGTCCCCTCCTCTCTCGCCATTGGCTCTGGGAATTAAGGAGCATGAGCTGGTGACAGGGCTGGCCCAGTTCAACCTCCAGGGTTCCCAGGGCATGGAGGAGACCTCCCAGCTGACTCTGAGTGACTTCAGCCCGATGGAGCTAGAGTCTGTGGGGCATAGGGGCCCGCAGTCCCTCAGTGCCAGCAGCAGCAGCCTGACACCCATGGGCAGAGATGCCCTGGGGAGTCTCAGCCCAGCGCTGGAGGATGGCAAGGCTGCCCCCGATGAGCCTGGAAGTGCAGCTTTGGGATCTGTGGGTAGCAGCGACCCTGAGAACAAAGATCCTAGACCTCTGTTCTGCATCTCGGACACCACCGACTGCTCACTGACCCTGGACTGCTCAGAGGGAACCGACTCCAGACCCAGAGGCGGGGACCCGGAGGAAGGCGGGGAAGGGGATGGCTCCATGTCCTCTGGGGTTGGAGAAATGGGGGACAGCCAAGTCTCCTCCAACCCTACATCCAGCCCCCCTGGGGAGGCTCCTGCCCCCGTCTCTGTGGATAGTGAGCCCAGCTGCAAGGGCGGCCTGCCCAGGGACAAACCCACCAAAAGGAAAGATGTTGTAGCACCAAAGAGAGGCTCCCTGAAAGAGGCGTCTCCCGGGGCCTCCAAGCCCGGGAGCGCCCGGCGGAGCCAGGGGGCAGTGGCCAAGTCTGTGCGGACCCTGACCGCCTCAGAGAACGAGAGCATGCGCAAGGTCATGCCCATCACCAAGTCCAGCAGAGGCGCCGGCTGGAGGCGACCAGAGCTGTCATCCCGGGGGCCCTCCCAGAATCCCCCCAGCAGCACAGATACTGTGTGGTCACGCCAGAACTCCGTGCGGAGGGCCTCCACAGGCGCCGAAGAGCAGAGGCTGCCGCGGGGGAGCAGCGGCTCCAGCAGCACCCGTCCGGGGAGGGACGTTCCCCTGCAGCCCAGGGGTTCTTTCAAGAAGCCCAGTGCCAAACCACTCAGGAACCTCCCCAGACAGAAGCCTGAGGAAAATAAGACCTGCCGCGCCCACTCCGAGGGCCCTGAGAGTCCCAAAGAAGAGCCCAAGACCCCGTCAGTGCCCAGCGTCCCCCACGAACTACCCCGTGTCCCGAGCTTTGCCCGGAACACAGTGGCCTCCTCCTCTCGAAGCATGAGAACAGATCTTCCTCCCGTGGCCAAAGCCCCCGGCATCACTCGGACAGTGTCGCAGCGGCAGCTGAGGGTGAAAGGGGACCCCGAGGATGCCGCTCCCAAGGACAGCAGCACTTTGAGGCGAGCCAGCAGTGCCCGGGCCCCCAAGAAGCGCCCAGAGTCTGCGGAGGGTCCCAGTGCCAACACGGAGGCCCCTCTGAAGGCCAGAGGGGCTGGGGAAAGGGCCTCCCTCCGTCGGAAGGACTCCAGTCGGACCACGCTGGGGAGAATCCTCAATCCCTTACGGAAGTGATGGGTGCCTGTCCTCTCCTGCCTCCTGGGATTCAGACGGTGAAGACTGACTTCTGGGACGAGGATGGGGAAAGAGGCAGCATGTCTTTGTTACAGATAAAGCAGCCACTGGTGCCACTGCTAGTGACGCTGTTGGGATGGCACAGTCCAGGAGGCCTGTGGACTGCAGCCTGCTGTGCTGAGCCCTGCTGCAGTCCAGCGTCCAGATGGATGCACGTTCACTACTGTGACGGCCGCACCTCCCCCATGCACCCCACCCTCCCCCAAAGCCCGGATCCCGAGAAAGATTTAGTAGGAGTGTAAAGTGACATTCTTATGAAACAAGTCAAAAAAGTTTTTTTCAGGCCAGTTTTTATATATCAAAGACTTTCTTTTTAATATAAAAATTAGCTAGGTGCAGTGGTTCATGCCTGTAATCCAGCACTTTGGGAGGCTAAGATGAGTGGATTGCTTGAGCCTAGGAGTTCGAGACCAGCCTAGGCAACATGGAGAAACCCCGTCTCTATCAGAAATACAAAATTTAGCCGAGTGTGGTGGCACATGCCTGTGGCCCCAGCCACTCTGAACGCTGAGATGGGAAGGTCACTTGAGCCCAGGACCCCACCACTGCACTCCAGCCTGGATGACAGAGTGAGACCTTGTCTCAAACAAAACAAAACAAAAATGAAATGTTCTAGTTTTGGTTCCTTTTGCAGAGTGAAATGCCTCCCAGGAAAAAAATACATATGTATTTTTTTGCGACAGGGTCGTGCTCTTGTCTCCCAGACTGGACTGCAGTGGCACAATCATAGCTCACTGCAGCTTTGACCTCCCAGACCCAAGTGATCCTCCCACCTCAGCCTCCCTCAGAGCTGGGACTACAGGCGTGCACCACCACGCCTGGTTAATTGTTTTTTTTTAATTTATCTTTTGTAGAGATGGGATCTCACTATGTTGCTCAGGCTGATCTCGAGCTCCTGGGCTCAAGTGATCCTCCCACCTCAGCCTCCCAAAGTGCTGGGATTACAGGTGTGAGCCACCACACTTGGCCAGTATATCCTCAGTATGAAGATATTTTTATCTTCCTGTGTTCTCTGGCTTCAGAGTTTCACCTGCCCACACAGGGTCCGTTGCTGGCAACTGGACTTCCCCATAAGCCTTGGGTATCCTGTGATGGGCTGTGTCTCCCTGAAGATTGTCTGGCTTGCCCACTTCTCCGTGCATGACTCTGGGTGTGAGTCTGTCTAGGAACAGGAGGGAAAGTTGGACTCAGACAGAAATCAGATGCTTCCATGTATTCAGGGCGCGCATTGTGAGCAGTGGAGTATGAGCCTTGAGGGCCTCATGGTTGCAGGGCAGGCTTCCCTGCAGATGGGTGGCAGCCCCTGGTAGAATGCTGGATTTCTCTGGAATCTAGAAGTGCCATATTTTAGTGGAAAGGCATCAGGGCTGTTTGACAGTGTGCGTCTTTCCAATCCCATGTTCCTCCATTCGTGTGTCTGTTATAAAACTGAGTGAAGGCTGCTATGACCTGTGTTCACTCTGGTTACAGGGAGGTGCAAACCATTCTGTCTCCCAGCCTTTCTTCTCTCTTTGTGTGCTCCCAGCACTTCCTTCTTTTCTAACATGGCCTGGAGAGAGTCTCTCTCTCCTTGTCTCTGTCTCTTAATAATAGTTTTTAACGTGGACATCTCTTCCTTGGTACAGTGGTTTTTAAATACTGAGAAGAACCAAGTCAGGTTTTTTAAAGCAGACTAAAAGCATGAAATTGCTTTCAGAAGAATGTATATCATCGGGAAAAGTTCGGGGGCAGAGTGGGGGAATCAGGCTTTATTCAAAAGAAACAGTTGAAAACATGGGACTTTTTCTACCCAATGCCCATTTCACGACTCCTCTGAGACTAATTGGGAAACGGGGAAATTCTTGGAATTTTTTTTTTAAGAAACTTTTTTGTGTTTTTTTTAATTTTAGGTCACTTATTAGTGAAACCTCATTTTAGATCTGACATTGGTAGATAGATGGATTTAGGCAAATATGATGCGTTTGTGGGGAATCCACGTGGTTGACGTTAGAACCTCCCTTCTGCAGACTGTTGCCTGTCATCTAAGCGAATTGGAAATGCTGAGCTTCCATAAGTCAGCTGAGTTTTAAAGGTAAACGTTATGGCTGAAATAGTAAAGCACCTGACCACAAAACCTCTTGTAAAAACAGCCCTGAGTAGGTATTTCCAGGGCTCCACAAAGTTGCTTATGGGAATCCTGAGCTGCTTTTCACCATCTCAAGAAGCCTAAGAAGTTATATATTTAATCAGGTAGACAAAACAGTTCAAAGCATAAGGTCCATGGTGGTGGAAAATGGATGCAAGTGATTCTAAGTTTGTGGATTTGTGGATAGCAGAGGGATCGGGACCTCTTGGAGGAACCCTGGGTACCAAGCTCCCAGGCCCTTCCTCTATCATGGATGCTGGGTGACTTTGGGAAGTCACCACCTCTTCCCAAGCCTGTTTCCCATATCACAGATGTGGGGCCATGGCCTCGATGATGGTCTCCACAGGTCTTTCCACCTCTGTGAGTCCAAGTCAGGTCAATCAGCAAGGACCCATCTCTGCCCTGGGTCAGCTCCTCAGAACCAACCCCCAGCATCTCTAAAGCAAAAGCCTCACCTCAAGGGCTGCTCAGAAGAGAGCACCTTCAGCATGAGTTGTTGCTGGAAGATCTAATAAGCTGTGTTTCCTGGGAAGTGGTGCTTTACTTAGCCCTGTGGACAACTTCTCTATGCATCTGTGTGAGCAGATGATCATTGTATTACCTTTTATCGGTAGTAAGCTTGGAAAAATAATTTAAGAATACAATGGAGAAATGTAAATAAGTATCTATGTAAATTTGTTTAAAATAAACTGAATGTATTTAATGGTCCATTTATATGTTCTTTTATGTAACATGTAGTTTAATAAAGTTCCTGTTTATGAGAGTCATGTTTCATCTCAGCTTCTTCCATGGATGTGTCTGTGTGATCTTGCTGGGAGAGTATTCAATTTCCTGCCCAGAGAGAAGCAGAGATCCAGGAGGCTAGGGAGGGTTGGGATACAGCTGACTTGTCCTCCAAAGGCTCAAGAGCCTAAATGAGGCTGTTGGCTGTGTGTCTTCTTGATAGCACAGAACCTGCTCATAATTGAGGGCTTAGGGAGTGGGCCTTGCCCCAGGCCGTGGGGATGTAACCCCGCCTCTGACACGCAGGCTGTCGATGAAGTGCGCAGCTCACGTTATTCCATGCTGAGCTGAGTTTTTTGTCATCTCCGTGGGCCTGGCAAGTCTAAATGGTGTCCTGGGTGTCCTGCATTTTGGTTCAGGACACCATTAGGAAATCACAACTCACCTCATGGCTGACTCAGGAATGAGCAGAGAGGAGGGAGAGATGGCTTGATATGACCGGCATTGTGCATATTTGAAAAGGAGTGGCGATTGTGCCTCAGATACACCTCATACCTCGGATTATGTCATGTTTCAGTCCTAGCTACTTGCCTGCTTTATCTGAAGTGGGCTAGAGGAACATCCCTGGGTCAGAATCAGCAGATGAGAGTAAATTATGTTCTTGTTGGGAGTTGCTGCTTGCTCCCTGAACATGTGGAAGTTGGTCTTGTCTGTGTTATAAGCAGTTTGGGACACCAGACTCCTCCCTAAACCTTCAGTCCTGCTGCTCAAGGGATTACTGACATGTACTGCCCCCGTCCCCCCACCAAGAAAGCTTTTTATTTTTCTAATGGGTCTCAAGTAATCTTCCATTTCTCCTTCCCTTTTATTTTATGGCTTTCATAAAGAATCTGTGGCTTCATCCTCCTAAAGAAATTCATTAAATTAAAGGGGCCACCATCTCCTAATTGTTCATTCAAGACTGCATATTTATGTGTTAGGGTGAGGGACCCCAGAAGACTTTGGAAGAACTATTAATCCACCTTCGGGGGTGTGTACATTTGTGAATTTCTGCCTCTAAGGGTGCAGTATCCTTTCCCTAGCTCCCCCCGTATGGCAATGATGACATTTTGCAATTTTACAGAATTTTCCATTGAAACTTAAACTTAATTCATCATTATATTTTTGCTGCATGCTCCAACCCTGTCAGAAAAATAGAAGAGAGAATTTTTTTGGTGCGTGTCCCCAAACACATATAATCATCAAATGTATAAACCAAATTTGAATAAAGGACATTGCATCTGATCACTCATTAAGTGCTGCTTAAAATTATTTGGGCTGTGAGCACAAACAAACTGGGGCACCGGGGTCTCTGCAAAATCACCCTGCTCAGCATCTGTGGGGAAAGAATGCATAGCTCAGGCCGAATCTGCGGCAGGGTGGAAAACACAACCCAGAGCACCCGCTCCTCAGGGCTTTTCGTCCACTAATATCTCCCGGTTTGGATGTCCCACAGCTCACTGGATCTCCTAAGTGAAGACAAGAGTAACGTGGTAGTTGAAGAAAACGGCTTTTCTGTCTGCTGGGCCAGAGCTCTGCAATGGGGCTTTTGGCTTCCTGATTGGTAGGTAGGACAATTGGACTGGCCGCAAGCAGCATTCATAGTTGTTCATTCACAGACCCTTTACCAAGGGCCCACCAGAAGCCTGACATCCCTGACTATGAGCTGTGGAGGGAGGCACCTGGGCGTTTCAGGGAGGATGCCTATTCCAGGTTCTCACTGATGGAGTCGTGCCAGGCTCCTGGAGTCAGGTCCTGGGCTTTCCCCTGCCCCCGTCAGAAACACACTAAAGGGCTGAGTCATGCAGGCAGTCCCCAGCTCACAAGCAGAGGATGTTCCCCAAGTTTGCTTGCGGTGAGATTTGAGGATTTCAGAATGCCCTTTCCCAGAGCAACCATGTCATGCATTATGGGTATGTTTTCAGGATAGCACATTAGAAAACTATTTAACCTGTCCGCTGTGGTCTGAATGTTTGCTCCCCCTCAAATTCCTGTGTTGAAATCCTAACCCCCAAGGAGGTAGGATTAGGAGGTGGGGCTTTTGGGGAGTGATTAGGTCATGACCTGGAGCCCTCATGAATGGGATTAATGCCCTTATAAAGAAGGCCCGAGGACGCGCAAGCATCCCTTCCACCATGTGAGGACACAGCAAGAAGTGACCGTCCGTGAACGGGTTCTCACCAAACATTGGGTTTGTCAGTGCTCTGATCTTAAACTTCCCAGCCTCTAGAACTGTGAAAAATACATTTCTGTTGTTTGTAAGACCTTAGGTCTATGGTATTCTGTTATAGCAGCCCAGGCGGCCTAAGACGCCAGGTGTGGGTAGATTACACCACAGGAATTTCTACAGAAGAGAAGCTCACTTACAGCAGTGTTCCTGAAGGAAAAGGTCAGGAGTGCCGGGAATGTTTCTCTTCTACCTCCTGCCATCAAGTGGAGGTGAAGGCACTGCAGCTTCAGGGCACTGGTGACCGGAGGAGTGGTGTCCACTCTCCACTGCTGGAGAAGAAAAGATCTCTCTGCTCTTGAGGTGGGGCTGAATGCAGAGGCAGACACAGGGGTTTCCATCTCCCAGGACAACTCCAGGAAACATGGGTCATTTCTATAACTGCAATTGCCTTTTGGCTGTTCTTCCTAACAGAGAGCACACTGGGCCAACAGAAGGGTGCACATCCTCTGCCTTCATTTTCTGGGAGGGAGGCTGGATTCAGCCTAGCCTGCTAGACAACTAATGAGAAGGTGGCAGAGGCTGTGGGGAGGCCACCTGTGTGGCCAGGGCCGTGGACCCATGAGCCAAGGCTAGCTGGTAGCTGGGGAAGTGAGCCACCTTGGTGAGAGCTGGGATGTTCACTGCAGGTGGTGAGCTTTCCTCGGTGCTCCTGACTTGACAGTGTTGGAGCATCCAGTGGCACTCACAGCATGGAGTGCTCCTGCGCACAGCAGAATTACTTGGGGGTGGTGATTCCTAGTCCCACCCCAGACTCACAAGCCAGAATCTTTCTGATGGGCCCCCAGATTTTCACTTTAGCAATTTTCCACTGATTCATTTTCCCTTCTGCTGTTGAGACCCACTAAGCTGGAGAGAGGCAAGAAGGCAGACTGGTAAGAATTCCACGATTCCCATGCAGGCTAATGAGCTGTTCTCCATGCTGGACCCCTCTTAGAGCCTCTGTCCAGGCAATGTAGGTGTGTTTCACTCTGAGCAAGCAAGACAGAAGCATTTACTCTGAGCTCAGCATCCGATTAAGAGGAGAGCTGCCTCAAAGGAGTCTGGGGAGCTGGTCTAACTTAGATCTTAAAACATAAAGACTTGCAGTCATATGCATGGCCACCGAGAGTCTGGAGCTCTCAGTCACACAACATTAGAGCTTCCATAACAATGGCTCCTGGGGGAACATTGGAAGTGACACTTCACTAGCATCTTGCCATAGCTGCCCTTTGGACAGATTATAATTTAGTGTATGTGAAGCATTTTACTAACAAGTGCTGAACAATGCCACACCCCTGTCTGAGTACCCCAGTAAGAATTTTTTCAGCAAAGCTATTCTTTGGAACCCTGTTCCCTGGACTTCATGGGTGTTGGAGCTTTCCACAGCCTTCACGAGGATCACTTCAACTTGGGCCTTGGGAGCCCCATCTAGCAGCTTTGGTTCCTTCCCTCTTGCTCTGTGCTGGGGCCAGGCAGGCCGGCCGGCATCTGCCCTGACCTCACCGGTCAGGAAGGGGGTGGGATGCAGCTCTCCAGGGTGCTGACTCAGAATGCAGGCAGAAGAAGGGATGCGGCAAGACAGGCTCCCACCCTATTTTAGGATGTGGAAACCCTCCCCGGAAGAAGGACTGAGCCTGATTCTTTCCAAAGTGGCCAGCATAGAATAATTGACCATTTTCCCACTCCCGTGCTGTCAATGGCTGCTCATCAGTCTGACAAGGTTGTTGGAAGAATCTGGACAGTCTTGCTACGTTCAGGGACGGTCTTGCTAGCCTAGGCAAGTGCTGAAGAAGGGTTTGAGCTATATTTGAATGAAAACGATAGTTCAGCCAGGCTCAGTGGTACACGCCTGTAATCCTAGCTACTTGGAGCCCAGGAGTCTGAGACCAGCCTGGGAAACCTAGTGAGACCCCATCTAAAAAAAAAAAAAAGAAAAAAAAGAAAATGATGATTCAGCTTTGGAAGCTGCCTCAGCAGAAAGAACAGTGCCTCCATTCAGCTATGGCTGAGTGGAGCCGTCAGCTTCCCATTGGCTTTATTTCCTTCTTTCCCAAGGCACAAGAGGTTCCCACCAGCTGATTCATCCCCAGGGAGGAGAGGGAAGAGGTGGGCTCCCTGCAGGGCAGGCTTCTTCACCACTGCTGAGAGACAGAGGCAGCAGAACAGCTTCCCCACCCCCACAGGGCCTCCTACTCCCAAGTTCAAGATCGACTCCAATACAATAGAACTGGAGTCACTAGATAAGCAGCGGGGTAAAGTGTCTAATTGTTCTCAGCTCTTTCTCAAGCCCCTGCTTTTCTCAACCAGCTCACAATGGGTTGAACTCTGGCTGGAGCTTGTCTTCCAAGAAGCTCGTGGCTTTGCACACAGTTACTCACCACATTCCTGCTGTCCTAGTGACCAAGCAGGAGGTGAAACGTCATTCCCATTTGTCAAATATCATTCCCACTTGTCAAACATCATTCCCACTTGTCAGGGAGGAATTCCTTCCAGGAGTTGTGAAGGGGGAACTTGTGAACCAGTGGTTCCGTGTGGCTAGCATTGGCAATGTTCCTGGAACGATAGCACCAGAATGAGGCCCACCTGGTCACTGGACACTGTCCTCAGCCCTGGAACCTCCCTTTCAGGAGGAACCTTGATGAGCTGGAGTAAGACGAGGAGAATGACCAGGCAGTCAGAGTGTGGGCACCATGCTTCACGGTGAGCAACTGAGGCTGCCAAGACCATTTAAGCTTAAAAAAGGCTAATAAGAACCTAGTGGTGTTATTAATCTTATTCTGTGTTGTTCCAAAACACAACAGAGATAAATCCTCAGGGTCAGGATGAGTTCATGCCAAAGCTGCACATCTACCTACCTCCCTGGGCTGGAGGCCTCAAAGCCCCTTCCACTGGGATACTTGAACTTGTGAAATGACTGCCCCAAACTCAGTTGCTGGGCTGATCAAGTAGGCCCTGAAGGCCACTTGTCCCTCATGGGGGTCACCTCCTGGGAAGGCCAGCTGCACCTTAGCATGCCATGAGAAGAGGCTTCCTGGTTATCATCATCATCATCATCATCATCACATCAAAAGTGTTTTGTTTTGTTTTGTTTTGTTTTTGAGACAGTGTCTCACTCTGTCTCCCAGGCTGGAGTGCAGTGGCACAATATTGGCTCACTGCAGCCTCCGCCTCCCAGGTTCAAGTGATTCTCCTGCCTCAGCCTCCTGAGTAGCTGGGATTACAGGCACCCGCCACCAAGCCCACTAATTTTTGTATTTTTAGTAGAGACGGGGTTTCACCATGTTGATCAGGCTGGTCTCGAACCCCTGACCTCAAGTGATCCACCCACCTCAGCCTCCCAAAGTGCTGGGATTATAGGCATGAGCCACTGTGCCCGGCCCAAAAACGCTTCTTGAGCAGCTCCTAGGTGTAGGACCCACTGTCACCTTGAATAGCATTTGTACATTCCTCTTGGATTCACCCACATGGCAGAGCTCTGGAGTACAAGGACCGTCACCTTATAACAGATTCACAGTGGGAGTTAGGAAAAGTCTGTGACTCCTGGAAGTGCTGAGTCTTGCAGGGATTCTGGAAATGAGGTGCTCAGGTCTGTGTTGTCTAATGGCTCCTCAGAGTCCCAGTCGTCCTCCACCCCAGCTCGAATACGTCTTCTTCTTCTTCTCCTTTTTTTTTTTTTTTTCATTTTAAAACATTTTATCAAGGAGAAATTTGAAGATACACAAAAGTAGAGTGGCATCATTTCACCAAAGAGGAGATATGGATAGCAAATAAGCACATGAAAAGACGCTCCTGATTATCATTATCCATTAGGGAAATGCAGATTAAAATCACAATCAAATAGCACCATATACCTATCAGAATGGCTAAAATAAAAAACAATGAGAGGCCGGTTGAGGTGGCTCACGCCTGTAATTCCAATGCTTTGGGATACCGAGGTGAGCAGATCACTTGAGTCCAGGGATTTGAGACCAGTTTGGCCAATATGGTGAAACCCCATCTCTACCCAAAAATACAACAATTAGCCGAGCATCGGGGTGCACAACTGTAGTCCCAGCTACTCAGGAGGCTGCAGTGGGAGGAGCACTTGAACCTAGGAAGCGGAGGTTGCAGTGAGCCCAGATCACACTACTATACTCCAGCCTGGGCAACGGAGTGAGATTGCATCTCAAAAAAAACCAAACCAAAACAAAACAAAAAAACAGGGACAACATCAAATGTTGGAGAAGGTGCAGAAAAACAGGATCACTCATACATTGACTGGTGGGAATTGAAAATGGTAGAGTCCCTATGAACAGCAGTTTGACAGTTTCTTACATGCAGCCATAAAACCCAGCAATTGTTCGACTTGGCATATGTGCCAGAGAAATGAAGACCTAAGTTCATGCAAAAGCATGTACACTTTTATAGCAAATTTATCTATAATAGCTAATAACAAGAAACAATCCAGAAGCCCTATAACAGGCCAATGGGTAAATAAACTGTGGTATATTCATATAATGGAATACTACTCAGCAATAGCAAGAAATGAACTATGGATACATGCAAACACCTGGGTTAATTTCCACAGAATTATGCTGAGTGAAGAAAAGCCAATCACAAGAGGTTACATACTGTATAATTCCATTTGTACGCCATTCTTAGAATAACAAAATTATAGAAATGGAGAACAAAGTAGTGGCTATAAAAGGGTGACACGAGGGATCCTTGTATTGATGGAAATGTTCTGTAGCTTCACTGCATCAATGCCAATATCCCGATTGTAAGATTGTACTCTGGTTTTGCAATATGTTGCCATTGGGGGAAACTAGGTGAAGGGTATAAAAAATCTCTCTGTAGTATTTCTTGCAACTTCATGTATGTGAGTCTACAATTTTCTTTCTTTTCTTTCTTTCTTTTTTCTTTCTGTCTCTCTCCTTTCTTTCTTTGTTTCTTTCTTTCTCTTTCTTTCTCTCTCCTTCCTTCCTTCTCTCTATTTTTCTTTCTTTCTTTCTTTCTTCTTTCTTTCTTTCTTTCTTTCTTTCTTTCTTCTTCCTTCCTTTCTTTCTCTCTTTCTTTCTTTCTTTCTTTCTTTCTTTCTTTCTTTCTTTCTTTCTTTCTTTCTTTCTTTTCTTTCTCTTTCTTTCTTTTCTTTTTTTGGATGGAGTTTTGCTCTTGTTGCCCAGGCTGGAGTGCAATGGGATGATCTTGGCTCACTGCAATCTCTACCTCCCGGGTTCAAGCGATTCTCCTGCCTCAGCCTCTGGAGTAGCTGAAATTACAGGCATGTGCCACCAAACCTAGCTAATTTTGTATTTTTAGTAGAGATGGGGTTTCTCCATGTTGGTTAGGCTGCTCTGGAACTCCCGACCTCAGGTGATCTGCCCGCCTCGGCCCCAAAGTGCTAGGATTACAGGCATGAGCCACCGCACCTGGCGGGGTCTACTATTTTCTAAGAATACAAACCTTAATTTAAAAAAGTCTTAGGGCATATAAAAATAAAGCAACATTACATTCTCATGCCTGATACAAATGAAGGCCGGGCACGATGGCTCATGCCTGTAATCCCAGCACTTTGGGAGGCTGAGGTGGGCGGATCAGTTGAGGTCAGGAGCTCGAGACCAGCCTGACCAACATGGCGAAACCCCGTCTCTACTAAAAAAAAGCAAACAAAAAAATTAGCTGGATTTGGTTGCACACTCCTGTAGTCCCAGATACTCGGGAGGCTGAGGCAGGAGAATCGCTTGAGCCTGGGAGGCAGAGGTTGCAGTGAGCCGAGATTGCACCACTGCACTCCAGCCTGGGCGACAGAGCGAGATTCCATCTCAAAAAAAGAAAGTATATTACACACATGAAAACAATTTCTGCTATAAATATTACCATATTGTATTATAATAGCAACAATCAAAAATTGAAGCAAAGTAACTAATTAGTTTCATAATCGGTAGATGCAAAAACCAAAGAAAATATTCTGAAAAGAATCTGGACACCAATAATGAAAGCAACAAAAACACAGAACTCTTTCTACTTATCACAGGCTCTTATGAGAATTACGGTTAAATTTTTAAAAATCAGAAAATAAAAGTAATGTTAAAATGGCATTAACAAAAGGCAGCTCATTGGTAGCAAGGCCCCAGGGGAGCCATGCGTTCACAAACTAGACTGATGGTGTGGTTTTTTAAAGCCAACTTAAAACTGGCAATTACAAACATAACGAATTCGATTATAAGAAAATATGGAAACTTATGATGAGAATTTACAATAATGACAAGTGAAAGCTCAGAGAAGCAACATGAAAAGCGTCAGCCAGCTCAAATGCTTCCCTCCATCATCTTTCCTCTGACCCCTGGCCTTGGAATAGATCTTTCCCTCTCTTGAGCTCTTGGAGCACCTGGGGTCATCACACTGATCCCCACTTGCCTGGCTCGACAGTTGTTCTGTTTGTTTGGCTGCTGAACTGGGCAGTGACCTTCTCAGGGTGTGTGTGTGTTGAGGGGGTATATTTTTTCATCTGTGAAGCTCTCCAGGACACAGTGAGGGCCAGCATTAAGTGGGTGCTCACCGTGTGCAGGCTGATGGAATTGAATACACGAAGGGAAGACGCTGGGATCTCCCTGGTCCTGGGGGATCACATGATCAAGACCCACTGCCCAGGGCCCTGCTCATGATCAGATCTCTGCCTCTGCCTGGGCTTGGCCTCGGCGGGAAAAGGTGACAGCACCCAGGGCTTCTGTTGAAAGCTCCCATAGAGGGAGCAAAGAAATGGCTTCTGGTAGGGGAGGGTCCTTTGAGGCCAGAAAAGGGACAAGAGCAAAGATAAAGAGAGCACCAAGTGCCCCAGTCACCTAATCTAGGCTTTACATTGAGAGGAATGGCAAACTCATGGCATCCCAGAAATCCTCAGGCTTGTCAGGAGGCAGCTGGAGTGGCCACAGCCCCCCTGCAGGCGGCTGCCTCCACCTGTTCTGAATGCCCCTACGCCACACCCTCAAGCCCTGAGCAGGAAGGAGCAGCCATTGTGCATTTCAAGGCATGTCCCACATCTGTAGTTTGCAGAGAGCTCACCATATTCCAGGCAATATTGGGAAATGGACAAGCTGGGTGCTTGCCCTCTACCAGCAGCTAGGTAGGGCCAACTAGGCCATTTATTAGCTATTTGGCCTTAGGCAAATTGCTGAACATCTCTGCTTGGGAACAATAGCTGTATATAATCGCAGAGCAATTGAGAGGGTTAAATGACTAAATGTGTTGAAACAGTATAAGTGTTTGCCATTATCACTCTTCTAGGTCATAGCACAGACATGGCAACTTCTCAGTTGGAAATGCACCCCTGGAGTTCTGCCTGCCAGACAGAGATGGATGTAGAGACTTGTATGCATCAGGTGGGGAGTCACAGCAGCCTAATGACTCAAGGCAGTGACCTTTGATGCCTTGATGTCACCTGTATCTGCTTGGTGACCTTGGGTAGGTCATTGAACCCAGCTATGCCTCTATTTCTGCTTCCTCCTCCACTGGAGAAAGCAAGGCATGGTTCCATGACACCTGACAGCACATTAATAGCCAGATTGTGTCTAATTTATTGGATCTATAAAATGCATTTGCTTCCAAAGCCCATGATCTCATCCTCAAGGCCAAAGTCTTCAGGGGAACCCCTCCCACCCAGGACTCTTGGCATCCCTCCCTCCCGGAGAATGTTTGCCCAACACTTATAAGAATGGAAGGTGCCATCTACATAGCAGCAGGCACTGTGTCCCTTCAGGGAAAGGTCAAGGGAACACACTGTGCCCAGAGCTCTCCCTTAAGGTCAATAAAGCCCAGCAGAAGAAGGAAGAACAGGGAGGCTCTGTCTCTGGGGCCCAGGACTCCACCTTGGGATCACCTGCTTCCCAGGCACCACCTGCACTGGTGTGTCCTCCACCCACATTGATGCTGCCACCCCAGCTGTGAAGAAGGCAAGACAGGAGGGGAGGAGACATTTAGTGCTCCGGTGACTGTGGAGCACTAGCAAAGAGGATGCCACGAGATGTTAGGGAAGGAGCAGAGGCCTGGAGCTCATGAAACCTCCTGGCCTTGTCGTGGGCTGACCTGGGCAGTCACACATCCTCTCTAAATGTCTGTTTCCTCATTCTTCCAAGGGAGGTGGGCTCAATGCCTAAGTTCCCATCAGGGCTGAAGTTCTTTGATTCTCATAGCACAGTTCTTGGTAAGAGTGTTAGGGTGTTGACCCCCACTGCGGCCCACCCCTCTGCTCCAGTGCTCACATCTTATGCCAGTAGCCTCCACCCATCTCCTAGAAGGGTCTCGAACAGCCCTTCCCTCGCTGCTCTTTGTGATCCCTTCCAGAACCCTGGGGCCTCTTTGAGGACCTGTGAATACTGATGGGTGATGGCATGAGCTTTGGAACAAGACAGACCTGATTGAAATCCCAACTTTGCACCTACTGATTGGGTTACCTTGGGGAGTCACAGGTTCTCATCTGTAAAACAGTAAAAACCATGCCTACCTTTTGGGGTGGTTATTTAAGTGGTGCATAGGAAGTGCTCAATAAATGGTCAATTGAATTATTAGGGAAGTCTGTTCTGCGACTATTTCCTGTATGCTTCATGACAATGGCTGGCACTTTGTTCCCTGATGGGGACACATGTCAGAAAAATGGTGGCTAGTCAGACAGGCTTACACCCCTGTTCCATCACAAATGAGATACAACCGTAAGATAAAATAATGATGGCTTATCATCCAGCACCAAAGGAATTTCCAAAAGAGAAGTTCTCCAAGTACTTTGAGCATACCAGACCATTGCTTCTCACATAAGGGTACACTGTTTGGCTGTTTCTAACAATGAAACACATCTCTAAGGCTTGTCACCATGGAGGCTTCTTGGAGGAAAGGACCAGGAATCTCCCAGGGACCTCTATCACATTTCAAACCTGTGGCCCTCCCAGCATGGCTCCGGTGGCTCAGCACAGAGCTTCAGCCTGTTGGATGCTGCTCACGGATGTCAGATGGTGCGGGGCGAGCTGGGAGCCAGCCTGGGTTCCTGGCTGATTGTCCAGGTTTCTGCTAACTCATTGTGGGACTTAGTGACTAAGCAAGCCACTCGTTCTCTTTGTGCCTCTGCAGCCCAGAATGGAAAGACGGCTTGCCACCTGCCTATCTCACTGGAGTGTAGTACGGTGAAGGGAGCTCATTTTAAAAGGGCTTTAATCTTGAGTGACAGGTGGCATATTGGAACCAAATAGTGGTTTTAACCACATAATATTCTTCCCAGGAGCTAACTCTGAATGTTATTTTGCTGTAGATTCAAAATAACATTGCTCCGATATTTATATGTTTATAGCATATATTTATAAACATACACTCAGATGTTCATAAACCTGAGTGTAAACATAGCCATCAGGAAAAAAGGTTCACCTAGCTGTTTCTTTCTTCATTCTGCTGGTTGATAAATTGGCCTCCCTGAGAAATTTTCCAACCCCTCAATTCCAACTCAGTCCAGTAACCAATAGAACTGGTGGCATGTCCCATCTACGTCAGGATGGAATTTCTAAGAGCTTCAGACTCCAAGTCAGTTGGAACCCCAAACATTTGGAGCTAAATCAAGTAGCACAGGTTATCTTGTCTGCTGACATCTGCTGACTCTGGTCCCCAGGGAGTTGAAACTAGGGATGCAAAACACATCTGTCCTGTTAGAAGTCAGGAGGCCAGGTGGTGACCTGAAAAGGACACAGGGCAGGGAAAGAGGGATGTGGGGGGAGGGGTTCTGTGGTCTGGCATGGCCTGTGTCATGCATGATCTGGATGCTGATTACTTGGGCGTGTGCAATTCGCGAAACTTCATCTTTACAATATGTACAATTTTTTCTATGTATATATACAGTGTTTTAATAAAAAAAAAACACACACACAACAGGGCCATGCAGGATTTGGGGGCATTCATGATGGAAACCCATTTTGAAGGCTGCTTCTTTGAGAGGCACTCTGACACTTACCGTTCAGACCCCTGCTTCAGGAAAAGTCCTGTCATAAACCTTGACCAACTGCCCACATTAATACCCTGCTCAATTTCCTTGCCAGCAGCTTTATGGGTCCATGGGTTCCAGCAAAACTTTTGACTTCAGCACATCAACACATCATACCCACACTCTGCAGAGGCTTCTGGACGTGTTGTGCTCAGAGCGAATGCTGAAAAGGCTGTGGGAAAGATTGGGCCTCTAAAGGCCCTCAGCCCCGCAATGACGTCATTTCCTCCAGCCAGCATGCACTCCCATTAGAGCCGTCATTTCCTCCAGGTTCTGTGCTTACCTGCCCAGGTGAGTCAATGAGCTCATCTGAGGTTTGAGGCAGTTGTCCTGGAAAGAGAAAAAACACTAAACAACAAACATGAAGTAGTACCTGTGCCTCCTGCCCCCTAGGAGGCCTTCACCTTGAACTTCACATAGGAAAGGCCAGCTAATGCCAGTGCGTGACTTCAGACTGGGCACTCATGTGCTGAGATAAACACGGCCAAGCCCTTTAAACAAACATTGTGGAAATGTTAGGCCGAGCGGTCAGAAAATGGAACCAGGCAGAGGATGGGACACAGGGAGTGTCAGCTGGGGGCTAGAATCTTCTCCTGCCACCAAGGAGCCGTGTGACTGGGGCAACTCACCTGCCTTCTCTGGGCCTTGAGTTCCTTAACCCAAAAGTAAGAAATTGGGTCAGAGTAATTTCTAAGTTCCCTGAAAAGAATGGAATGAAATCACCATGCCCATGCAGTCAGCATTTGTACAGGCTGGTGGGCTGGGTTTGCATTGTCTTATTTTGTGCTGGACTGCAGGAGCAGAAGAGGAAGCTGACCACATGCCTCCATTCTTGGTGCACAGTTGTCATCAGTCTGTGCAAAGCCCTTCCATGCCAAGTATTATTCTATTCTCCCCCTTTATCCCTAGTCTCCTCTTCTCAGCAGGCACCCACCACAATGTATTTGATATCTGTTCTTAGATATGTGTGGTTATATATGTGGGTGTGTGTGTGTGTGTGTATGTATATCTATCTATAGATATATCCTTGTAAAATACGTAGCACAGTTTGGGGTATGTTTTAAATTTACATAAATGGTAGCATGTTGCAAATCTCATTCAGTTTCTTCACTCTGCACTCTGTTTTGATGATCCTTCCACGTTGCTGTGTGTACATCTAGCTTGTTAATCTTGTTAATTCTTACTGATGCATAGAATTTTTTTTTTTGAGACAGAGTCTTGCTCTGTCACCCAGGCTGGAGTGCAGTGGGGTGACCTCGGCTCCCTGCAAACTCCACCTCCTGGGTTCACGCCATTCTCCTGTCTCAGCCTCCCGAGTAGCTGGGACTACAGGAGCCAGCCACCACGCCTGGCTAAATTTTTTTATATTTTTAGTAGAGACGGGGTTTCACCGTGTTAGCCAGGATGGTCTCGATCTCCTGACATTGTGATCCGCCCACCTCAGCCTCCCAAAGTGCTGGGATTACAGGTGTGAGCCACCACGCCCTGCCAGAATTCTCTTTTTCTCTTTTTGAGACAGTCTTGCTGTGTTGCTCAGGCTGGAGTGCAGTGGCGAAATCTCGGCTCACTGCAACCTCCGCCTCCTGGGTTCAAGTGATTCTTCTGTCTCAGCCTCCTGAGTAGCTGAGATTACAGGTGTGTGCCACTATGCCTGGATAATTTTTATATTTTTAGTAGAGGCAGGGGTTTCACCTTGTTGGCCAGGCTGGTCTTGAACTCTTGACCTCGGGTGATCCGTCCACCTCGGCCTCCCAAAGTGCTAGGATTATAGGCATGAGCCACCGCGCCCGGCCTGATGCATATAATTCTTTGGTATGGGTTAACCACATTGTTTTTATCCATTTCTCTCACGCTGGACACCTATGTTACTTATATACCATGTAGCACACATAGCACCACTGTGAACATTTCCACATCATCCCCTTAAAGACCTCAAAGAGAGTCTCTTGGGAGCTGCTGCCTCATAAGGCAGAGGTATGTGCAGTGTCCTGACTAGATGGCTCTAGGGGTCAGGGCAGAGGAGATGGCGGCACAATGTTGGGGAGGGAGAGGCTGGAGAGGGGCCTGCTGAACAGGAGCCATTGTCTGGCTGAGTTGTTTGGTGCTGGTTCCAGATTCTCTCCTCTGGGGAAGGCACAGTTTTTTCACTGGATCCTATTTTAAGAGCTGTGCATCCCCTTACTTTATAGCCCGCATCATGGTTTGAGTTAAAGGTGAAATGATTTACTGTTTGACTGTCTGTCTCTCCTCCTAGACCATGAGTTCTCCGAGGGCAAGCACGGTGGCTTTCTCACCCACAGTTTTATTATGCCCCATGCCTGAGACAGAGCTAACACAGCAGATGCCCAGCAAACAGCCAGTGGCTTTATAAATCAGTGAGTGAGCTTGAGCTGTGACAAATATGAATGAAGCCTCCAGGGACTAGGGAGGGAAGAGCAGTGTCCAGGCCACAAAGCTTAAGGAGCCCTCACTCTCTGGTGCCCATCTGCATAGGCAAGACCTGGGAATGAGGGTCTCCCTTGTCTCATCCCAGACACAGCTCTGAGCCTCAGACACAACTTTCACCTGCTTTTTTTTTTTTTTTTTTTTTTTGAGATGGAGTCTCACTCTATCACCCAGGCTGGGGTGAAATGGCGTGATCTTGGCTCGCTGCAAACTCCTCCTCCCAGGTTCAAGTGATTCTCCTGCCTCAGCCTCCCAAGTAGCCAGGATTACAGGTACCTGCCACCATGCCCAGCTAATTTTTGTATTTTCAGTAGAGATGGGGTTTTATCATGTTGGCCAGGCTGGTCTCAAACTCCTGACCTCAGGTGATCTACCAGCCTTGGCATCCCAAATTGCTGGGATTACAGGCATGAGCCACCACGCCTGACTTAGGAAAGCTTTTAACCACAAGTTTAGCATCTAACCTGGTGCCTTCCTCTTCCCTCTCTCTTCTTTCCTCTCTCTTTCATTGAGCATCAATTATGTGATAACCCTGTGGTAGCATGTGGGCTTCCGAAACTCTCAAGAATCACTGTCCAGTGGGGGAGGGGGTTGTGAAAATAAGTCATTGCGATGCGTAAAGAAGAGTTTTTTTTTTAATGACAATGTCGTCACCTGGGACACTGGAGGCAGAGAAGAAGTGCTGGTTAACTCGGGCAGCATTGAGGAGGGGGACTCTTGGGGCTGAATTCTGTCAGGAGGGCAGCGGTGAAGAGCCATCTGAGCCAGGGCCACCATGTGGAGGTCTGAGTGAGGACAGCACAGCGCCTTCAGGTGGCGTGAGGGTCCTGAGTTTCTGGAGCAGGAGGCTGAGGCCCAGAGGCTGGGTGGTGATGGGCTGGGGCGCAGGGAGGTGAGGCTGCAGGGGGAAGGGAGGGAGGCAGAGCATATCCTGGGGGCAATAATTCATCAAAGAACAGAGGGGGAAAGAACACATTTGCACTTGAGAAGATCCTCTGGAGGTTTCTGGTGAGGAAAGACTCTGAGGGCAGGCAGGGATTGTGAGGCTATGACGTTGGTAGAGGTGACAGAAGCTGAAGCTCTGTCCCCGGCAGCTGTGGTGAAGGGAGATGGGCAGCAGGAGCAGAGGGAGGAGGCGTGGCCCTGGGCACCTGGGGCCATCTGAGTGGAGACGGGGTGGGCAGCCTTGGAAGCCCAGGGTCACTGCTTCACACACATTCATGGAAAGCTATAGAAATGTGTAGCCCTGGGTGTCCAGAGAACTGAGGATCTGCAGTCCCAGTGAATAGGGTGTCACCGGGGCAAAGAGTGAGAGAGCCCTTCTGAGCCAGAGAAGTGCCTCCCCTGTGGAATAGGGGTCCCCAGTCTCGTAAAGCAAGCAACCATCAGCAAGTTGTTTTCCAAAAAGGAGAAAAGGCCACGGGGCCGACTGTCAGCCTTGCCTGGAAGACGGAAGACATGTCCTGCCCACTTAGACCCTGGGAAAGGTTATCCAGGTTGCATGGCTGTCCCCATCCTCAGGACAGAGAGGATGTGGCCCAGCCAGGGGGCAGGCGCAGCTGTCTGGCAGAGCACTTCCATGGGACACCCACACATGGGGAGGATGGCTTCGCTTTGTTCTTGTGCTCACCGGCCATGACAGGGGAGCCTCTTCTTTCCCCTCTCCTGAAATGGAAACCTAAACGCAGCCTCTGAAATTAGTAGGGCCATCTTGACTACACCATACTGAGGAAGCCGCATTACCTGAGGGAGAAATAATTATCTTTCTGCTTACTTCAACGTTGACTTTGCTGAAGAGAAATTTTCTTCTCCTCTCCACCCATTCACCAAACTGGACTTTCAGGCTCTGCTGCTCTCTGGGAAAGTGTTCGGGGTTACCAGTGCCTCAGGTCTCTCTTCTCCTCCTCCTCCCACGGGCCCCCTATCCCCAACAGCTCGGTTTGTTTGTTTGTTTCCTCTGAATCCCTCTTTTGTCCCCTGACCTCAGATCCATGGCCAGGTGGCCAAGTTGAACGCAGGTGCAGCCTCGGCAGTCCTCCTTCCCCTAGGCAGTGCTGCCAGGCTCTCTCCAAGGGCCCTGGAATCTGTCCTCAGCACAGCCTTGTCTGAGCAGGAAAACCCCAGGCTACAGCCAGCTTCCTGGCAGAAGTGAGCTCCCTATGCTTAGAAATGATGCCAAAAATTGGCCTCTGAGGCCGTTTCAACGCTGGCCATACTTGCTTCCTTCCTGGGCCCCTCTGGCAGCTCCGTGCCCTTCCGGAAGGAGGGCCACTTTCTCTACCCTCCTGTGGGAACAGAAATTGGGGGGATTTTTCAGCCCAGCTTGGTTAGAGTGACACATAGCTGTGGACGTCTGGTTAGGGACATGTCAAAACCGCTGGGAAGCTTATGTTTTTTAAATAAAAATAGAACAAATTCAGTTGGTGTTTCCAGAAAGTTCACCCTGTGGCACTCTGGTGACCTCCCTTCCTTCCTGGCCTCCTTCAGCCCTTCCTTCTGTCCTCCCTCACTTCCTACCCTACCTGGGCTGCAGGAAGACCCCCTAGGAGGCTCAGTGGGGTACAAATCCTAGCGAAAGCTGCCCAGGAGGATTCGGATACAGCACAAAGCTTGGGAAGCTCCACCTTATCACATGTTGCTAGTGCACTGCCTGCTGTGGCGGGAGGCCGTGTCATTTAGATGAAAAATCTGGGCCTGAGTCTCTGGAGAGAAAAGGCCTGGGAAAGTGGGTAGGAAAAAAGAAGGCGGTTGTCTGGGACTGGTGGGGCAATTTGTGTCCATGAAACCCAGTGAACTATTTGTCCCTTCGGTCAATAAAACATTTGACCTCATTCCTGCAGGGTCTAAAAGTTTGAAGCCTAGACTTTCTTCCACATCTTTGAATTAGACCATTTTGCTATGATTTAAGCCAGAGTTTTGAATTCCTGGGTCTACCTACAGCCCAGGTAAAATAGGAAGAGAGAGAATATAGAGGGAGTGAGAGAGGATGTGGGGACAGCAGTTATTTTGGATTCTCAAATATTATTTATTTTGTGAGATGGGGTCTTGCTCTCTTGCCCAGGCTGGAGTGCAGTGGTTGATCATGGCTCACTGCAGCCTCAACCTCCCTGGGCTCAGGTAATCCTTCCACCTCAGCCTCCCCAGTAGCTGGGACTACTGGTGTACACCACCACGCCCAGCTAATTTTCATATTTTTTGTAGAGATAAGGTTTCGTCATGTTGCCCAGGCTGGTCCTGAACGCCTTAGCTCAAGCAATTCACCCGCCTCAGCCTCCCACAGTGGTGGGTTTACAGATGTGAGCCACCGTGCCCTGTAAGAATTCATTTTTAAGAAATTGTTTATAGTGGTTTTTATTTCAAACATTTATGCTATAAAAAAGTGCAGTGTACAAAGTAAGAGCCACCCTCCCTGAATATGACAGCCCCAAACCAAGTCCTCCCCTCAGGACACCCACTCTCAAGCGGTGCATCCCTGAGGCCCTTTCCTCTGCACCGATGCTCGGACTCTCCGTGTGTGCCATTTTGCAGTGGGGTCACGCTCCACGTGTTGTTCTGCCACTGCCTTTGGTTTCTCGACACTGCCTCGTGGACACGCAGGGAGAGCTTGCAGCTGGTGACAAGCTCTCCAGCAGGTGAGTAATCCAGCAGCTCTTTCTGCCTCGAGGTGAGTGAGGTAACCTCTCTGGGTGCCAAAGGCAGGAGCGAAGAGAGTGATTCACAGAGCTGTTCTCCTTATTTGTCCAATTGGGACCAGCCTGGTTCACTGAAGTAAGAGTCCAGGAAAGATGAGCGTTTTTATTTACCTGAGTGAGTCTCTGGTTTAGTGTTTCTTCTTAAACACTGAGTTCACAGGGCTCTTAAAGCAGACCGGAGTCGCAGAAAAGGGCACTGGACAGAGTCAGTCCACAAGTATCTGCTGAGGTCCTACTATGCGTCAGACACTGTTCAGGCACAGGGTTGTGCTGAAGACGAGAGCAACAACATCCCAAAGCTCTGTCATGTTGGTGGATGTGTCATGCTGGTGGGGGAAAGACAGAGAAGAGTCAGGTAAACATGTAAGTACCTTTAGACACTGGTCACTGCTTACAGAAAATACAGTCGGGTGAGATCATGGTCCCTTGAAGGGCAGACAGAATCAGCAGACTTGGGGTCCAGCTTCCATCCAGCAAGAACTGTGTGACATGGAACACGACTCTCCCCTCTCCTGGATTTCACTTTCCTCAGCTGCACAAAGACAGCGCTGGACCCAGTCACCTGGTGCCACCTTCTAGCCATAGAAAAAGCACACAGGAGGTGCAGACACAATGTTCTGTGACTATTTCTTCCCAGAGTTCCTGTTCTACGGTTGCAGCCTCTAGGAAGGGAGATATTGATTAAAAGTCCTTCAACCAAAGGCCAAAGCTCTAGAGAACACAGAACAGCAGGAAGAGGAACCCAGCCTTGAGACCAATATATTTTATATAAATTCAAAGCAACTTTGTGCTCTCTGGGCCTTTGCTGCCAGCCCAAGTGAGAGGAAAGTCAGATGATTCTCCAGGTTTGGGAAGCTAGGCTCCCACGGCCAGAAACTGCCGGGCAAGGCAGAGGCCCGAGACCTGGGGAGGAAGGTGGAGGGAGGCGGCGCTGGAGGAGAGGATGGCAGGAGCTTCCTAGGCCCTTGGGAACCAGGGTCTGCCACAACCCCCGTCAGCTGAACAGGCTCCCCTTCCACGTGTGACCTCCCAGCTCCACCACATTAATCCCTCATGGCACGGCCCCGCCACAAACAGGGCCAGCAGATCTCGTTTGCTGAACACTCCCAGGACCAACCCGAAAGGGGACCTGAGTTCAGGCACCACCAAGAAAATCCTGCTTTGCAAACAGGACCAGTTTAGCCCTGGAGAACCAGAGGTGGCAGGAAGGAGTGGAGAGGATCTCCGCCTTCCCCTCCCTCAAAGGAAAGTGACTCCTACAATTTCTTTCTTTTTTTAAATTCACAGGTTCACGTGCCATTTAGAAAGTGGGTTCAGTGCCTGGGGACTTGACCCTGAGCATTATGGACTCCAACAGCGGTAGGATTGTGAAGTTTAATCAATGATGAGATTTTCCCACCTCAGCCTGACAGGAATGACACTCAGCTGAGAAGATGGCAGTGGTGCTTTTCCTTTAGGGGAAGAAAGGAGGGCCCCCGGAAACCGTCTGTCCTATCTGATTCATGCTCATTCATAATGCAGCAGGCTTAGGAGCCGCAAATAACATACTAGTGCAAGAAGGCAAGCCAGTCAGGCAGTCTCATATATCACTGCTCCATCTGTCACACTGACACAAGGATTCAAGCTACTGAGGCCTGTGGCTCTTCACAGGGAGTTGAGATGGCAAGAAGCAGAGGCAACTTGGGGGAGATGCCCATTTTAGGGTTTTGATGAAAGCGGAGTGAAATAATGCTCAGTATAATAGTCAGACACAGTAAGACTGAGTGCCAACCATGTGACAGGCACTGTGACAGGCTCAAGGAATCAAATATCAGATCAAATAAGACGCTGGCATGGGTGGACCTCAAGGACGCATTTACCTGGGAAGGCCCCTGGCAGGTGCCCAGTGCCAAGTACAAAGTGCAATAAACGCAACTTAAAGTCCTGACGTTCCCAGATCTAGGATGACCCAGGAGTCCAATGGGAAAGTCCGAAGGGCAGCCACAAGCCAGCAAGGGACCGCTTCCTTTTTCTCCTCTCCACAGCCCAAGGAAACACTCCCTTGGAATCGTAGAAAGGACTAAAGATTTCTCCATTTTACAACCAACAGACATTAAGCAATATGAAAGAAATGCTTCCCTGGACTTAAAGTAAGGACTGGAGATGTGCTGATTTTGTACCTAAAATAGATGGAGATTCCTGGGAAATTTTGGCCTGAGATCCTGAACCATCTGGCCATGCCCTAAGCCTTTGCCTTTGCTGGCAGCAAATACGTTCCAAGCTCCTCTAAAAATTTGTCAGTCAAGCATTGATACATTTACAGGGAGAGTGAGAAAAAATATTACTGAGTTTGGGAGACTAAGGCCTTAACTCTGACTTTGAAAGTCTCACTAGGATTTCTTATGGGCCTTGGGGCTTGGTTTATTTTCAAAGGCGACCACTTCAAGCTGCACCCAGAGAGAAGCTCAGGTCGCACAGCGCCGAGTTTCTGAGAAGGTTACTAACAGCCGTCCTTAAAATGTACCACCTTCCCTGCCTCTTCCCTCCTTGGGAGGAGCTGTATAAAATGAGGAGCCGTGGCCCTAGGGGAGCTGGAGAATGTTCCTGAGAGATTATAGATCTGGAGGTCTGCACGCATTTGCGGAAGCTCAACTCCATCTCTTTCCCATCCTTCTGTTTTGAAGAGCCAGGTCCTTCCGCGTGGTCCTCAACAGGGTGATGGGGGTGGGCGATGTGTCAGAACAACCTGGAGAGATTTTAAAAAATAGATTTGCCACCTCCACCACCTCTTCCAGTTCTCTGGGGATGAGGGGATGGGGGAGAGTGGGATATTTGGAGAAGTGTTCCTGGGAGGCCTCATTGACTGGCCTGATGGCTTACCACCACCCCTGACCCCACAAACTTTTTGTTAGTTCTTATGTTAGTTCTTTTTGTTAGTTCTTATGTTTCAGAGAACGGGCTCCGGAGTTTGCAAGATGTGGATTTGAATCCCAGATCCACCACTTGCTTTTTGCTCATTTTCTCACCTCCCCAGGAGGGTCGGGACGATCATGAGATAATGCAATATGTCCGGTAGGTAAAGCCCCCAATACAAGCCGTCCTCTTCTTTCCCTCAGGCACGTGGGCCAGGACAACAAAGAGAATTGTCTGCTGGCAAAGGCAGCTGTGGCAGAGTCTGCTACGATGGCCACCCCCAGGAGCTCTCTCTGCCATGGCCAGGGAGTACTGGGGCAGTCCCAGAAGGCAAAACCAGTGAGAGGGGCTAGGACCCCATGGCTGCCTAGGGGACTCCTCAGGAAAAACCAAAGCTGGAGTGGCCCTGAGGAAGCTCTGGAGTGACTGAGGACCTAGTGATTTTGGGGACATGGGGCTTTCCATGCTCAAGACAGGACAGTCTGGGGCAAACCCCACATATCAGCCACTCCAGCAGCTTTCGTCTTCCTGGGGGTAGCTGGGGCATGCTGCTTAAGGACGGTCACTCCTAGAACAGCGTCTAGGATGAAGAAATACGGCTCATGAGGACATTTAAAACAACAAACCTGATCTCACTGCCACCGGGGCCACAGAACCCCACATGGGTGGATGGGGCAGGCTGAGGCCGCTCAGTGGGGTGCTGGAAAGCTGGGAGGCAGGTCAGGGGCCTGCTCTGGGAGACTTCTTTTCTTTCTGTTTCCTCCTTTTTTCATTCAAATCTCCACCTTCAAGGGAGGGGGCCTTGGACAGCTGTACCCTCATGAAAGTAAAGAGTAGCTCTTTCCGGTCTGCCACCAGGAAGCAAAGGATTAGGGGACCCCACACAGCTTCCTTTGGGGGCTGGTGGGAACAGCCAGCACTCTTTTGGGCTGAGTCACATGGAGGTCCCGTGCGTCCTCCCCTTTTCCTGCCTGAGCCATGATTTGCCCGTGGCCAATGTGTGGCCTGTGGAATTGGCACTGGGCAAGCCTGCGGCTGGGTCCCAAGGCTCCTGCTCTAGGCAGGCATCTGCTCTCTTGCCTGGCTTTCCTGCTTGTTCTCTTCTCCCTGGCCTCTTCAACCTCTGATAAATAAGTCCCTTTCTCCTCCACTCTTTACCCCACTTTCATTTCTTTCTCTTCCATCTCCGTGTCCTGAGGAATAAAGGAGGGCCTAGGCAGCTCCCTGGCCCCATGCCTTCTCCCTGCCCAAGAAGTTCTTAAATGTTTAAGGGAAAGATGGTTTTTCACAAAGGAAATGTTCACTCCTCCACTGGACTGTGAGTTCCACGAGGTCAGGGACTGTGTTTTCCCTGCCCCTTGCTGTCTCCTGGTATTGGGCATGTAAACATGTGTTCATGGATTATACAAATAAAAAAGAAGACTGCTTTTAACAAGGGTGGCCTCTGAGGACAAGTGACGTAGAGAGAGAAGGAGAAGATGTTAAAACTTTTTATTTATTTACAATTTCCTTCTCTTAAAAATGTTGACTTTGGTCAGGCCTTCTGGCCAAGTGGAATGTAGCCTGAGGTCATTGTCAGGGTCTTCTCAAGAGATGGATGTTGCAGGAGGGGCTGCTTCACCTCCAGTTCCCATGGGAGCTCCACTTATACAGGGAGAGAAATCAGGGAAATGAGAAGCAAGGAAGTGGGAGGAAGGTGCACATTTAGATGAATTTTCTCTATCACTCCATCTAGCCAGCATGTAAGCTTTGTCTGTCCTGGTTCAGAAAAGCTGGTTTCTCTCCAGAATCCAGAGGAGGGAAGGAAGGAGCTAATTTTATTCAGCATCTACTGTGTGTCATGCACATCACATAATTTATATCACTGATTCATAAGAATCTAGTTTGATTGTGATCCTTATTAAACAGATGAAGTTCAATAATTCACCTAAAGTCATGCCCACGAGAGGGAAACCCGGGATTTAAACTGACCTTCCTACGCTTAAGCCTGTCACCCTCCTTCCATTATGTTATGCTACCTGTGGTTACAAATATAAAGAAAAAATCAGTTGCCAGAGTAGAAGAGGGTAAGGGGGAAGCATCCTCTAAAAGTTGGATGAGCCTCACAGGCATATGAACAATGCTGGACGTAAGTGGGTACTTACTGTAGGATCCTATTTATATGATGCTCAAGAACAGGCAAAACTAACCTAGGATGCTGGAAATGAGAACAGTGTTTGTCTCTGTGGGTGGGGATTGATTGAAAAAGGACAGGAGAGAGCTTCACTGGGATAATGGAATTCTTCTATATTTTATTTGGGTGATGGCAGGAATAGTGTTTGTAGGAACATACTCTGGGAAACTGCTCAGGTTTTTCTTATGTTCTGATCTAGGTTCATCAAACCAGGCCAGGCACAGTGGCTCACACCTGTAATCCCAGCTCTTTGGGAGGCTGAGGTGGGAGGATCACTTGAGGTCAGGAGTTTGAGGCCAGCATGGGCAACATAGTGAGGCCCCATCTCTACAAAAAGTATGAAGAACTTAGCCCAGTGTGGTGGTGTGGGTCTGTAGTTCCAGCTACTTTCGAGGTTGAGGCTGAAGGATCACTTGAGATGCAGGAGTTCGAGGTTGCAGTGAGCTATGATCATACCACTGCACTCCAGCCTGGGTGACAGAGCAAGACTCTGTCTCAAAAACAAACAAACAAAAGTTAGAATCATGTTTGTAAATATTAAGGACTTGCATTCAGCTTTGGGCTCAAGGCCAGCTTGTAAAATTTTAGAGTGGCTCCCACTGTACATTTTGAACCCAGCTATCCCTCCTGCGGCTAAATCGATATTCCATGATGGAGTCATCAGCTGTCTATTGATTTAAACTCTTCAAACTTACTTATAATATCATCAACCTGTATTCTATCCTGGGCTAATGAATTCTTTTTCACCTGTTTAAAAAGTAGTACTTGCTTTTACCTGTTCTGTAGCTACTTTCTCCAAGTCTCAAGGAAATACTTGTTAGCTCAAGTATTCCAAAATGTTTTCCTTGTCTGAGATGTGCATGATGTCTTACATTTGAAGCATATTTTCTCTTCGACCTCCACCTTCCAGAACTGAGGTTCCCTCCTTCTTGTCTGGCCTAGTTGATTCTCTGGGCTCATCTAAATGTCACCCCCTAGTCCCCTTCAATGTGGCTCTTTGTGCCAATAATATCTCAGGACAGCCTCCCTACTGTGGTATTTAAGTGAACCTCTGGGTAATAAGATGCTCATGTCAAATTCGGTGATTTGTTGAGGGCCAGCTGGGCATTCACTTTTAATAAAAAGCCTTCTATTCCTCCTCTGTTCCTTGAGATAATCAGAAGAGAGAGCTCCAGCAGGGCCATTCTTCCGCAAGAAAGCCTTGAGCACTTCCCCCAGAGTGTGTGGGGAGGAGGAGGAAGGCCACACCCAGGCACTTATGTCAGTGGGAGCCAGTGAGGCTCTTAGCTGCATCAGCCCCAGAGACTGGTGCCAAATTCATGCTCCAGACAAAAGGTGTCAAATTCATGCTCCAGACAAAAGACGAATTCCTACCTGTCCCAGAGCTCTACTTCCCCTTGAATATTGGAAACTGTGATGGTGCAGGGTCTGCTGAATATTGAGAGAAGTGATCTCTCTTCTGCTTACTCTGGAGCAGGTCCTATGATGGACAGCCTCCTCCCAACACCCAGGGAGAGAACAAGCCAGTGTGGAGTGATTCTGTTTCTCCTCTGGGCGGGGACTTGGACTGCCCATCACTGAGCCCTTGGAGTCACCGCTCACCTCAGCCGGCCCCCATTCTGCCCCATCAGGGCTGAGACCCAATGCTTCATAGGCAATGCTTTCATGGGCATCCCAGGGGGGTGGCTGACTTTCCAGTGACACCTGAGTTTGGGGAAGGTTCAGAAGGACAAGCTTGTCTTTCTAGCCTGGGAGTGTGTGTTCTGGTTTCCCCTGAGCTATATCATTAATCTCTTTCCAATTCCATCAAGGCTAAATTAACGTGGGAATTCCTCGTGTTATGGGTTGAATTGTGTCCCCCTCCTCCCTATGTTGAAATCTTTATCCCAGTACTTCAGAATGTGACCTTATTTGGAAATAGGGTCACTGCAGATGCAATTAGTTAAGGTCATTCTGGAACAAGGTGGGCCCCTGATCCCATATGACTGGTGTCCTTATGAAGGAGGAAGTTAGGACACAGGCACACACAGGGAGAACGCCACATGAAGATAGAGGCAGAGATCGGGACGGCGCTTTTACAAACCGAGGGATGCTGAAGATTGCCGGCAGCCTCCAGAAGCTGGGAGAGAGGCCTCAGGAGGAACCAGAGTCCGGAACTGGGGGACAATACACTTCTGTTGTTTAAGCCACTGGTTTATGCCACTTTATTACGGCGACCCTAGCAAACTAATACACCTGTGCCAAACATTTTCTCAACTTCAGAACTTCTCAGAGCCTTTACTAGAAACAATCTGTGTGCGATGATTTCCATATTTGACCAAAGGATACTTTTTTTTTTACACTGGGCATCTGGCAGGGATTTCTTTACAGGAACACACCCTGGGAAACACTGTTGTAGCTTCATCAGGATCTACCCATTAGAAAGAGAAGATACTGTTTCAAAACCACAGCCTGAGACTTGTGTCGTGTGTCCTAGCACCCAAATCACTCAATGTTTCTGTGCCTCAGTTTCCACATCTGTGTAGCCAAAGTAGGTGGTCTACTCAGCGCCCGCCCTGGGTGTGATGCATTACAGGTACTTTGCAGATGCCTGGGGAACACCTTCTAGTGTTGTTTTCAGGAATGGTACCATAAATGATGCCAGGGTTGGAGGTGTGTTGGAGCTGGGGTCTCCTGTCAGCTCTGCCGTGGAGCTGGGAACACACGCAGCAGGGACCACGGGATGGGGAAAAGCTTCCCTAATCAGTCTGCTTAAAAACAATAACAGCAGCAGCGTGAGCCAGAGGCCTTGAGGACAGCCTGAGACAAGAGTTCCCAGAAGGCAGATTCACACAGTCTGGAGGCAGCCTCCTTGGCTCCTCTTCTCTCCAGCCGCCAGGCAGCTCATGCTTCACCCAGGGCTCTGTGAGCTGCACTCTCCATGGTTTCCAGACAGAAACTGTGGCCAGTGTGAGCTCTAGGAAGGGGCCGAGGCAGGCAGCATGGAAACTGGTGGCTGTGAGCTGAAAATAAAACAACACTGAGCCAGGGAGTGTCACTTCCTAATTCCTAGCTCAGGATGGATCTGGCAGATAAGTGGGAGGAGTAGGAGATGAGGGCAAAGGGGTGAGGGACACCGATTGTTATGCCGCAAAGACCCCGCCTCCAAAAGCACCCAAGAGCACCAGGGCCCCTGCACTCACCTCGCAACTGTGAAACCCACTTCTAACAGCTCACGCCCAGTGGAGGAGGAGAGGGTGGGTGGCAGGGCTGGGCAGCTGCTCTATGCGTGAGATAAGTGCAGTGACATCAGGTTAATAATTCCCCCCACCCTCAAAGCCTCTGAGAGGGGACTCCGGAGAAGCAAAGGAAGCTGCAGCCGTTCTGTGGGCCGGGCAGGGTGGGTGTGAGGTGCCTGAGAAAAATGAGGCTGGAAGGTGGGTGGAGGCCGGACCATGGGGTCTTGAAAGTCCAGCAAAGGATTTCAGGTCTTATTCTGAGGACTATGGGGAAGTGAAGTTTTTGGGGACCCAGAAAGTGACCAAGACAGGAATCTCTGAGGTACCTCCCTGAGAAGTGGTCAGGGTGGTACAGAAATCACTACAAAAGCTCAGGGCCTACGAGGCTGGTGAAAGAATAAGATAACCTTTATCCCTCCTCATACCTGCTAGAATAGCTAGACTTAAAAGGATGAATGATACCAAGTGCCATCAAGAACACGGGCAGCAAGAACCGGCACACGCTGCCGCAGGAGGCCCTCTGAAAGAGAATACAGGGGAGAGGAGAGCCATGTCCTGCCTCTGCTTCTAAAAGATGAAAACTCAAAGCTCTGACTGAGGTCTTTCTGAGAAACTGCCAAACAATTTTTCAAAGCGGTCTTGCCACTTTGGAAAGAGATTGTAAAACCACTGTGGAAAGCTATTTGACAGTTTCTGATAAAATTTAACATATATCTACCCTATCTTGCAGCAATCCTGCTGCCAGGTATTTACCAGGAAAAATGAAAGCGTATGTTTCAAAGATCTATATGAAAATGTTCATAGGAGCTTTTTTCACAAGGCAAAAAACTGGACACAACCCAAAATTTCCAGCAACAAAAGAATGGATAAACAAAGTGGGCATATTCATACAATGGAATACTACTTAGCAATAAAAAGGAGCCAACAGCCAGGCGTGGTGGCTCATGCCTGTAATTCTAGCACTTTGGGAGGCCAAGGTGAGCAGATCACCTGAGGTCAGGAGTTTAAGACCAGCCTAGCCGACATGGTGAAACTCTGTCTCTACTAAAAATACAGAAATTAGCTGGGCGTGGTGGCAGAAGCCTGTATTCCCAGCTACTTAGGAGGCTGAGGCAGGAGAATTGCTTGAACCTGGGAGGCCGAGGTTGCAGTGAGCCAAAATCACATGCCACTGCACTCCAGCCTGGGTGACAGAGCAAGACACCATCTCTAAATAAATAAATAAAAATAAGGAGCCAACTACAGATGTGCACACATGGATGAGCCTCACAGGTACATGAACAACAGATACAGTGGGCACTTACTGTATCATGCTCTTCATAGGAAGCCCAAGAACAGGAGAAACCAATCTAGCCTGCTGGAAATCAGAACAGTGACTGAATTAGTGGGTAGGAGTTGATTGGAAAAGGGTAAGAAAGGCTACACTGGGATAATGAGATTCTTCCATGTTTTATTTGGGAGATGCCAAGAATAGTGTTTGTAGGAATATACTCTGGGAAACTGCTCAGGTTTTTTCTTATGTTCCGGTCTAGGTTCATCAAACGTACCCATTAGAAAGAGAAGAGGATGCTGTTTCCAAACGGCAGCCTGGGCCTTGTGTCATGGATGCTGGCACCCAGGTCAGTGAACTTCTCTAAGCCTCAGTTTCCACATCTGGACAGACAGAATAGGCAGTCCACTCAGGGTCTAGCACAGGAGGTGATGCATTACAATAAGAACTTTTCTCAATAAAGAAAAGTTAGCTAAAACATTAAGCCAGATTAGCTGTAGTCCCTTGGAGTTATTCACTTCAGCCATATCCTCATCAGCTTTGCATTTGTTCCCTTTAGAGGGGAGTGAGAGATGGCTCACCCTTCTGTTCCTCCTCTGCCAGGAAAGGCCCTAGCCACTTCTCACTCCCTTCCAAAAGAGCCAAATGAGCAACCTAAGAGAGAGAATGTGGGGCTGGGCACAGTGGCTCACGTCTGTAATCTCACCATCTTGGGAGGCCAAGGTGGGAGGATCACTTAAGGCCAAGTGTTTAAGACCAGCCTGGACAACATAGTGAGACCTTGACTTTACAAAAATAAAAAAATTAACTGAGTGTGGTGGCATGCACCTGTAGTCCCAGCTTCTTGGGAGGCTGAAGCAGAAGGATTGCTTGAGCCCAGGAGTTTGAGGCAGTAGTCAGTTACGATCATACCACTGCATTCCAGTCTGGGCAACAGAGCAAGACTCTTTCTCTAAAACAATTTAAAAAAAATAAAAATAAAAAGAGAGAGAAAGAGAATGTGAAAGACAAACAACACGAAGGCTCTATGCGTACAGGAGCTTTTACGCGCTTCATCTCATTTCATCCTCAAAACAGACCTCTGTGGTTTCAGGATAAACACTAACCCCGTCCTACAGATGGTTGAATTACCCAGCTCAAGCGTCATAACCCAGATATGAACCCTGTTCTCCTGGCTCCTACCAGGTGAGGGTTAAAACTGCAGTGGGAGTGGTACATCTCAGTTCCTAAAAAACTTGAGTTGCAGAGGAAATGGGGTTATTTGCATGCAAACAAACAGTGATTAATTAAGAGAGGCAACTATATAAGGTACTTTCCCTGGGCAGGTTCGAATTGCAGAAGGAGGGACTGCTGGTTGTATACAGTTCACCTTGGTGCAAGACGGTGATCCGGGTGAGTATGTGCCCAATCCTCGCGAGTATGTGCCCAATCCTCGCTGACAGCAGCTGGCCAAGCTCTATGTTGGTGAGGACTACTTCTCTCTCACCCCCGTTCCCAGGGAAATCATTAGGTGCCAGGCTGGCACGTTCTAGAAGATGCATTAACTTGGAGTTTTCTGGAGGAGCAAACGCAGAGGATTCTGAGGAGAGGACTTGTCAGAATCCATTCTGTCTCCAGACAACCAGGTTAGTCAGCATTTTCCTCTTGGGCCTGGGGCCCTGTGCGGCACAAAATCCAAATGGGCCGGAAGTTCGCGAATATTCACATTCTTGCCTTCCTTCCCATAACTCAATTTTGGAGGTTTATTTTGTTTGTCAGAGTGGTTTTTTCTTTTTCTTTTTTCTTTTTTTATTTTATTTTAATTGCTCACTTGGGGACTGAGGTCTGACAAAAGATCAGAACTTTATGATTATGCCGAGTTTAGAAGTCAGGCTAAACCCAAGGACTGAAAGTGTGCTTTAGAGGAAAATGGGTGCATCCTACTAATAGAAAACTGCGTAGAGCGCTTGGAAGAGGTGATACTGAAAATACTTCATAACCCAGGAGGTCCAGGCCCTGGCCAGTCTTAATAAAGGCGCGGGGCCTTGGAGAGTTCAGCCGCAGCAAACATTTGGGGGAGATGAAGGAAAGTGGGAAGGCCCAGGGCTGCTGGGGAGCCTCCTGGGAACTCAAGACAACAGCTATCCACCAACTGCTACCAAAGTATTTCATTTTCAGCAAGCAGTTTCCCTTTACTTGTGCAAACATCTGAATACGAGCCCCGCAGCTAGCATTACATTTTAAGATGGAGAAACTAAAGCTAAGGGAGATTAAAAGATCCAGCTAAGGTCATGCAATAATACCCCAGCTCAGGCTATGACCCTTCTCTTTAGATCCTCAGCCTAGTACCAGGAAAAGCATCTCTCTAACATTTTGTAGTTAGCCTGCCTACCCATAGGCTTTGTCAATACCATAATATTTTGAGTTATTTATAATTAGATAGAAAACAGGCTAAGAGCCAAGGAAGTGTTATCTATATGAAGCGTTGGCAAATGTTTTCTGTAAAAGGATTTTTGTAAATATTTTTGGGTTTGTGGGCCATGCAGTCTCTATCACTCTGTCTTTGTAGTAGCAACAATACAAATAAATAAGTAAATGGGTGTGGCTATATTCTAATAAAATTTTGTTTATGGGCTCTGCGTTAAGCTGTTCTTGCATTGCCATAAAGAAATACCTGAGACTGGGTAATTTATTTAAAAAAGAGTTTTAATTGGTTTGTGGTTCTGCAAGCTGTACAGGAAGCATAGCAGCTTCTGCTTCTGGGGAGGCCTCAGGAAACTTACAATTGTGGTGGAAGGCAAAAGAGGAACAGGCATGTCACATGGTGGGAGCAGGAGCAAGAAAGAGAGTGGGGAGAGAGGGGCCACACACTTAAACGACCAAACCTTACAAGAACTCACTGACTATCACGAGGTCAGCACCAAGCTATGTTGCCCCCATGATCAAACACCTCCCAACAGGCCCCACCTCCAACATCAGGGGGTTACAATTCAACATGAGATTTGGGCAGTGACAAATATTCAAACTATATCATTCAGCCCCTGGCCCCCACCAAATCTCATGTTCTTCTCACATTGCAAGATGCAGTCATGCCTTCCTAATAGTCCCCCCAAATCTCAACTTATTCCAGCATTAACTCAAAAGTTCAAAGTCTCATCTGAGACTAATCTCCTTCCACCTATGAGCCTATAAAATGAAAACAAGTTATTTACTTCCAAGATACAATGGGGGTACAGGCATTGGGTAAACACTGGGAGAAACAAAGGGAGTAAGTAGTTCTTTACCCAAATGTTTACATTGGGGTAAACAAAGGGAGAAATTGGACAAAAGAAAGGGGATACAGGCCCCACGCAAGTCTAGAACCCAGCAGGGGAGTCATTAAATCTCAAAACTCCAAAATAGTCATTTGATTTCATTTCCTGCATCCAGGGCACGCTGGTGCAAGGCGTGGGCACCCAAGGCCTTGGGAAGCTCCACCCCTATGGCTTTTCAATGCTGATATTGCAAGTTGCTGATGGCTCTACCACTCTGAGGTCTGGAGGGCAGCAGCTCCCTTCCCACAGCTCCACAAGGCAGTGCTTCAGTGGGAACTCTGTGTGGGAGCTCCAAACTCACATTTCCCCTCCATGCTGCCCTTGTAGAGGGCATCTTTGGGGGCTCCACCCCTTCAGCAGGCTTCTGCCTGGGCACCCAAGCTTTTCCATACATCCTCTGAAATCTAGGTGGAGGTTGCCAAACATTCTTCACTCTTGCAGTCTGTGTGCCTGCAGGCTTAACATCATATGGAAACCACCAAGGTTTATGGCTTGCATTCTCCAAAGTGGCAGCCTGAGCTGTATGTGGGCCCCTTTGAGCCATCGCTGGAGCTGGAGTGGCTAGGATGTGGGAACCAGTGTCCCGAGGCAGTACAAAGCAACAGGGCCCTGGGCCAGGCCCACAAAAACATTCTTTCCCCCTTGGACTCTGGGCCTGTGATGGGATGGGCTGCCACAAAGATCTCTGAAATGCTTTAAAGATCTTCAAGGTCTTGGCTGTTAGCACTTGGCTCCCTTTTAGTTACACAAATTTCTCTAGCAAGTGGTTGCTCCACAACCTGCTTGAACTCCTGCCCTGAAAATGCTTTTTCTTTCTCTGCTACATGGCCAGGATGCAAATTTTCCAAGCTTTTACTCTCTGCTTTCTTTTTAAATATGAATTCCAAATTCAAGTCATTTCTTTGTTCCCGCATCTTAGCATAGGTTGTTAGAAGCAGCCAGGTCACATATTGAATGCTTTCTGCTTAGAAAATTCTCCCACTGTATACCCTAAATCATCATTCTGAAGTTCAAACTTCCACAGATCCCCAGGGCAGAGGCGCAACGCAACCAGGTTCTTTGCTAAGGCATAACACATGTGACCTTTGCTTCAATTCCCAATAACTGCCTCATTTCCGTCTGAAACCTCATCAGCCTGGACTTCATTGTCCATATCACTATCAACATTTTGGTTAGAACCATTTAACTAGTCTCTAAAAAGTTGCAAACTTTCCCTCATCTTCCTGTCTTCTTCTGAGCCCTCCAAACTCTTCTAACCTCTGCCTGTTAGCCAGTTCCAAAGTCATTTCCACATTTTGGAAATGCTGCACTCCTGGCACTAATTTTCTGTATTCGGCTGTTCTTGCATTGCTATAAGAAATATCTGAGACTGGGTAACTTATTTAAAAAAAAACAGGTTTAATTGGCTCATGGTTCTGTTAGCTGTGCAGGAAGCATAGCAGAACCCTCAGGAAACTGAAAATGGTGGAAAGCAAAGGGAAAACAGGCACATCACGTGGCAGGATCAAGAGAGTTGGGGCGGGGGAGGTGCCATACATGCACACAGCTAGATCTTACAAGAACTCACTCACTATTGCAAGGAAAGCAGCAAGTCATGAGGGATCCACTCCCATGACACCTAAACACCTCCCACCAGGCTCCACCTTTTACACTGGGGACAACAGTTCAACATGAGATTTGGGTGGGGACAAATATCCAAACTATATCAGGCACTAAAATTTGAATTTCATGTAATATATTCACATGTCAAAAAATAGTATTATTCTTTATTTTCCCTCCACTTTACCATTAAAAAATGTGAAAAACGTTATTAGCTGCAGGTCATATAAAAACAAGTGGTGGGCAGGATTTGGGTCCTGGGCTATACTTTTCCAATCCCTGGACTGGATGGTTCAGGCCTGTTAAGATTCACCATTTCTCCAGCATAGTGTTTATATAAAATGGAAACTAATGGGTGGTGTGGATTGTTTAACTCACCCACCTGCATGGGTAAGCCTGTAGGAATCCCTGAATTCCAGAAATCTGGAGGCTGCAGGTGCACGGTGGGGAGCCTGCCCAGGGTTTTGTGTGTGTGCAGAATTACCCTGTGGAACCAGGCACAGGCTCCCCATGCCAAGAACATCCTTCCTAAAGCCCAGCCACAGGCCCTCGCCTGATAATTATCCTGTTCTGGTTCTCTCTATACTTATTTGAGAAGACGCCTGTTAAGAGCCAGTATTTAGACTTCTTAATCTTCATCATGTTATTTAACATAACAAAATAGTTGTATGCATGGGGCCTAGACTGCCAGAGTTTGAATCCCAGATATCACTGTGCTTTCCTTGAATAAGTTGATTATCTTCTCTGTGCCATATTTCTTCAACCATGCTGTGGTGAGAATTAGCTGAGTCAATACATAGAAAGGAGCTTTAATGTGCCTAGTAAAAGTTTGGCATTATTATGCCTGTTCTGCTTCCCTCCTCTTTCTCACCTGAATCCATCCATCCAACATTTATAAAGTGCCAGGCTCTGTGTGGGAAAGGAAATGTAAAACCAGGGGAGACTTGGCGCTGGTCCTGGAGTCCTTCAGTCTATTCAAGATTTGAGCTGTTTCAGTTAGCTATTGCTACCATCTCAAAACTTAGTGACTGCAAATAGCAGCAAACATTTATTTGCCTACAGTTCAGCAATTACAGCAGAGTTCAGTGCAGATGGCTCGTCTCTGCTCCACATAGTGTTGGTGAGGGTGGTTCTACCAGAGCTGGAGGATCCAAGATAGCCTTGCTCACAAGTCTGGTACCTCTGCAGGGTGGCTGGAGCACCCAGGAGCTGGCTGAGTCAAATTCTCTCCCCTCAGCATCTCTCTCTCCATGTGGTTTCTCTCTCTAGCAGGACAGCTGGATTTGTGTACATGGCAGTTGGCTCCCATGAGGGTGAAAACAGAAGCATGTGTTTCTAGGAAACACACGCCAAGGCCCAGAGTCATACAGTGTCACCTGCACCACGTGCTATGGCCAAGGCAAGTTATAAGCCAGCCCAGATGTAAGAGGAGGCCAAGTCATCTCCACATCTTGGTGGGAAGAGCATGCAGGAGAGCAGGAGGAACTGTGGGTGCTGTCTTTGCAGCTCTTTAGCCACGAAGCTGGGGACAGAAAAACAAGGGAGTGAGCACCTTGTCTGGCTGCTTAACCCTTTACCACAAGAGCCTACAACAATGTTTCTGAAGTCACTCAAAAAATATTTATTTATCTGCTAGTTTTGAAGAGTTATCTTAATTTTGAAATGAATTGTCTTTTCAATGCTTTGTTCATTTTACTGAAAAAATATTGAAATAATGCTAATGAAAAATTACAGTTTCCATTCACTTACTCCACCCTAACTCAGAAACTTTGGCATGCCACTTTCTATTTGTATACATTCCATTTTTATGATGATAAAAGTTGTATAACATGATGGAAGATTTGAGAAGTAGACAAGCCTTTTACAGTCTGTTCCTATATAATTCTGTATTCAGCAATTTTTACTTATTACAATAGCAAACATTTTTTCCACCTCCCTACATGGTCTTCATAATTACCTTTTAAAAAATAGCTGCCATAATGTTCCATTGTGTTGATTCACCTCAATCCATTAAGTCCTTCCCCTTATGGTCATCTAGGCTGTCTCTGCTGTGAAACATTTTTCCATGTTTCAAGAGAACCTTCCTGATTATGTCTTTTGAAATGGCTGAATGATAGTTCATCATGTTTATCTTCCCTAATCTGTTAAAACATATGTCCCTCATGTTGGCCATCTTGGCTGTGTGCACAGACTAGGCCAGAATTGAGGCTGCTCACAGAGACACATGCTGAGATCAGGACAGGCTAAATCTGTGACTCAGGCAGAAGCAATGGGCAAGTCCAGGGGAATCAGGGCACCAAGGCACTGGGTCACAGAATAGCTTGACCAGCCCTTCTGAACTGCCTTTCCTCCTGTTTATCAATCAGTCTCACATGCCCAAGCTTTTGTCCTAGGATGTCTCAAAATGCCTCTTGCCTCTTCTCAGCTTCTTATTGTGATTTTTTTCAATGTTACAATAAACATATGGTGTCATAGGATTTTTTTATTTCTTTTGAATTATTTTATTAAGATAAAATTCCAGGGGTGAATTACTAGGTCAAAGGGTATGCATATCTTTGTGGCTTCTGCTATGAATTGCAAAATTGCTCTCCGAAACCGGGGTTGTTGTTGGATGTTACCGTTGAAAATCAGTCTGGATGCAAATGGGCATCTCCAAGTGTGCAGCTTTGGTTCTCTCATGTTCTCACTGTTGTCTTTGAGAGCTCACTTTTCTACCTGCTCCCTTACATTCAGGTCTCCAAGGAAAAGAGAGGCATCTTATCAATTTTAACATCCCCAATTCTACCACAGTGCCCATTTCTGCAGAGTAGAATGGAAATATTTAATAAATCAATGAATGATTATCTGCAATGAAAATTATTTTCTCAGGCTTAGGTTCAACTTCCATTTCCCTAGGCCTTGTTCATACTCCTGGGCCTCAGTTTACTCAACTATAAAATGGGGAGGACATCTGCCTTGCAGGATTTGTGTAGCGATTTGAGATGGTGTTTTTGAAGAGTCTACCATGGAATCTGACACAATGAAAAGCAACTATTTTTATTATGATGTCCTGTGCTCATTCACTGAATTTCCCATTGTGACAACCACTCATATACTTCTGTCTCTATGTTAGGATCTAGCTGTTTTGCTCACAAACTTGAATGCATTCTTCATATACTCCAGTTTTATAGTCTTGTCACATATTCTTCAAATATTTTCATCATTTTTCTTATAGAAGTTTATAATTTTATGTCTACATTTGTACCTTTTTTCTTAGAGATTTCTTTTATTTTTTGTTATATTCTCACAAATCTGATATATGTTCCATTGTCTACCAGTTTTTCTGTGATTTATTTTTTTTTATTTGAAAAATTTAACCCACCAGTCTATAGTAGAAGATGTACCTCTAAGTTAGTATTTCCCCAGGCTGGCATACTACCAGATTAGTTTACTTGAGCTGTTGAAGCACAGTACCAAAAGTTGGGTGGCTTAAAACGACAGAAATGTATTCTCTCACAATTCTGGAAGTCAGAAGTCTGAAATCCAGGTGCTGGCAGGGCTTGCTCCCACTGAAGGCTCTGGGGAAGATATGTTTCCTGTTTCTTCCAGCTTCTAGTGGCCCCAGGTGTTCCCTGGCTTGTGGCTGTATCATTCTAATCTCTACCTCCGTGCCACGTTACCTCCTTTTCTTTTCTGTTTGTTTCTCAAAACTCCCTTTGTTTCTGTCTTATTGGGACACTTGTGAGGGCATTTAGGACCTACTTGCATAATCCAGGGTAATCTCATCTCAAAATCCCTAATTTAACCACATCTGCACAGACCCCCTTTTCAAATAAGATAACATTGACCAGTTTTAGGGATAAGGACTTGACATCTTTGAGTGGTCACTATTAAATCTACTACAAGCACTTAAAAAAAACCCAACTCATTCTCTGTTCTTCGGGGGAAAGAACAGCATGTGTCCAAATGAGGTTAATACAGGGAGATGAACTCAGGAAGGTTGAAGGTGGGCTCTGTAGGGTGGGGGAGCAGCCCACCTCTGAGTTCTGATTTAGATCCTCAGTCCCACCTGTGGGGAAGGGGCCTATTTTAAATTCTATCCCATCAGTGCTGTCAACGGAAGCTCATGCTCTTGGGGTCTGGTGTGGAGACATCTTTTAGACTCTGGTGACTAGTTAGCTACCAATATCTTAGTGACAGAGTGCCCCGCTAGAAGATTATATCTCTCTGCCTTCCTTGCCTCTTGTTGTGGCCATGAGACTAAGTTCTGGTTAAAGATATGTAAATGAGAATTCACTGGATGGAATTTTCAGGGAAATTCCCTCAAAGGAAGACACATAACTGGGCAGTGACCTCGTTTCTCCTTACCGTTTGTCTTCTTTCTGCCCGAAATACAGATGTGATGGCTGGAGCTCTAGCAGTTATATTGAGCCATGATGTGAATGTAAAGCTTGAAGCCAGGTACTAGAAAGAGTGAAACAGAAGGCTAGACAGAGCTAGGACCCTGATGAGCTGCTGTACTAGTTCAGGGCTGCTTACTTATATATTTATTTTATGTGAGAGAAATAAGCCTCTAACTTAGTTAAGCCGCTTTGGTTAGTTGTTGTTAATAACAATACATCTCAGTGTCTAATTGGGATAATTTCAAAACTTTATTCCCTATCTTTCTTTATTGACGTTTGGCATGAGTTTTCTTTACCTATGGCTTTCAGTTCAAATGTCACTTCTTCAGCGCTACCTTCTTTTACCAACCACCGTATCTAAAGTTGCCACGCACGTTATTACATGCTCTGTCATGCTGTCCTGGCTGATGTTCTTTATTGTGCCTTTCATACCAGCAAACACCAGCAATTAATCCCTCCCTCCCTCCCTCCCTTCCTCCTTCCTTCCCATCCTCTTCCTTCCTTCCTTCCTTCCTTTTCTCTCCTTCCTTCTTTCCTTCCCTCTCCTTCTTTGTTCTCTGTTTTCCTTGCTGTAGACTGTAAGTTCTATGAAGGCAGGGACCCTGCCTGGTTTGCACCATGCCCGTTCCTGGGAGAGAGCTTTGCACGTGGCAGGTGCTGGATAAGTATGTGTGAATGGATGAGCCTGTGTGAGAACCAAAATGGGACACTGGGAGTAGGTGGTGCTGTTGAAAAATTTCCTTAGGGGAAATCCAAGAAGCCCGAGTGGAAAACCTGTCAGTGCAAGTGGTTAAGAGTCCAGGGTACTAAGGAGGAGGATGATGTAGACTTTCCTTAATCCTTCTCCTCCAGAGCGTAGAGCACAGCCACTCAGGGCCCCATTGCCTAAGCACAACATGAATTCACACTCATTGCTTGCACCCACTATTGCTCTTGGGGTCTGGAGTGGAGGCATCTTTTGGACTCTGGTAGCACAGATGACTAGTTAACTACCAATACCTTAGTGACAGAGTCCCCCACTGGACGATTATATCTCTTTGCCTTCCTTGCCTCTTGTTGGCCTCTACCAGCTGGCTGTGCTGTATGATCTCGAATTCCTAAAGCTTCCATGTCAGGATCTAGCTTGGTCCCATGGAGAAATAACCACCCTGAGACTAGGGAAGGAGGGTTGTTAACTAACTGAGCCCCCAACATCCCTAGTGGCACAGGCCTTTTTCTCCCTGGAAGATATTTGACAGAAATGGCTCTGGTTTCTCCGTCTCATTTCTGGGTTAAATCCCACTAGTCTCAGTTGCCCAGCCCAGGTCTTACTCTGTATTAGTCCATTTTCACACTGCTATAAAGAACTACCTGAGACTGAGTCATTTATAAAGGAAAGAGGTTTAGTTGACTCACAGTTCCACATGGCTGGAGAGGTCTCAGGAAATTTACAATCATGGCGGAAGCCAAAAGGGAAGCAAGACACATCTTACATGGCAGTAGGAGGTAGGGGGGAGGTACTACACTTTTAAAACCATCAGATCTCATGAGAACTTACTATCAGGAGAACACCACGGGGGAAACCGCCCCCATGATCCAATCACCTCCCACCAGGTCCTCCCTTGACACGTGAAGATTACAATTCTAGGTGAGATTTGGGTGGGGATGCAGAGCCAAACAGGATCACACTCCTTCATGGAGCCTTGCCCAGTTTCTTTGGTTCACCTGGGTTTTTTCTGTTCTGATCGCCATGCCTCTCATTTCGATGTCATTTGTTCATTTACTCTTTTATTCATTTAACTAAAAGGGCCTCCTCTGTGCGGGGCACTATGCCAGTCACTGGGGGTTAGAATGAGAGCAAACATAGACATGGTCCCTATTGATCACATATCAATTATCTAGCAGATGTTTCCAGTTTGCAGTGCTTTGGCAGTCACCAAGTAGAATAAATGCAAGGCCACAGTTAGGTGACATACACAAAGCAGACAACACTAAACAGCTTTCAGCCACCATACTGCAAGCACTCATCTCATGCCAGCTTGGTGACAGCTGCAAAAAAAGCTTTCCCATGGGCCACAACCTGTTTCATGCTTTTAAGGCGGCAGACTGTGCATATCTGTGAGCTGCTGTTTTGTGGGTCTCCTGGGGCTGGAGCTGAGAGCAGGACTGTCAGGAGGTTGCTGTGGGCAGTGGACTCTGAAGGGCAGCCCTGCTTTCTGAAAGATGGCTGCTGAGCACAAGTGTGGGAGAAGGAGAACTGTCACCCTACAGAAAAGTGAGACTTAAGGTCTGGGGGACTAAAAGGCAGAGGGGACGGAGGTTTTGATTCTTTGAGTGAAAGCCCATGAGCCCACAGCAGGGTGGCACAAAAGCCAACTAAAGAGTCACAGAAGAGCCTTAAATGGCACCATCCAAGGGGCAGAGAGGCTGTCCTTCTTCTTCTCCTGCGTGTGGGTGGGGGTGGGGCTGGGTCACACAGAGCCTGCCTTTCCCTGCTTGGCAAGCTCAAACATGCTCTTAACACAACTGGTCAACCAGTGCGCTCTGTTCCATGACCTCAAATACAAATGCAATCAACTCTCCATTTTAACCTTGCTTTTTAATCTAGAATCCAAACGACCCCAAAGCCTGTTGTTCCTATCATCGACTGGTGTGACTAAGAGGCAGCTTCTATGTTATATCACAGGGCCAGCAGGATGTAGCCAGTCCCCCACATGGCTCACAAGTGCAGCACTGTATCCATGGGTAATTTACACGCAGGGCGATGTCCCTGGGCCCCTGCTGGATTCTGAGGTGTCGACAAACCAGCACGGGTGGGCCGTGTTCTGGAGCACTTTAACCTTGGGTGTATTTCACTGGAACTTGATTCTCTGAAAATGGCACGGCGTCTCTGGCACCCAGTTAATTAGAATGTTGAAGCAACCAGACCAGCCCATGGTTGACCTTGCTGGGCCGGCTGTGTTTACTGAATGCATGTGGAGCACCCACTTTGTTATGATCTGTCTGTTTTTAATACCATCTGGCTTCTCCCTGCCACCCAGAACACTTTGGGCTTCTCCCACCCCTGTGCTGCAGGCTGCTCAGGGAACGTAAATTCATTTTTGAGATTAAGCAAAACATAATTAAGAGGGCAAATCTCTTAGAGGAAATAAAACCATAAACAGTGATGCAGACCAGCCAAAATTACCTGCTGCTTTAACCACCTGTTTATCCGCCCTTTCACTGAGCGTGGTGAGTATTTTGGAGTTGACCTTCATGGCTCTGTGGCTCCGGAAGCTTCGACACGTGGTTTTGTTGGCAGATCTTCATTCCTGGTGTTTCACCAGGCTGTGAACTCTCAATTGCTGGGGACCAGAGCTTCAGTGGACCTCACTCCAGCACATGCTCCACCCACACGCATGGGCCTGCCTTCACCGGGATGCGTAAGGCTTCCAAGGGAAATCACCAAGGTTCCTTGGGATCAGCAATGTGATGCTGCGAGTCTGTGGGAGTAAAGATGAAGCAGCAGCGCCGGCTGGCAGGGTGTCTGCTGAGATTCTGTGTCCTCCAGGTGGCCCCAGGAAGGGATGGAAGCTGTCCTCACCCAGAGAGCCTAGTGGAACAGCCACTGGTGACCTCCCAACCCTGTCTCCAGAATGATCCCCCAGCTTCTACCGCTTCACTACTGCCCCACTCCCCTCCTTCCCCACTCTCCTCCTGCACCTGTTATGGTTTGAATTGTGTGCTCCATCCCCAAACTAGAGATATGTTGAAATAGAGAAGCTCTTACCCCAATTCCTCAGAATGTGACCTCATTTGGAAAGAGGGTTGTTGCCGATGTGGTCAGTTAGATGGAGTCATACTGGAGTAGGGGGAGCCCCTAATCCTAGATGACTGGTGTCCTTATATGTACACAGCCACGTGAACACAGACACACAGGGAGAACATGGCGGGAGGACGAAGGCAAAGACTGGAGTGACGAGGCTGCAAGCCTAGAAACCCCAAAGACTGCCAGCAAGCCCGCAGAAGCTAGGAAGAGTCAAGGAAGGACTCCCCTGTGGCTTTCAGAGGCGGCATGGCCCTGCCAGCACCTTGACCTAAGTCTCGAAGCCTCTGGAACTGTGGGAAAATATATTTCCTCTGTTTTAATCCATCCGATTTGCAGTACTGTGGCACAGCAGCTAATAGGCAGGAAACCAACACACCCTCCTAGCTCATTAGGTTGCCCCAGAGGTTAGTTTATTGTGAAGCTTGTGAAGTGTAAGATTCGGATCCTTCCTTGTGCAGGCTCCTTCCAAAGCCCTGTACTTCATTTTGTGTTTGCAATTTTGTATGCTTTCTCTTAAAAAATGCTCCCCCCAACTGGGTAAGATTTGGACTCCCCAAAACCCGGATCTGGATCCACAGTCCTTGCCCTGCTTGAGCTCCAGCCCAGGCCCCTCTGCCAGGGCACAGCAGAGCCAGAGCAGGGCTCTGGGAAGCCCCCTCAGGGCAGACCCACACGTTCCGCTTGGGTTCTGCGGCATCCCTGCTCTGTGGACAGTATCACCATCAGGAGGCCATGGGAAGAGAGCTCAGTGTTAGGTTGCTTTATCCATTTGTCAGGGAAAAGACTGAATTAGAAACCTTCCGGGGTCTCTTCCAGCCAAGTGCCTTGGGGATAACTGCATAGACTCACATTCTTTCAGAGTCCCAGTGAGAAGCTAAAGTTCCAGCCGGCAGCCTCTGTTTGAATAGAGCCAAAGAGCCTGATGTGATGAGAGCCAGAGCCCCGGGGAGGCCTGTCGTGGCTGCAGCGTGGCCACCCTTAGCCCAAGCTGCTCTGCTTCATGGCTTCCCCACTTCCAACCAGCACTCATCTTCATTCCCTACATTCAGATGGGCAGAGATGGCAGAAATGCCTGCTCACCACCGCCATGTGCACACACGCACACACGGACACGTCGCTTGTCCCAGTGGGGCTTCGTTCTCATCCTGCTTTCCCACCTCCAGGCCACTCCTAATTCAAACCAGTATCTCAAACACTTATGTGGCATTTAGTCTGTGCTAGGTGCTGTGGCGAACGGCACAAGGGTCCTGGGAACAGTGCATTCTCTAAAGAGGGAGACAGATGTGAAAGTAAATAGCCACACCGCATATAAATAACATGAAAGGATGTGGTGAAGGCCCAGTGTGTAAGCAACATGCTATCTGACTTCTTGAGGAGCAATGAATTCGGATTTGGGTGGGGAGTGGGGAGGCTTTATGAAGGAGGCACTGCTAAAAATCATGTGATAGATTGACAGGCCTGACCCATCAGGGACGAGCAAAGTTCCTGGAGGGCCCTGATAGGAATCCTCAGCAGCTGGGCTTGGGAAGGTCCAGGCACCTCACGAGGTAGGTCCAGGTGACTGGGACACGGGAGGGCTCCAGACAGCCGCTATTTGCCACACGGAACCAAAGCATTTCACTGTTTTAACAAGCGGTTCAGCTGGTCCGGAGTATCCCTGCTGGCTCTCAGCCCTAAAGTGGCGTGAGGGCTGGGCACGTCGACAGCACTTGATCCGCTCCTTCCCTCTGGAAATGCATTTCCTTCCATTACCAGAACAGCCTCTCACAGTTTGGCCTGCCTCTTCTCATGCTATGTCGAAACAAAGCCACCTGCCTCCCATGAAAGACGGCATTGTTTTTCCACCTGAGCCACCCACACCTGGGCAGGTAGAACAGCGGGTCCCCACTCCAGGGAGCTCTCCCACTCGGGCCTGTCATGGCTCACACCCCGAGCAGCTGCTGTGCTTGCCCTGTGTGGAGGGTAGCAGGGTGCCTCCTGGGCAGCAGAATGGTGGGGTGCACTGGATAACGAGACAGTGGGTGTGGCTCCCATGAAATAAACAACCCCTGGGCATTGCACATTCAGGCACAGTGCTGCAGTTTTCTTAAAGATGTAATTATCTCTGGGAAAGCTACTCTCCTCAGAGCTCACCGACCCTTGGGGGATAAAATGTTGACAAAGGAAGAAATGTATGAGATTTTGTTTTGTTTTGTTTTTCTTTAGACAATTGAGCCACCCACAATCACAGTTATGTAAAAGTCTCACTCCTGTAATCCCAGCACTTTGGGAGGCTGAGGCGGGTGGATCACTTGAGGTCAGGAGTTCCAGGCCAGCCTGGCCAACGTGGAGAAACCCCGTCTCTGCTAAAAATACAAAAATTAGCCAGGCGTGGTGGTGCATGCCTGTAGTCCCAGCTACTTGGGAGGCTGAGACACAAGAATGGCTTGAACCGGGGAGGCAGAGGTCGCAGTGAGCTGAGCTCGCACCACTGCACTCCAGCCTGGGCGACAGAGAGAGACTCTGTCTCAAAAAACAAACAAACAAAACAAAAAAACACACTTCCATAAAAGCAAATTCTCATAACTGAAGTCTCCAGGAAAAGAGCAAAGACCAGAACCCCGAGCATACGAGTGAGGGTCAGGTGCAGGCCCTCAGGGTGGGGTCTAGGGGCACTAAACCCAGGCTGCTTCCACTGCTGGCTGCTTCAAGGGCTGGTGTTGCTAGGGGTGTGGCCCTGTCTTTAAAATGCCTGTTAAGACATAGATTACCTGGGCAGAGCCTTTGAGATGAGTTTTTAAATTTAGTGGAGTGCCTCATCTGAGACCTTCAGGCAAGAGTGGAGCACAGAGGAAAGGGGGTATGTGGCATGGCATTCTGCGTGTGGGGGTGGGGAGGGGGAGAGAGAAATGCAGAGAGAGAAGGCACCAGCCACAAGGCTTGTCGATGAGAGGTGGCCTGAAGACCCTGGGCCCCTCAGGGCTGGCACTCCTGCAGCTCTTGTTGTCTCTGCCCTGCCACAGAGCACATATGCTCACACCTACAACTTCTCCATTCTGACATCAGCAAAGGGACAGCAAGTTTTATGCTTCAGGTTGTTTTCTTGCCTCCAGTCCTGAAAAGCAAACCTGTAGGTGCTGGACCCACAGAGCACCTCTGAGCCATCCTGTCTGCACCTCCAGGTGCCTGCATGTCCCCGCAGGCCCAGGACTCCTCTGTGCTGGCTGGGCAACTCTTGCTCACTTCCGTTTCTCACAGCCTCCTCTTCCCCCTTTCTCCCGTCTTTGTCATTTTTAATCGTCTCACTTTCCTGTCCACCTTCTCACAGTGTCTTTCTCAAGAGAGAAGCAAACTGCGGGTCAAAGTGCACCACCAGCCACCAACAGCTAGCTTCCGGATCAAGTAGGATGGAAATGGTTTATTCCTCCAAAGACTCTTAAAAGAGCAGCCCCTGCTGCAGAATAGAAAGAGGCTCCAGAGGAGCAGTGAGCTCGAGGAACCCCCCTGAAGATCCCCAGTTTCTGTATGCAGCTGCATCAGGCCCAGACAAATTCTTCCATCTGGAGCGTGTCCCCGCAGATCTTCCCAGCCGCGGCTGTGGTCCGCGTTATCTCAGGCTGTCAGGTCTCAGAAATTAGAAACCATCTCATTTCATCAGGGTCATCCCACACCGTCTGCCACCATAGATGGAGAGGATTTCAAGTGATGTTTTCTGAAGATGGTTCTGTTGTCCCGGGAGAGCCCTTGGCGGACATGGTAGTGCCAGTCAGAGCCCTTGACGCTGTGCAGCCAGGTGGCTTATTGTCCCAGTGACTTTCCAACCAGATACTCTCAGTCAGAGTGAAGGGCTCCACTTAGAAACTCCCTTTCCCATTAACTCGTCAGAGTTATGCCATTCCTCTTTATTCTTTTTAAAATATTTATACTCAAAGAAATTGTATGGGGAGTGAGCACACACCAATCATATAACTGTCAAATGAAAGCCTTTCCTTAAATGTTCAAGGGCGCCGGAGGAATAAATTTGGAGTCATGCAGATCTTGTTTCACGAGTGTGTACATGTGTATGAAACTTTATGTGGGTGGAAAACCAACAAGAGAAAAAAGAGAGCAGAAACTGTTGTGTGATTGCGTTTTCCTGCCCGAGACATCCTGTGCTCTGCATCTGATAACCTGCCACCAGTGAGTATTTTTTATGGGTTTTGGAGAACCCATTATGTGCACCACATTGGCATGATTTGGGATTTTAAGACATGGTCCTTCTCCTCAAGAAGCATATGATCTTTGGGGGAAAATAGAAAAGTTACATGTGTGATTCACTATGGAGCCCCCTCCCCAGCGCACCCCCTAAGTAAAGTTGATGTATGCAGTGCTCGGTGAGGTGTTCTGAAGGGAAGTTTAGAGGGGGAAGAGTGGCGTGGGCTCAGGTTCCAGGAGAAGGCTCCATGGGTGGGTGCTCCAGGTCATTTGGGGAAACAGCAGGTGCCAAGGCACAGAGGCAGGAAAAATGAACACGGGCGGAGGCTTGGAGGGGCTGCAACTGTGCTGTCATTCTACTCCTTGGTTCAGGAAAAGATCAGGGGGCCAGGCAAGATGGCTTACACCTGTAATCCTAGCACTTTGGGAGGCCAAGGCAGGAGGATCGCCTGAACCCAGGAGTTTGAGACCAGCCTGGGTAACAAGGCAAAATCTCATCTCTACAAAATTACAAAAATTAGCTGGGTGTGGTGGCACACACTTGGGGAAGCTGAGGTGGGAGGATCACTTGAGCTTGGGAGGTCAAGACTGCAGCGAGCTGTAATTGTGCCACTACACTCCAGCCTGGGTGACAGAGTGAGAGTCTGTCTCAAAAAAATAAAATGTAATTTAAAAGATTAGGGCCTTTGATTCCTGAAAACTCTGATTGGAGACCATCAGCAGGTCACTTATTCTTGAAGCCTCAGTGTCTCATGAGCAGAAGGCTAAGAGGTGAGAGTCCAAACATGTGACCAACAGTAGCAGCACGGGCACCACCCAGTAAGATCTGATACTGGCTGAGGTCCCTGTTTGGGCCTTGTATTAACCTTTTAGCTGCAGTGTCATGAGGAGATGGCAGTACAGAGTGGCAGGGGGTGCCTGGGGCTCAGGGTGGCAGCTTTTACAGAAGCATCTTGTTATTTTAGCAGCCAGTACAAATGTACTGGTGTGTGCCAGGAGAATGTCAGCCCTGGTAATCATGATACTTGTTCTGCTGACCTTATATGGCTGTGGTAAAGATCAAATATCATAATGAACATGGCAGCACTTTGTAAAGTGTCACAGGCTATGCAAATACGAATTGTTGCTAATCCTGTCATTACAGGGTGGTATGTTACAGTGTGGTATGCTGGGTAGAAAACAGAAATGCAAGCCTGTAAAATAATAATGTAACCAGAAAGAGAGAGATTGTTGGGACCATTTATAATTGGATATTGCTTATTTTATTTAAAAAATATATCATTTAACATAAAGTGCTAAATATTAAAAACTTCTAATATGTCACATTCACAGCAAGATTATAAACCCAAGAGCAAGAATTTGTGACTTACTGCACTTTGTATCCTTTAGAGCAGAGGTTCTCAAACTCAAGACTCTTCACACTTTTATTTTTTAAGAGACAGGCTGGAGCGCAGCAATGTGATCACAGCTGACTGCAGCCGGGAACTCCTGGGCTCAACAATCTTCCCACCTGAGCCCCTTGAGTAGCTGGGACTACAGGTGCATGCCACTGTGCCCAGCTAAAGTCTTCACACTCTTAACAAATTATTAATGAGTCTTCTCCTTTGGGAAGATAGATTAGACAAAATTCCATATTCCTCCCACTATGTACAGCTAAAAACTCTGGACATTCTGTGTGAAACAAACATAAGAAAACTCTGAAAGGTGAACAGAAGGTGCCAGATTGGCTAGGAACCGCAGGACCCAAGGAGTCACACAGTGGTAAGTTCCTGGGTTCATTTTTTGTCCCGTATATTCCAGACTTGGAGCTGAAGAAGCAGGCAACCTGGAAATATCAATGGGCACAGACCAGAAAAGCCCCAACAAAAACCTCCTCTCTCCAGCCAGAAGCCCAGGAAAGGGGTAGCAAAACAAGACGGAAAACTTGTAGACAATAATCACCCTAGGCCAGCCAAAACCCATGACCACACCCAAACCCAGGCTAGCAGAGGCAGGTGGGGAGCCTAGGCCTGTACTCTCATGAGGCTGTAACGAGGCTCCTCAGCACCCTCAGCGGGCTACTGTCGGAGAAGGCCACAAAGGGAGCCAGGATATCATCTCTGCCAGCCTCTGAGTCTCTCTTTCACACACACACACATGCACCACACATATACACACACATACACACATACACACATATACACACGTATACACACCACACTTACACACACGTGCACACACACATACACCTACACTACACATACAAACACACCACACACATACACACCACACACATACACACATCACACACAACACACATACACACAACACACATGCACACATATACACACACATATACACACACGTGTACACCACATACATACACACGTAAACACACCAGACACAGCTACATACACATATACATACACATACATACACATACGCACACAAAACACATATACACACATACACAGACACATACACATATGCACACACATACACACATCATATACACATACACATACCACACACACATATGCACATACACACACGTGCACCAGACACACATATATACACACAGACACACACAAATACACTCACACCACACACACACACACACACACAGTGTTGGTCCATTTGTGCTGCTGTAAAGAAAGAAACACCTGAGGCTGAGTAATTTCTAAAGAAAAGAGATCTATTTTGGCTCATGGTTCTGCAGACTGTACAGGAAGCATAGTGCTGGCATCTGCTTCTGGTGAGGGCCCCACAAAGCTTCCAGTCATGGCAGAATGTGAAGGAGGACCAGCATACCACACGGCAAGAGCAGGAGCAAGAGAGAGAGGAATAAGTTCCAGATTCTTTTAAGCAAGCAGATTTTGTGTGAACTCACAGAGGGAGAACTCACTCATTACCTCAAGGACAGCACCAAGCCATTCATGAGGGATCTGCCCCAATCACCCATGCACCTCCCACCAGGCCCCGCCTCCAACATTGGGGATTACATTTCAACATGACATTTGGAGAGCACAAACATCCAAACAATATCATTCCACCCCTGGCCCCCAAATCTCATGTCCTTCTCACGTTGCAAAACCATCAGCCTTCCTCAAGAGTTCCCGAAAGTCTTAACTTGTTTCAGCATCAGATCAAAAGTCCCATGTCGAAAGTTCTGACTCTCATCTGAGATTCAAGGCATGTTCCTTTAAGCCTGTAAGAGCTTGTAGGATCAAAACAAGTTATTTACTTCAAAGATACAATGGTGGCACAGGCATTGGGTAAGCATTTCTGTTCCAAAAGGGAGAAGTCAGCCAAAAGAAAGGGGAAACAGGCTCCACACAAGACCAAAATCCAGCAGGGCAGACGTTAAACTTTAAAGCTTCAACAAAATCCTTGACTCCATGTTCCACATCTAGGGCACACTGATGTAAGGGGTGGGCTCACAAGGCCTGGCAGCTCTGTCCCTGTTTATTTGCAGGGTGAAGCCCCTGTGGGTGCTCTCATGGGTTGGAGTTGAGTTCCTGTGGCTCTTCCAGGCTCAGGGTGCAAGAGCCCCCAGCTGTGTGGGGTCTCCAACCCCACATTTTCCCTTGGCATTGCTCTAGTAGAGGCTGTCTGCAGGGGCGTGGCAGTGTGGCAGTCTTCTGCCTGGGCACCCAGGCTTTCTCATGTGTCCTCTTAAATCTAGGTGGAAGCTGCCAAGCCTCCTTCACTCTTGCATTCTGTGCACCTGCAGGCTTAACAGTGTGTGGTAGCTGCCACTTATGGCTTGTGTCCTCTGAAGTTGTGGCTTGAGTTGTACCAGGGGCCCTTTGAGCCATGACTGGAGCTGTAGCAGTGAGGATGCAGGGAGCTGTGTCCTGAGGCTGCACAAGGAAGTGGGACCCTGGGCCTGGCCACAGAAACCATTCTTCCTTCTGGGCCTGTGATGGGAGGGGCTGTCCCAAAGACTTCTGAAATGCCTTTGAAGCCTTTTCCTCATTGTCTTGGCTATTAGCACTTAGCTCCCTTTTAGTCATGCAAATCTCTCTAGGAAGTGATTACTCCACAGCCCACTTGTGTTTCTCACCCCGAAATGCTCTTTCCTTCTCTATCACATGGCCTGTTTTGAATTTTCCAAACTTTTAAGCTCTGCTTTCTTTTTAAATATAAATTCCAAACTTTAATCATTCGTTTGCTCCTGTATCTGATCACAGGTTGTTAGAAGCAGCCACGCCACTTCTTGAATGCTTTTCTGCTTAGAAATTCCCTCCACCAGATGCCCTAGGTCTTCACTCTTAAGTTCAGCCTTCCACAGATCCCTAGGACATGGACACACATAGCCAAGTTCTTTGCTAAGGTATAACATAGGTGACCTTAGCTCTAGTTCCCAATAACTACCTCATTTCCTTCCAAAACCTCATCAGCCTGGCTTTCGCTGCCCATATTTCTATCAGCATTTTGGTCCCAGCCACTTAACAAGTCTCTAAGAAGTGCCAAACTTTCCCTCATCTTCCTGTCTTCTGAGCCCTCCAAACTCTTCCAACCTCAGCCCATTACCCAGCTCCAAAGCTGCTCTCACATTTTCAGGTCTCTTTATAGCAACACCCCACTCCTTGGTACCAATTTTCCGTGTTAGTCTGTTCCTGTAGAGGAATCCCTGAAGCTGGGTAACTTATAAAGAAAAGAGGTTTATTTGGCTCATGGTTTCACAGGCTGTACATGAAACATAGTGCCAGCATCTGCCTCTGGTGAGGGCCTCAGGAATCTTACAACCATGGCAGAAGGCAAAGGGGAAGCAGGCATGTCATATGGTGAGAGAGGGAGCAGGAGTGAGAGCAGGGAGGTATCACACTCTTTTACAACCAGACCTCACATGAAGTCATAGAGAGAGAACTCAATCACTACCTCGAGGAGGGCACCAATCCCTTCAAGAGGGATCTGCCCCTATAACCCAAACAACTCCCACTATGCCCACCTCCAACGTTGGAGGTCACATTTCAACATATTTGGAGGGGACAAGACATTCAAACAATATCACACACCATACACACACACACACACAAACACACACACACACGGAGACCATGTCGGCACTTGGACATCCACCCTGACCTGGAAGCAATGAGGCAGGAACCCCTCCTCCCTCCCTGATAGGGTGATGTCAGAGAAAGTTTACTAGAGCATCACAGCATTCATTGCCTAGAGATAATGAGTTCACTTTCACCACAGTGTCAGTGGAGACCCACTGGGAGCTAGAACTCCCACCCCTACTGGGTATATGACATCTCCACCTCGGCTGTCACTGAGTTGAGTGGGAACCCTGGGCTTCCTCCACTTGTAGTGATGAGGTGCTACTCTCCCTTATTTCATGTCAGAGTGGCGTCAGAGACAGCCAATCAAAACATATGATTTAAGTAAGATCCACAGTCTCATAATGCAAAGGAGTCCAGGTTTAATAAAAAAAAAATCACTTATCATACCAAGAGCCTGGAAGACCTCAAGCTGAATGAAAAAAAAAAAAAAGGCTGTCAATAGATGCCAATGCCAAGATGACAGAGAAAGTAGAATTATGAGGCAAAGATTTTAAGGCAGACATGATAAAATGCTTCAACAAGTAATTTTGAACACGCTTTAAACAGATGAAAAAAAGAAAGCCTTAGCAGAAAGAAAAGATACAGAGAAGAACCAAGTAGATATCTTGGAACTGGAAGATACAATAAAAGACATAAAAAGCTCAGTGGATGGGCTCAACAGCAGAATGGAGAGAACAGAGGAAAGAATCAATGAACCAGAAGACAGAGGGATGGGAATTACTCAATCTGAAAAACAGAGAGAAAATGGACTGAAAACGAAGTGAACAGAGCCTCAGGGGCCTATGGGACTATCACAAAATCTCTTAAGAGTTATGTAATTGAAGTTATGGAAGCGGGAGGGAGAGGGGAAGAAAGCTGAAAACCAACTTAAAGAAATAATAGCTGAAAATGTCTCAATTTGGCAAGATACATAAACCTGCAGATTCAAGAATCCAAGCAAACCCAAAATAGGATAATCCCAAATAAATCCATGCCAAGACGCATCATAAACTTCTGAAAACTAAAAAAAAAAAAAAATCTTGAAAGCAGCCACAGAAAAATGACACCTTGCCTACAACCTCCTTCAATAAGCCAATGGCTAAGCAAACCATAATGTATCCATACCATGGAATACTAGTCAGCAATAAAAAAGAATAAACTGTTGATATATGCACCTGGATGAATCTCCAGAGAATTATGCTGAATTAAAAAAAAATAGCCAATTCTAAAATTGCAATTCCAAAATGCAATATTGTATAATTGCATTTGTTTAACATTCTTGAAATAACAACATTATAGAAAAGGAGAACAGACTAGTGTTTGCCATGGGTTAGGGAAAGGATCAGGATGGGAGGAAAGTGGGGGTGGCTGTAAAAGTGCAACATGAGGAATCCTTGTGGGGGATGGGAATATTCTTTATCTTCGCTGTATCAGTGTCAATCTTCTGCTTGTGATAAGGTACTATAGTTTTGCAAGATGTTACCATTGTTACTCAGGAAATTGAGTGAAAGGTGTCCAATATTTCTCTGTACTACTTCGTATAACTGCACATGAATCTATAATTATCTCAAAATAAAAAGTTTAATTTAAAAATTATTGGAAACAGCAAAGAGCTTACTTACATTGATTATATCTATTGATATTTAGTGTATTAAAAACTAATCCAGGCTAGGCGTGATGACTCACGCCTGTAATCCCAACATTCTGGGAGGCCGAGGCAGGCAGATCACCTGAGGTCAGGAGTTCGAGACCAGCCTGGACGAAAGGGTGAAACCCCATCTCTACTAAAAATACAAATATTAGCCAGGTGTGGTGGTGCATGCCTGTAATCCCAACTACTCGGGAAGCTGAGGCAGGAGAATCACTTGAACCCGGGAGGCAGAGGTTGCAGTGAGCCAAGATCGCACCACTGCACTCCAGCCTGGGCAACAGGAGTGAAACTCCGTCTCAAAAAATAAAAAAGATCAACTAAACCAGAAGTCAGGTACCCTGGTTCATGCCTGTAATCCCAGCACTTTTGGAGGCCGAGGGGAGAGGATCATCTGAGTCTAAGAGTTTGAGACAAGCCTGGGCAATATAATGAGACCCCATCTCTACAAAAAATAAAAAATGGCTGGGCGTGGTGGCTCACGCCTGTAATCCCAGCACTTTGGGAGGCTGAGGTGGGCAGATCACAAGGTCAGGAGATCAAGACCATCCTGGCTAACATGCAGAAACCCTGTCTCTACTAAAAATACAAAATAGCCGGGCGTGGTGGCGGGCGCCTGTAGTCCCAGCTACTCAGGAGGCTGAGGCAGGAGAATGGCATGAACCCAGGAGGCGGAGCTTGCAGTGAGCCGAGATCGAGCCACTGCACTCCAGTCTGGGCGACAGAGTGAGACTCCGTCTCAAAAAAAAAAAAAAAAAAAAAATTAGCCGGGCCTGGTGGTGCCTGCCTGTAGTCACAGCCACTTGGCAGGCTGAGGTAGGAGGATTGCTCGAGGTGAAGGTTGCAGTGAGCTGTGATTGCACCACTGCACACTGGCCTGGGTAACAGAACTGAGACGTTGTCTCATTAAAAAAAACAACAGAAAACCAAAACAGAGACATTTAAAAATATGTACTTAATTCATTTGAAAATAACAATGTAATATCATACCTAATATATATTAACATGAATAGCATATATTTAGGAAATTGACTGTTTTCCAAAACAAAGAAAAATTAGTGAGAAAAGTGGCATTGTTTTTCATCTTTCAGATCTCTGTGATGTCTGGCTTAATAGAAGACTGCTGGATTCTCAAATTTGCTTCTGCATTCTATCTCTTACAATATGTTGTTTTAATTGAAGTATATTAAGACAACTCAACCCCACTCGGAAGTGTAGTTGGAAAAGAGAAGAGCATTGTATTAGCCTTTCAAATTGTTGTAGATATTCTTTTTTAATACTACACAAAAAAATTGACAAGTGATACTTCTTTTTAAGATTAGTTATGCACGCCTGTAATCCCTGCACTTTGGGAGGCCAAGGCGTGCAGATCACGGGTTGGTTTCACCAACATGGTGAAACCCCATCTCTACTAAAACACAAAAAATTAGCTGGGCTTGGTGGTGTGCACCTGTAGTCCCAGCTACTTGGGAGGCTGAAGCAGGTGAATCGCTTGAACCCAGGAGGCGGAGGTTGCAGTAAGCTGAGATTGTGCCACTGCATTCCAGCCTGGCGACAGAGCAAGACTCCGAAGAAAAAAAAAAAGATTAGTTGTAATATGGAAGTGATAGTTTCTTTTAAAGATTACTTGCAAGTTGCAATCTGAAACTATATCGATAAGCTTTTCATACTCTGTTACATTAAAATCCACTTATCTATTTACTTTTGGCCTTGTGTTCCTGGACCCCTCTTTGAGAAGCCTTGCCCTAGAGTTCTTAGTCTGAGACCTGATATAAGTACCCAAAAATGCATTGATTTGCTGATGGAATGTCAAAACCCTTTGTTCAAAAGACTATCCAAAGATTGAGCAAATGGAGTGATTACAGGTAGGGGAAAAAGGCTTCCTTAGAAGAAGTAAAAGTGAAAATACATAAGGTAGAATGCATGGCCTTTGCCTCTTCGGTGTTTCCTCAAGCTCGCCCCACGGTGATCTGTGTGCCATGATGCTGTAGTGTTTCCTTAAAGAGGAAAGGACTGTTCTGTCAGTACACAGGCACTGTGTGACATTTAAGCATATTTAAAAGACATTTTATTCTCTTCTCATAGATGAAGATGTTGAATGATTAAAATGGCTTGTACAGGGAAGCCCGAATGGAGACCAGGTGCCAGAATCCCTGACCCTCTCTTCCCCATTCATATCCCCAGCAGAGCCATGAATGGTCCTTTGCAGCTGCTGTTACCAGCTTAAACTTCGCTTCTCTCAACAAGAGAATAAAAGTTCCCCTGTGAGTCTAAATCCATGAAACAAATAGTTCTTTCCCTTTCACAGTGAATAGTAACCCAGAAGAACTCGCTGCCACAAGATATTATTATAGCAAATAACTAAGCAGGGATAAAAACAAGATCAGACACTGTCCAAACAGGGAAAACCATAGCAAACTTTCAAACCCATTTGCTCTGAAACACTAAATGGTCTCTAACTCAAATCTGGGATGACATCTCAGTAAGAGATGATTAGGTGTGGTTTTTAGTTTTATTCTTTTTGTTAAGGAAAAGGTTTGCATTATTCTGAAACACTCTGGGCAAATCTAAGCAGGGATTTGTGTAAATTCTTATGAAGGCCCTGCTGAGTTTTCACTTATAACTATAGACAAGAAGTGCAACTTCACTCTGTCTAGCTTATCCCTAAGGGAGCATGGGTATAGTGTACCATAACGACCTGTTTACCTGCTGGTTTCTCCCTCTGAGAACTCCTTGTAGGAAGGGGCTGTGGCTTTCGGACTCGACATCCCTACTGCTAGCACAGTAAGTCGCACAGAATTGGTGCTTCATTTCTTGTTGAATTTTAACAGATCACATTTAGCTAGTTAGACACTGAGACATTGTAAAGTAGGTAGATAGGAGCTTGCCATTCCAGGTTGTTCTAGAACTCTATGGAAAAATGTTCTGGGATTCCACAGAGGGGGAAATTCAGTTGTGTGTGATGTTGCTTTATCTGAATTTCCTCAATTATTTTCTGTTAAGCTTAATTTGTCAAGCAAAGGGGTTCGGGATGGATCAAAATCATGTCTCAAAATGCCTCTCTTCTCTCTTCCCTTAGGACCTTACTTCAGGCACAAGGCTAGTATGCCATTAGAAATAATTTGAAACGACAGTTTTTAAAACCAGAAATTGTCTTCTTGGTATTATGCCATATCAGAAGCCAAGGGCTCCAGTCCCTTGAGGCATGTTGGAAATTGCTGCATAGATTGTAGCTCTCTCAATGGAAAAATATGGACATGAGATTATTGTCTTATACATTTTCTTTTCATTCTCATGGGTTTTGTGAGTGTACGCATGCTTTAGAAGAGCTCTTAGTTAAATCCAATTACAACACTTTTAGCAACAACAATGAATCTCTACACAATAAAACATTTCCAAGCCCCAGCTGGTGGCCTACGTACAACAGCAATTACACAGTCCCCAGGTTTGTTCTAATGAGATTGGATTTGCGTTTGGGAATCCCTGAGGAATGTATGAATAGAAGATTTTACTTTGGTTTGTGGCTGCTACTAGGGGTATATATATCATTGCTGCTAGATTTTTTTGCTCAAGTTGACTTCATTCATTTATTTTTTTTCACTCAGTCATTACAACTACTATAAAATAGACACTACGCTAGACAACAAAAAATAATTTTTAGGAAAGCACTTATGCATTCCTTACTATAGGCCAGGCACTCTTCTAGATACTTTACTATATGATATCACTTAATCTCCTCACAATCCTGTAGGAACTTTATTAGACCCTGCCAGGAGTTTATAGTCTTTTGAAGGAGACAGGCACTTACACAGATGAATGTGGAACAATATGGCAGGTGCAGTGATGGGGCCATTCCATGGAATTATGGGGACATGGGAGGAAACGTGTGACTCAACTTTCCCACAACACCAAGGTTGAGGGGAAGGTGAAGGATGCTTGAGCTATGACAAATTTCTTCTTTCATGTATAATTACTCTCATGATTTGAGAACATTCTTTAATATTTTATAACAGAGAATCCAATATATGCCACTATGTTTGCATATTTCTAAATATTTAAGTATTATAATTGGTTGTAAAATATACTTTCTCCTAAAAATGTGGACTAAATCTGGCTTCTGCTGTTTTGAGCAATCTATTGATTGAATCTGTATGGAAAGCTATGAGCTTTATTCTCAGAGAAATAAAAGTATGTGATAATTAGTTGAAATTATTAGAAAGCAAATCTAAATATGTTAGGGTGTAATACCTTCACCAAAATTTGCAGCATGGTGATTCACAATCTAAATCCAGATTCTAGATATGTTTTGTTGAGTATCTATGTTTGCAAAAATTTGAAATGTTGAAATATTCAGAAATTTCACATAAAAAATCGTAGGTTGATTTCTTATTAAAATTGAGATGGTTTTATGTCCCTTAGGAACAAAATGGAATATCTGGTAACCTTGGGCCCACATTTTAACTTGAGCAACAACTGGCTAGCCCTAAGAAGTAGCTTCCTTAGTATATAATGAGTTGGTCTTGGAAGGAAGAGAAGCCGGGGGCGAGGTGGGAGGGCATTAGAGACAGATTGTATAATATAAGAAAAGAGGAGGATTTGTATGTGTGTGGTGAACTACAAGTGATTCTTTGTGGTAGTGGTATAAAATTTGAGTCAACAAGAGTAAAGGTGAGGTTGGAGAGGTCAGAATGGGGCAGATTTTGGCAGGCTTTGCACACAACGGTAAGGAGCTTGAACTTGATCCTGTAGGTGGTAAGCGGCCATTCAAGATTTAAGCAGGTGAGCCTCGTGTTAGATTTCTATTCTTTGGGTGGTAGATGGAGGGAGAGTTGAGGCCACCAAGCCTAAAGTCTGGGAGTCTAGTTAAAAAGTTGTTATAGTTATCTAAGAAAGAGAGAGAGGCTTGAAATCTGGGAGTGACCGTGGCAATGGGAATAAATACACAAAGGACTTGAGAGATGGAAAGGAGCATTAAAAAATTCATGGGCTGATAAATAGTAATATGGAGCAAGGGGACGAGGAAAGGAGACAAGGACGACTCATGATTCCAATCACTGCGGGAGTGGCAGTGCCATTTGTAGTGGGAAGAGATCACAGAGGAAGGCAACATAGAAGAGAAGACAGGGCTCATTTCCAGGCATGTTGAGCCTGAATGCCTATGTGGATGGAGAAGTAAAGATGTCCACTAAGCAGTTAGAAAGAGGAGCCTGGGACTTGGTCAAAAGGACTTATTGACTTATTTTAAGGTAAAACTTTGGTTGTAATCAGCATATTAATGGTTGTCAAAACCATGAGGATTTTCTTTCTTTCTTTTTTTTTTTTTCTTTTTTTTAAAGACAGGGCTCCACCACATTGCCCAGGCTGGTCTCAAAGTCCTAGGCTCATGCGATCCTCCCACCTCAACCTCCCAAAGTGCTGGAACTACAGGTGTCAGCCACAGCCCCCTGTGAGGATGCTTAATCACTCGAGGACGGTATAAAGGTACAGAAGAACAGCGAGCCACAGGTAAGACCTGTGGGTCCCCACACCACCAGCTTCCCATGCAGAAGCACACAGACCCTAACAACTCCCGGAAACATTGTGGCAGCTCAGACCAAAGCCTGATTCTTGCCTTTTCAACAGGATGACTTTCTGTTAGTCATCATTTTCTTTCTCACATGCAATCTTCCTTCTATTCCTTCCTTGTTTTCCTTGTTATTTCATAATCCTCCCCCCTGAGGCTTTGAGAATATTATTATAAAATGCAACACTTAGAAAGAGGGCATAGAATGTATGTGTATGGTTTAAAGAAGAATAACAAAATAAACATGCTGTACCCAGCTTGAGAAATAGAATATTCAGATTATAATCTTCCCACTTTGATTTGCATCTCCCAGTATCCCTCCTCCCAGAGGTAATAACCACTATTCTGAATTTTGTGGGTTTAGCACTTTTTTAAAATCACATATGATATCACAAAACGGTATTTTGCCTTCTTGCAGAGGGTCTTGGTATAAATGGTATAAAACTGTGTATATTCTTTTTCATAGCCTTTTGTGACTGATGCTGTTTTTCAATATTCTGCTTTTGAGATTCTTTTTTTCTAATACACGCAGCTGTCATTCATTCTTTCAGTACTGTTTAGTCCTTTGCATACCACAATTTACCCATTCTCTTGTCAATGGACATTTGGGATGTTCCTGAGTTTTGACTCTAATGAACAGTATCTTCAAGAATATTCTTTTAAAAACTTTTTTATTTTAAATTTTTGTGGGTAAATAGAAGGTGCTTCATGAGCATTCTTCCCCATGTCTGTGGACAACATCTGCAACTACAGATATACCTAAAATTAGAATGCTGAATGGGTAGTCGTACTGGTTTCCAAAGGGGTTACACCAATTTATTTATATTTTATTTTATTTTTTAAAGAGACAGGTTCTCTCCATGTTGCCCAGGCTGGTCTTGAACTCCTGAGCTCAAGCAATCTTCCCACCTTGGCCTCCCAAAGTGCTAGGATTATAGACGTGAGCCATTGTGCCTGGCTGATGATACCAATTTATGATTTTACCTGGAATCATCATCTTTTTTAAGTTAAAAATGTCTGGTTTTTTTTTTTTTAAATCTGTATTGGCCGGGCGCAGTGGATCACGCCTGTAATCCCAGCACTTTGGGAGGCTGAGGGGGGCAGTTCACAAGGTCAGGAGTTTGAGACCAACCCGGTCAATATAGTGAAAACCCATCACTTTTAAAAATACAAAAATTAGCCAGGTGTGGTGGCATGCATCTGTAATCCCAGGTACTCGGGAGGCTGAGGTAGGAGAATCACTTGAACCTGGGAGGTGGAGGTTGCAGTGAACCAAGATCGTGCCACTGCACTCCAACCTGGCAACAGAGCAAGACTCCGTCAAAAAAAAAAAAATCTGCATTGATTAATTTTTAAGTAGAAAAAAAGTTACCCATGTCCTGTTACTCAGTTACCAAAAAATGATCATTTTCAGCATCTTTTCACTTGTATTTTAACTTTTCCATTCCACATTCTTTCTCCCTTTCAATTAATTTGTTTTCCATACTTTCTTTCACATATCCCATTCTAAAAGCCAAAATACTCTTTATACTTTTAAAGCCTTGTTCTCTTTTACTGCTCTTCTTACTCAACTCCTCCCGCCCAACCCCCAACCCTATTCTCTGCCACAGTCCCTTAAGGAAGCACCACCCAAGTTCCATCTCCAGGAACTCCCCTTGGATTCATAGGGTTAGAGCCAACTCCCAGCGTCAGAAAAGCAGAAGAGGGCAGGGTGCTGGTGGCCTCTGGAAAATCCCACCATTGGGCTCCCTGTTGAACTGAGTGCAGCCTGGTTCTTTTTCCTGTTTCTTTTTAACATGTGTCATCTGTAGAATTAGCCTGTGGGGCCCACTGGATATCGGGTCTGTTGAACTCCCTGTCTGTTTCCTGAGCGGAAAGGTAAATAGCACTGGGGACTACTCAGTATTTCCCAGAGGTTATTTATGAATGCAGCTCAATGGCCTGCAAATAGAAGTATTTGCACAGTGAGGTGTCCTAAGGTAATGGGGAACACGGACTGCTCATTGCTAGAAACAAACAGCTGTGACCCTAACAGAAGGAGCAGACCAGGGCTTCCAAGTTCCCTGCCAGGGCAGAGGAAAGCCGAGCACTTCCATTTGTCCACAGAGAGTGTCAGGGAGGGATGCACAGGCCACACAGCGCCCAGGCGGGGCTGGGTCCCCTTTGCAGCTGGCAGTGCTCTCTACTCTGCTCCCAGCCACCTGGTGTTTGGGCATCTTGACTCTGGGCTGTATGTGGTGTCTCCCGCGAGCCTTTGTAATTAGTACTGCGGCAAACAGAGAAGGTGCCCTGAGCAGGTTTATCACTTGGCTTTATTTCCAGTGCTTCCTTACCCGGGGTGCCCATACCCTGGAATCACCAGGGGAGCTTTAAAAAAGACTGATGCCCGAGTCCCACCCTCAGAGATTCTGATGTAATGGGACAGGGGTAAGGTCTGGGCATCTGGATTTTTCAAAGTTCTCCAGATAATTCCAATGTGCGGCCAAAGCCAAGAAATGCTGCCTAAACTCAAAGCTGAACAGTTCAGGGATACCAAGGGACCATGCATTGTTTTTCACTTTGCTTTAATAACTACCATTCCCTGAAGCCAGTGTCAGACAAGGTGCTAAGCTCTGAACACACATTAGCTCACAATGATTAACCCTACATTAAAGGTAAGGAAACAAAGGCTCAGAGAGGTTAAGGGACTCACTCAAGTTGACACAGCAAAAGGTCAGGTTTAAATTCTGATATTTCTGACTCCCCTACCTGTCCTCCAGACCCTTCACCACACTGTCTGAGGTAGCCTCTTGTTTGGAGGAATATCAAAGAGGGTTTGGAGAATGAGAGAGCCCTTTCACTTGATGCAGCAGGTTAGCGTGATTTAAAACATGAATGAGGGAGAGACAGAAGAATGCGAGGGAGTGAGGAAAGAGGAGGGAGTTGGCCAATTTGAATTTGGGATCAAAATCCCCTTTACAAAGAAGCCTTTCTTTATGGAGATCAGAGAAGCCACAGTCATCTGCTACAATCTGAGGCCCATCTTGCTGTGGTGAGAGGCAGGCCTGTGCAGAACTCTGACACAGCCTTGATGACAGAGATGAGAAGCACTCAAGTTGCGCCCACAATGTCCACCAGACCCTTCAGTCTGGGGCCCTGGGATCAGCACAGCCCACTCTGCATAGTGCTGGGGATACTGATGCAATTCTGTGGGGCATAGCCAGGTTGGCCAGGAAGGAAGTGGAGAAGAGAGAGCTGGAAATCTGGTGGTGTGGCTTTAGTTTTTCTTATTATCTATTTTCTTGTGTATTAGTTTTTGATGAGAAAAACGAATATGCAAGTATTGATTATTGTGTGAGCACTTATTCTACAAACTGTTGCTCTTGAATTTATCATCTGTACAAGGGCATTTATTATAGACTGAGAATCTATTTTAAAAATCACAACTATAGACCTAAAGCTATTTATTAACATGTACGTCATTTGATCACCTAATTTATATGCAGTGTTTGAATGTATTTGGGGGCCTATTTACAGTAGGAATACTAATTTTGCTCTTTTTGAGCCCAGATCCTCTGCTCTTTTAACCACTTCTAAAATTGTAGCATGTTTCTCTCTATTTCCTATCACCAGAATTTAGAATAATGACAGAAACATTATGCTCAGCCAGCGCTCCCCATAACAATTGCAGTGCAGCCAAGCTGTTCTCCCACACTACCATTTCCTTGCCACGGCTTCTGTCTTAGCCCATTTTCTGTTGCTATAACAGAATACCACAGACTGGGTAATTTATAAAGAAAAGAAGTTTATTTGGCTCATGGTTCTAGAGGCTGGGAAGTCCAAGAACATGGCGCCAGCATCTGGTGCGGGACTTTGTGCTGCATCATCCCACGGCAGAAGGGTGGACAGGAAAACCAGTGTTCAAAACAGAGAGAAAATGGGAGTTGAACTTACTCTTTTATCAGGAACTCATTCCCACCATAACTATCTTATTCCCCTGATAGCAATGGCAATCCATTCGTGATGGCAGAGCCTTCATGACCTAATCACCCTTTAAAGCCCCCACCACCCAATACTGCTACATTGGTAATTAACTTTCAACATGAGTTTTAGCGGGGACAGTCAAACCATATTGGCTTCTGTCCTGCCATCATTCTAGATTGAAGCAGAGATGCCCACATCCTGACCTCTCAAGGCAGAGATTTATCTGGTTTGTTTGTTTTCTAAGTTGGGCCTGGAACATTACCTGAAAGCACCTGCATAAAACTGCTCCATCCCTGCTAAGGAGCTGGGTTTCTTGTATTCTCATCTCCCTGGCTAGAAAGTCATTACCCCAGATATCAGGGTCAGACACAGCTCTCTACAATCACCGTTTTGGTGTATTTGTACATTTATGTTGAAGAGCCAGGAAATCCCAAGGAGTTGGCTTGCTGTTTCTCACTAAGTATATTGAGTGCATACTACACCTTTTATGGAGATCCTGCCCAAGTCTTTCTAACTACAACACAAAGGATCAAAGACTCTTAGCTAATAGCAGCCAAAACACTATTTAGTTCTACTGTAATGATTCTCTCAAGTATTTCAATCATCTAGGTCATTGAAAAAGATTTTGAGAATGTTTGTGTCTTATCTCATCTTATAAAGTCAGACTTAGAAAGTCTGAGCATGAGCATGTGTGTATGTGTGCATACATGGTTACACAGAAGAGTGACAATGGTTGTGACATAGGTGTAATAAGTAGCCATGGTTTTAGGATCTGACCATGGCTACTGTGGCATCATCATTTTGCTGACAAGCAAAGACATTTCTCAGACAGCATTTTTCTTCCCTCTCCAACAGTGGAATATACTGACTGGTGAATTCCCAAAGTGCTCACTCTTGGCTGCATGGGGTGAAGGTCTAGTTCTCTCTGGCCTCTTACTGGATCTTTGGTCCTATGATCCCTCTGCTGGGAGGACACTTAAAGCTAAATGCTAAATATGGTACCTGGGCATAGATACCCTGCATAAATATTGGGAGAAATGCTTTTTCCTTTGCTTGGCTTTTTCCTAGAGAGGCATAAAATTGTTGAGGAATGCAATACTTTGGAGGAGATAAAATTGCTTTTTTTTTTTTTCAGACGGAGTCTTGCTCTGTTGCCTAGGCTGGAGTGCAGTGGCACAATCTCGGCTTACTGCAAGCTCTACTTCCTGGGTTCATGCCATTCTCCTGCCTCAGCCTTCCGAGTAGCTGGGACTACAGGCGCCCGCCACCACGCCCAGCTAATTTTTTGTATTTTTAGTAGAGATGGGGTTTCACTGTGTTAGCCAGGATGGTCTCAATCTCCTGACCTTGTGATCTGCCCACCTCGGCCTCCCAAAGTGCTGGGATTACAGGCGTGAGCCACCACTCCTGGCCTAAAATTGCTTTTATTACCACAATTCAGACTCCCAAGCTTGAAGGTAAGACAAAGTTGTCTCTCATCAGGCCCACATAACAATGTGGCCTTGGCTTGTTTTTACTTCCTTGTGTGGAATTAGATGAGAGAGCTTTTGTTCCAGTTGAGTGCTATGGAAATTGTGAAAAGGGAAAGCATAAAGAAACTGCCTATGAGATGGATGTGTCACCACAAGAAGACATTTGATCCCACCAAAAAACTAAATGGAGTAGGAATGTGGGGGAACGTAGAGCTACCACACTGCACAGCTCTTGGGGCACCAGTCACATTATCATCTATCTAAACATAATGATGACCTAAAACACTATTGACAATTACGTACTTTGTAAGAATGTTTCCATCAACAATGGACTGCATGTAAGATGGTAGTGCCATTATAATACTGTATTTTTACTGTACCTTTTCTATGTTTAGATACACAAATACTTACCATTGTGTCACAACTGCCTACAGTATTCAGTACAGTAACACGCCATACACCTTTATAGCTTTGGAGCAATAGGCTGTACCATATAGCCTAATTGTGCAGTAGGTTTGTGTAAATGGACTCTGATGTTTGCACAATGAAATTGCCTGACAATGCATTTCTCAAAATGTATCCCCATTCTGAGAAGTAGTTCTACTGTAATCCCTAATGCTAATGGACTTTTTAAAATGTGATTCAGGGCAGTGCTTTTCAAGTTGTAGTCCATAAACTCCTGGAAGTCTGAAAATATATTTTTAAGGGTCTATAACTTCTAGAAGGATTTTGAAAGTCCTAGATCATCTGACGGTCACTTAGAACAGCAATGCTGTGGGGTCGTAGGGTTTATATTTGCTTTTGTGTTTACAATCACAGGGTCACCAAGTGATTAGTTAGAGTGATTGTGATTCATTTTTCTTTTAAATTGAAGTAAAATTCATGCAGCGAAGTGTACCTTTTCCCAAATCTACCAGGTGTCTTCTGTTCAACCTTCTCTCCCACCTTTCATTTCTGGGTCTGTGGCCTCACCACAGGCAATCATGCTGAATTTCCATCCTTGCGGAAGGCCTTGCTGAAGAGGTGGGATGGAACTGGACCTTGAGGAAAGGGTGAGACTTAGATGGTGGGGGAGAAGGGAGTAGGGTAAAGGCAAGAACGTGATGCCTTTCAGAGTCTACTCACTTCCAGTCTAGGCTGTCTCTCATCCCAGGGGTAGAGCTTTTGGATGGGAGTATTTGATAGTTTGATAGTTTATAAAGTACCACAGTTAATGAGTTGTATGTAATAAAAAAGAAGTTATATCAGTAACATGCCTTCTACGTACCTTCACCTTAGCACAAGATTAGTAATACATTTTGCTATAAGATAAATACATGAAAAAAATGAACTGTAAGAGAATGAAGAGACAAGCCACAGACAGAGAAAATATTTGCAAAAGACATATTTGATAAAGGATTGATATCCAAAATATACAAAGACTTCTTAAAACTCAACAAGTAAATAAATAACACACCTAAAAAATAGACCAAAGACCTGAACAAACACCTCACTGAAGAAGATACAGTATATAGATGACAAATAAGCATTGGAAAATATGCTATATATCATATGTCACTGGGGAAATTCAAATGAAAACAATAAGTGATATCACTATACACCTATTAGAATATCTAAAACCTGAAACACTGATAACACCAAGTGCTGACAAGGATGTGGAGGAATAGGAGCTCCCATTTGTTGCAGGTGGAAACGCAAAATGGTACAGCCACTTTGGAAGACAGTTTGGCAGTTTCTTACAAAACTCAACATGTTCTTACCATATGATCCAACAATCATGATTCTTGGTGTTTATTCAAAGAACTTGAATACTTATGTCCACACAGAAAACTGCATATGGTTGTTTATAGCAGTTTTATTCATAATTGCTAAAATTTGGAAGCAATCAAGATGTTCTTCAATAACCCAATAAATAAACAAACTGTGGTATGTGTATATGACAGAACATTATTCAGCAATACAAAGGAATGAGATGTCAAGCCATGAAAAGATATGGAGAAACCTCAAATGCATATTACTAAGTGAAGGAAGCCAATCTGAAAAGGCTACATACCATATGATTCCAACTATATGACATTCTGGAAAAGGAAAATCAATGGAGACAGTAAAAAGTTCAGCAGTTGCCAGGGGTTAGGGGGATGGGAGGTGGGAGAGATTAGTAGGTCACTGAGGATTGAGAGGGCAATGAAACCACTCTTTATGACACTGTAATGGTGGATGCATGTCATTATAAATTTGTCCAAACCCACAGGATGCTTAACATCAAGATTGAATGCTAATATAAACTGTGGACTCTGGATATTATGATATGTCAATGTAAGTTCATCAGTTGCAATGAATGTACCATGCTGGTGGGGTATGTTGATAATGGGGGAGGCTGTGTGTGTGTGTGTGTGTGTAGGGTAGAGAGTATATGGGAAATCTCTATACCTTCCTCTCAATTTTGCTTTGAACCCAAAACCAATCTAAAAAATAAAGTTTATTTTTAAAAAGTTAAATAATTTTTGTATTGGAATCTGCTTTCCATTCCCTACATGGAAGACAAAGGTAGTTGTGTTTTGGATTCATCCAGGAGCTGAGTGATTGATGGCACAGAACTGGCAAATATTCAGGAAAAGTTTTGGTTGACTTGGTAATCATTTATATCCATGTTTTGGTTTTCTTCTCATCACTTCACTAGGCTGAGTTCCACACTGGCACATACTGGGTTTAGAGAGAGGTTTGAGGAATGCTCCAGAAAGCCACAGTGTGGGGGTTCTATGGTTTCCCAGGCTAAAAGCAGTGATCTGGGAGGCTGAGAATGTACAATTGATCCATTTACTTTGGGGAAGCTGTCTTGTACCCCCAGCCTTCCTCTCACGCAACAATGCATTTTCTTCTGGAACTATAGTATTTGGTTTGGAGCCATCTCTTCCTTTCAACATAAGTGCAAAAACAACCCACCGGGCTTGTTTGATGTTTTAGGTGTGGTCAGCTAACTTGAGGTAGCATCTGTAGGAAAGTTTCCCCTCCGAGTCATCACTTCCCCATTCTTGATACTTTCTTTCCTCATCCCCTGCCCCCAAGTTCCCTTTGCCCAGGCCTCCCCTTTTGTACACACTGCAGGGGCAATCAATTTGAAATCCATCCTTACAAAGCCAAATTTCCACTTGTTTTTATTCTTTAATGAAAGCTCAAGATACAGCAATAAAACAGTTTTAATCCAGCCCTGCTACTAACCAGCTGGGTGACCTTAAGTGGTCAGGATTGTAGACACCTAAAATACAAGACATGAGCTTGCTCTCACTCTCAGCCCCTGTTACCTTCCTGCCTCAGTCCCAGGATCCTGACCTGGCTACAGCCCCAATGTCCACACCTCCCCTGGGCTGGACCAACTCCTGCACATGGGTTGCAACAACAGATCAGATACAAATAACTAGGACATTGTTCTGGTGTTAACTCTCTGTATTGGCCTTGCGCAAGTTACTTTACTACTCTTCAGTTTTCTCATATGTAAAATAGGAATAATAATAGTACTACTTCATATGTGTAGGACTATTGAAGATTAAATTAGAAATGTATGCTAAACATTTAGCACAGTTAGCTATTAATGCTGTATGATGGTGATGGTAACTCCAAATCTCACCCCACACCAGGATATTTTGAGGGCCTCAGCTAATAGTGGCCAGGGGAGAGTTCTGTCTTGACTCGAGACTGAATTTTCTTTCCTCTCTTGGGATTTTCGTCCACACTGGTGCATACTCTACGATCATACCCTGGCATCCTTGCTGACATGCTTATTGCAGAGAGTACTCAGGCTCTTCAATTGATTCACAGAATTCTACCCCTTTACTTTTATTTTCTTGCCATTTGTTTTCCTTATTTCTATAGTTCAAATGTGTCTATTATTGCAAGATGAGGGGTTCTTCCACCTGACTTCCCTGGAATGCCTGTGGATGCTTCTTGCCGCCATCTTGGCTTAGCAGTCGGGCACGGGAGCTCAGATATTGGAAAAGATGGAGGATGCCTGGAAGCCTTCCTCCTCACCCAACATGTAACCCCCTATCACCACAATGAAAAATTCTGCTGGAGTCTGACCATTTCCTTTATTTCCCCACAAATTTCTCCCTGCCGAGGCTCATTTTCCTTTGGAACTAAGTTTCCTCTCACTGAGCTGGAGCTCACTATTGAGACTTCATGATTTGAACCCACCAGTGGGTAGATTACAAGAGTTGCCTGCAAATCTAGAGCTGTGCTTATGTGGAAGTCTGCGGTAGACAAGTTACATGAATGAAGTTAAAAATAAACTTTGTGCAGTTCCTGGGTCCACAACATTTTTCCCAGAAAATGTTTCTATTTTTCCTTCCCATTTATCCAAATGTAGAATAGAATCACACTTTTCTTCTGTGTATCAGCTAGGATGAAACAGATTCCTATCTCAGAAAGTTTTTTTGAGGCATAGCATATATACAACGAGGAGCACAGATTTCAAGTGCATAACTCAGTGAGTTTTTGTACAACACATGCACACACAGAAAGGTATATACTTGACCTCCCAGATCAAAATGGAAAATATTCCCAACATCCCAGAAGCTTCCTAATGCTTCTGAATGCTCCTTACCTGATAATACCAACTGTTCCCCCAGACAAAATGACTTTAATGGTTTCTGTCAGCTGTGGATTAATTTTGTCTGTTCTTGAAATGCGTATGAATGGAATCATACAGTATACACTCTTTTTTTTTTTTTTTTTTTTTTTTTTTTGAGACAGAGTTTCATTCTTGTCACCCAGGCTGGAGTGCAGTGGTGTTATCTTGGCTCACTGCAACCTCCACCTCCCGGGTCCAAGCAATTCTCCTGCCTTAGCCTCCCGAGTAGCTGGGATTACAGGTGCCCACCACCATGCCCGGCTAATTTTTGTATTTTTTTAGTAGAGACGGGGTTTCACCACGTTAGCCAGGCTAGTCTCGAACTGCTGACCTCAGGCAATCTGCCTACCTCGGCCTCCCAAAAGTGCTGGGATTACAGGCGTGAGCCACCGCGCCTGGCCTCAGTATGTACTCTTTAGTTTTGGACTTCTTTTGCTTATCTCACATGTCTGTGAGATCCTTTCATGTCGTGTGTAGCAGTAGTTACTTTTTATTGCTGTGGTTTTCTATTGTATGAATACCTCATTTTTTATTCATTCCACTAGTGATGGACATTTGAGTTTTTTCCAATTTTTGGCTATTTTGAATTAAGCTGTTATAGACATTCTTGTACATGTCTTTTAGAGGGCAAACTCATTTCTCTAGACTGTATACCTAGTGGGAGTTTTTGGTCCCAGGGTAGACATAGTTTAGCTATAGCAGATACTGCTAAACGGTTTCCAAATTGTACTAATTTACACCCCCACCAGTGAAGTATGAGTGCACCAGATACTCAGTACCTTGTCAACACTTTGCCTCATTGCTTTTTTAATTTTAGTCATTCAGGCGGGTGTATGACAGTATTTCATTGCGATTTGTCTGCGCATCTATTGATGCATACTGACGTTAAGTAACTTTTATATACTTATTGGCCATTTGGGTATCCTCGTTTGCAAAGTACCTGCCATGGTTTGGATATGGTTTGTTTGTCCTCACTGAAGTTCATGTTGAAATTTGATACCCGGTGTGGCAGTGTTGGAAGATAAAGCCTAATGGGAGATGTTTGGGTCATGGGGGCAGATTGCTCATGAATGGCTGGGTGCTGTACTTTTTTTTTTTTAACTCCAACTTTTATTTTAGATCCAAGGGGTACGTGTAGAGATTTGCTACATGGGTATGTTGTGTGATACTGAGATTTGGAGTACGATTGAACTCGCCACCAAGGAAGCGAGAGCACAGTACTCAATAGGTAGTTTTTCAACCCTTGTCCTCGCCTCCTCCCTTTTGGAATCCCCAGTGGTTTTTGTTGCCATCTTGCTGTCTGTGTTTACCCAGTGTTTAGCTCCCACTTATAAGTGAGAACATATGGTATTTGGTTTTCTATTCCTGCATTAATTCACTTAGGATAATGGCCCCAGCTGCACCCATGTTGCTGCAAAGAACATGATTTCATTCTTTTTATGGCTGCATAGTATTCCATGGTGTATATGTACCACATTTTCTTTATCTAATCCACTGTTGATGAGCACCTGGGTTGATTCCATGTCTTTGGTATTGTGAATAGTGCTGTGATGAACATATGGGAGCATGCCTCTTTTTGGCAGAACAATTTATTTTCCTTTGAGTATATACCAATAATGAGATGCTGGATCAAATGATAGTTAACTGTTAGTTCTTTGAAAAATCTCCAAACTGCTATCCACAGTGGCTGAACTGACTTACATTCCCACCAACAGTGTGTAAGTGTTCCCTTTTTTCCACAGCCCTGCCAACATCTGTTATGTTTTTTACTTTTTAACAAAGGGCATTCTGAGTGGTTTGAGGTGGTATCTCACTGTGGTTTTAATTTGCATTTCTCTGGTGATTAGTGATGTTGAGCATTTTTTCATGTTTGTTGGCCACATATATGTCTTCTGAGAAGAAATACATGTCCTTTGCCCACTTTTTAATGGGGTTATCTGTTTTTTGCCATGGTCACCATTGCACTCCAGCCTGGGCAACAAAAGGAGACTTTGTCTCAGAAAAAAAAAAGAAAGAAAATATTCATCTACGTTTTCTTCTAGAAGCTGTATTTTTTACCTTTCACATTAAGACCTATAACCTATTTTGAATTAATTTTTGTGTGTAGCATTAAGCAGGTATGAAAGTTCATTTTTCCCATATAGATATACACTTGACCCAGGAACATTTATTGACAGAGTCCCTTTGTCATGAATCAATTTAAGCTTCTTATAGATTCTGGATAGTAGACCTTTGCCAGATGCAGAGTTCTGTGAATATTTTCTCCCATTCTGTAGGTAGTCTGTTTACTGCATTAATAGTTTGTCTTGTTGTGCAGAACCTCTTGTCAATTTTTGTTTTTGTTGAAATTGCTTTTGAGGACTTAGCATAAATTATTTTCCAAGGGTGATGTCGAGAAAGGTATTTCCTAGATTTTCCTCTTGGATTCTTATAGTTTGAGGTCTTATATTTAAGTCTCTAATCCATCTTGAATTACTTTTTGCATATGGTGATAAGTAGGGGTCCAGTTTCATTCCTCTGCATATGGCTAGCCAGTTATCACAGCACCATTTATTAAACATGGAGTCCTTTCCCCATTGCTTATTTTTGGTAATTACCCAGTCTCAAGTATTGCTTTACAGCAACACAAAATGGGCTAAGATGGTACCTGTTTAAATCTCTTGCTCATTTAGAAATTTTGATTATTTATCTTTTTTCATTTGAAGGTGCTCGCTACATATTCTGCACATAGATGCTTTATCAGATATATCTATATGAATATCTCTCAGTCCGTGGTTTGCCTCTTCACTCCCTTAATATATATTTTGGTGAAGAGAAGTTTCTTAATTTTAATGTAGCCCATTGATCAACCTTAATTTTTAATAGTTAGTGACTTTTCCGTTCTACTTAAGAAATCTTTGACTACCCCTATGGTCATGAAAATATTCTTTTTGGTTGGGCACGTTCACTCATGCCTATAATCTCAGCACTTTGGGAGGCCAAGGCAGGAGGATCACTAGAGCCCAGTAGTTTGAGACCAGCCTAGGCAATACAGTGAAAGTCTCTACAAAAAAATACAAAAATTAGCCAGGCATGGTGATGCGCATCTGTAGTCCCAGATACTCAGGAGGCTGAGATGGGAGAATCACTTGAGCCCAGCAGTTTGAGGCTATGGTGAGCCATGATCACCATTGCACTCCAGCCTGGGCAACAAAAGGAGACTTTGTCTCAGAAAAAAAAAAGAAAGAAAATATTCATTTATGTTTTCTTCTAGAAGCTGTATTTTTTACCTTTCACATTAAGACTTATAACCCATTTTGAATTAATTTTTATGTGTAGTATTAAGCAAGTATGAAAGTTCATTTTTCCCATATAGATATATGCTTGACCCAGGACCATTTATTGACAGGGTGCCTTTGTCATGAATCAACTATGTGATTTGTCACATATTGTATATGTGTAGGTTTGTTTCTGGGCTCTTGATTCTGTTCTATGGATTTATTTAAATATTCTCGTGTCAATACCATGTTGCCTTGATTACAGCCTCTATTTCTTGAATGCAAAGTCTTCTTCATAGCTATTATTTTTTTCCCAGAAAAAAAGTATAATTTTTTAGTAATTAAAGTCCTCACCCTCCTGATAAGTTTTCCCTAAATTTTTAGGTTGGATACTCTTAAACCACTTTTTAAAATAATAATAAAAAGCTAAACTAATATGTACTTTACCTTTTTCTTTTTTTTTTTTTTTGAGACAGAGTCTCACTCTGCTGTCCAGGCTAGAGTGTAATGGTGTGATCTCGGCTCACTATAACCTCCACCTCCTGGGTTCAAGCGATTCTCCTGCCTCAGCCTCCCGGGTAGCTGGGATTATAGGCATGCGCCACCATGCCTGGCTGGTTTTTGTATTTTTAGTAGAGATGGGGTTATGCCATGTTGACTACCCTGGTTTTGAACTCCTGGCCTCAAGCAATCCACCCACCTTGGCCTCCCAAAGTGCTAGGATTACAGGTGTGAACTTTATATTTTCAGTGGACGTTTTATTGAAGTATACCATCTGGAGAGAAGTACACACATCATAAATGTACAGCTTGACGAATTTTCACAAAATGAATGCACTCATGTGTCTAGCACCCAGATCATTATTAGCCCCTCCTGCCCCCGCTCGCCACTGCCCTGACTTCTGACACTACTGAATGATTTCTGCCCACCACCCCCAACCCAAGACGAAGTCTTGCTCTGTCACCCAGGCTGGAGTGCAGTGGTGCCAACTTGGCTCACTGCAACCTCTACCTCCCGGGTTCAAGCAATTCTCCTGCCTCAGCCTCCCAAGTAGCTGGGATTACAGGCATGTGCCACCATGCCCGGTTGAATTTTGTATTTTTAGTAGAGATGGGGTTTCACCATCTTGGCTAGGCTGGTCTCTAACTCCTGACCTCAGGTGATCCGCCCACCTCGGCCTCCCAAAGTGTTGGGATTACAGGTGTGAGCCACCCTGCCCAGGGTGTTGGTTTGGAAATCTATATGACTATGTAACACTTATTCTTCTGTGTTAGACATCTTTTATTCAACATTGCATCTGTAAGCTTTATCCATACCATTATATGTAGTTGTAGCTTCTTTATTATCATTGATACATAGTATTCCATTGTATGAATTTATGATAATTTTTTATCCATTCTTGCATTAGTCAATTCTCACACTGCTAATAAAGACATATCCAAGACTGGGTAATTTATAAAGGAAAGAGGTTCAATTGACTCACAATCCAGCCTGGCTGGGGAGGCCTCAAGAAACTTACAATAATGGTGGAAGGAGAAGCAGGCACATCCTTCTTCACATGTGGCAACAAGAAGAAGTGCCCAGCAAAAGGGAGGAAAGCCCCTTATAAAACCATCAGATCTTGTGAGAACTCACTCACTACCACAAGAATAGCATGAGGGTAACCACCTCCATGATTAAATTACTTCTCACCAGGTCCCTCCTGCGACATGTGAGGATTATGGGAACTACAATTCAAGATGAGATTTGGGTGGGGACACAGCCAAACCACATCAACTCTATTGTTGAATATTTCATTTTTGCCCCAGTTTTTGGCTACTATGATTAGTGCTACTATCAGCATTATTATATATGTGTTTTAATGGACAGATGCAAGCTTTTCTGTTGGGTGTATACCTAGGAGTAGAATTGCTGTTTCATAGGGAATGCATTATAAATAGCTTTAGTAGATGCTGTTAAACAGTGTTCCAAAGCAGATGAACAAATTTACACTCCTCCAGTGATGCATGAGAGTTCTAGTCACTCCACATCTTCTCTCAACACTTCATATTATCTTTTCCATAGTAGCCATTCTGGTGGTGTGTAGTGGTCACTTGCTATGGTTTGAATTAGAATTTATCTGATGACTCATAAAGTTGAGTATTTTTTCATCAGTTTATTTACCATTGCCCTCTTTGGTGAAGTGCCCATTTAAGTATCTTACCCTTTTTTCTGACTGAGCCGTCTGCTCAATATATCTATTAGATTATGCTTGATAATTGTGCCATTAAATTCTTCTCTGTTATTACATATGTCCTGTATGTTTGATTTATCAGGGTTTAAAAGTATCAGAATTACCTGAGAAATTTAAATAAATGCCCTTGGTGAGATCCCATCTCTGATGATTAAATCTGGATTTCTGATGAATGGAATCAGTGTAGCACAAGCATTGATATTTTTTAAAACATTAAAACTTTTTATTTCAAACATACAAAAGAGTTGCAAAATAGTCCAAAAAATCTCTATATCCCCTCTCCCAGTTTTCCAAAATGTTAACATTTTATCACTCTTACTTTATGATTTATTGTATCTATATCTATGTTTAGATCAAGATCTAATTTATTCTCTGAATAATTTGGGCAAAGTTGCAGATATGTTGCCCCTTTACCTCAGTCTAGTAGTTCTGAGAGAATTTTCTCCTTCTGATTTGGTAGAATTTTTGTTTTGTAAATTTCCAAGCTATGTTGTTAGGTCTAGATAGACATGATTATTCTATCTTCCTGGTGAATTGTTTCTTACTTTATCTTTTTATTTTTTAACCAACATGTAGTGCTCTTCATTAATTCTATTGTTATTTGTTTCCCTAAATTCTATAATATCCAACATTAAAATTACTGTATCATCTTTTTTATTAATATTTGCTTGAGATATATATATTTCCCCCTGCCATTATTTGTAAATTTTTTCTGTCAGTTTATTTTGTGTGACTATTGTGAACCTGGATTTATTATTTATTTATTTATTTACTCCTTTATTTTTCTTTCTTTCATTGAGTGCCTCTATGGCCTAACTGGCAAGGACAACATTATTGATATCATTAATAGTGCTATATTTAGACTTACACTTGCCATCTTATTTAGTAGTTTTTATTCATCATGTTTTTTCTTTCCTTTCTTCTTTTAGATTGATTGTGTTTTCTTTATTCCTTCTTCCTTTTTACAAAAAGGAGTTTCCCTTTTAAATTTTAAAGTTTTATGTTGACTTTCCAACAAATGTGTTAACCATTTATTTACTCATGATTACTTTTTGCATCCCATACTTTCTTTTGGCTTTAATTTTGTTTTTGTTTTTTTTTTTTTTTTTTTTTGCTGATGTCCATCATTTAGTAGTTCTTTGACTGATAATCTATAACTAGTAAACCCTCTAAATCTTTGTATGTCTGAAAATGCCTTCATTTTCTTTCAGGTTTGAAAGATACTTCGGCTGGTGTATAATTCTAATTCAAAAAATAATATTCCTCTCTTTTTCAAAAATAAAATTTTTTGTTTCGTAGAATACATTATCACTGATGAAAAGTCAACTGTCATTCTAATTGTCTTTCTTAAAAAAATACTGCCTTAACTCTTTAGTAATTTTTATAATTTTTGTGTGTGTGTTTTGAAGTTTCAACATTATGTGTTTGCATGAGAAATTTGTTATTTATTCAGCACACAACACAGATATTCTTTTCAATTTGAGAATACTTGTCATTCTTTAACTCTGGAGTATACTCAGCTATTTGAACATTATTTCTTTTCCATCCTCTCCTTTGAAACATGTAAGAGCTTTTCAGTATAGACTCTTGGTCTCCTCTCTCCATCTCTATGCTACATTCTGGATGATTTTCTCAGATTTATCTTCAAAGTGACTAATTTTCTTTTTGACTGTATCCCGTCAATTGTTCCACTTTGTCCATTGTTGTTTGTATATCAATAGTTATAGTTTTTTAAAGTTCATTATTTTTAGAAATATGAGACTAGCTTTTATATGCTTGCCTTATTAATTTCAATATTATTTTAATATACCTTTATCTTAAATATTTTTCAGATTTTTTTCTATTATTTGTAATTCTTGACTCTCCTTATGATAGTTTGTTTCCCTGTGTAATTTCTAACTATTGAATATAAATTAATTTTCAGGGTTATTGTTTTTGTAGAAATTCCATGTGCTCTGGGTTGTGAAAACATCTTTAGAATCTAGTCTTTCCTTTGCCTCTGCTAGGATCCTACATGATTCATGGATTCTGGAGCAATTTTTAATGTTAATTTATCAGTTTGGGCTTCCTATGTCAGAGCCTGCATGGCACCGATCAGGGTTCTAAATTTTATGATTGATTACTTTTCTACACACAAGACCAGGTGGAAAGCAAGTTTCCTTGACACTGTCTTAGTAGGCAGAGATTTTCTAGTCTCTTTTCATGGATATATATTTGAATCTTGATTTTACTCAGGTAGCCCAGTTCTAGTTCCCCTTCCATAATGGGCATATGGCTTGGACTTCCCGCTCTATGTATGAGTTATAACCTCAGCTTCCAGTGGTTAAAGCTGTTTTTTAGTTTTTACACCCCTGTGAGCCATTATGTTTCAACTCCTGTTCTGGCTTTGAGATCTCACTTTATTTCTGGAAGCTTCAATGTATTAGATATCTATTTAAGCTGATAATAGTTCAGAATTTATTGGTGTTTGAAATGGTAGAGTAGGTTTTTCTCTGTCAGTCCAGTTTGCCAGCCATATTGACTGAAAGTGTGTGAGTGAGTGTGTGTGTAGAATTAAAACACCAGGAAGGTAGAAATAGAACCAGAGAATGGTTTTGATATAGAAGCCAAGAGAGGAAACAACTTCGAGGAGACTATGATCATTGGTTGCCATTAAGGGGAACAAAACAGAAAAATAAATGAGGACTAGATGTGAACACAGGGTGAGTGACCCAGAGAGTGCCGGTTCATCTGGCCGCAGGAGGAAGAGGGAATGGTGGTGGGGAAATTGAAGCCATGGAGTCTATACCTCCTAGTTGAAAGTTTGATAGTGACATGAAGGAAAGAATTACAATGATCACTTCAGGGAACATTGGATGGTGTGGATTTGTCTTTCGGAGTAAGGGAGACTTCAAACTAGAGCCAATAATCCACTTCTCCATCTGGCTATCCTATCCTTCTAGCCTTATCACTCCTATTCTTCTAATCATCCATTTTTTGTTTTTTTGTTTTTGCTTCCTCTATAGAAAAGTAGTGTTTCTTTTTTATTTGATAAGTTCTTCCAGCCCAGGATGGCTTTCACAAAAACCTTCTTTTCTAGAATCTCCTTGAGCCTTATGGTTTGAATTTGGCCTCTTTAACCCGAGGTTCTGATTTTGAATCTGGGTCTTATCTTCTTGGTGAGGTAGATAAGGATGTGATCGATTGGGGTAAAGGCAAATTTAATCATATCAAAGCTAAGCAAGTGCCACAGTAAAATGAGACCATAAACAATAGGAGGAGTAGGGGTGAGGGGAGACGGGGAGTTGTAGTAGAGTAATAGATGGAAGTGAAGAAAGAGGGCGAGGAAGAGGTAAAGGGCAGGAAGAGGAGAGACAGAAGTGAGAGAGGAGAGGGTATGGCTATGGTTGATTAATTGAGGAAGGCTGTTGCAGAACTCATTACACTTGAACTTCTGGGAGGCTACTGATAGTATAATGCCCCACATCTCAACAGATATGCTCAGTTTAAAGATATCCTCTTCCCACTCCAACTTATTGTCAGTCATTCACCTTCACCTTTGATGTATCTAGTTGCTGTGCCCTTCAAGTGAATCTTCTCAAACTAAATGTAGCTGGTGTTTGGGGGAGTATAATGCTTGCAGGGTTCCCTCAGCCAGAAGAAATCCTCACTTCCAAATATAGGAATTGCCCTTAATTTTCTCTTTCTTGGACTGAGAGCCCCTGGGTTTATATTTCCTCCCTGATATTGCTCCTTGGTAGTTTCACCCTTGAGATTTTATTGGGTAATCCTCCCCCAAGACTCTTACAATTGACTCAATTTCAAACATTTTAGTAGAGTTGTAATGCCCTCCAAGTGCAAATTGAGTTGAATGAGCAGAATGAATGTTGATGTGGTTATTGAGGGAAGTGGCTATAGGAGTGGGGGTGGGACAAGGTCTCTGAGCTGAGAACAGCCTTTACGACCAGGTCCTTGAGCAGAAATAGTGGTAGAAGCCCAGTTGGTGGTGAAAATCCTTAGTTACAGCTGAGCTGCAGAAAATGGAGACCAGCAAAACAACTGAGCAGCCCTCCTAAGCAGCTGGTCTCACAGACAGCCTATTCAACGTTAAAACAAGAAAGAATAAAGCTGAACGCTGTGGAGAACAACCTCAGTAAAGCTTTTCAGTAATTGAAGTTGGATGGAAGCACTAGAATCACTCTGAAAATCTCCCAAAATTACTTAACTGCTTGGCTGAAACCAACAAATAGAAAGCTTGAGAGAGGGGACTCCACCTCTCTGTCTACTCATGCTGGTAGACTTTAAAAGGCAGACTCAAAAGAAACTGAGGGGCCAGAATAGTAGGGTAGATAGAACTGAGCCAGTGTCCCTACTGCCCAACTTTAGCCTTTGTTTGGGTTGGGCTTCTACTGTAGAGCCCTGCCAAAGAAGAGATGTCCTTGTTGAAATCACCACTTGCTGCTTCAGACCTTGCTAGGAGTTGCTTCCTTCAGGAAGCCTTCTTTGTCCCCTACATGCACCCCTTCCCCAATCCCACCATACGTGGGTTGGGTTATAGCTATCCCCTATGTTCCCATGCATCCTGTGCATACCTCTGTTAAGGCACAAATCACTTTGTGCTGTGATTGGTTGTTCTGCTGTCAATCTTTGCCAATTAACCATAAGCTCCTTTGTGAGGAGGTATATCTTAGCTGTCCATATACTCTAGCATCTATCCCATGGTCGAGCATGTAATAGTGCCCAATGTGTTTGGAACTGAATTGACATTAGAAACCTATTGAGATGGTGCTTTGGGAGGCTGAGATGGGAGGATCACTTTAGGTCAGGAATTTGAGATCAGCCTGGGCAACATAGCAAGACCCTGTCTCTACAAAGAACAAAAAAACTAGTTGGGCATGGTGGTGCACACTTGTAGTCTCAGCTACTCTTGAGGCTGAGGTGGGAGGATTTCTTGAGCCCAGGAGCTTGAGACTGCAGTGAGCTATGAGATGTTTACATGGTTTATTCTGGTATTATTGTAATTAGTTGCCACAAAAGCCCCTAAAGGTGGGAACTGGTTGTGCATGTGTGGATCACTGTGTGTATTCTAATGGTGCTTAACACATTGTCTATTACTGCCTTAATGAGCATCTGGGCTCACTAGAACCCACAAGCTAAGCAGGTGTTAATATTTCCAAAGCTAACCAAAACCCCTGGCACAGCAATGAGGTGCAAGCTCTCCTTGTATCTGCCTCCTTGCACCTGGGCTGCAAGTGACTTGAACTCAGTTAGACTGGAGCTCTTCAGTAAGGGTTTCTCATTTGGGGTTTTCCCCGAATAGCTCCACTTTGGGAATCTAGGTATTGTAAAAATAGAACACCGGGGGGATTTGAATTTACCATTACACAAAGAGTTCTTGGGGAGTTTTTTGTTTTTGTTTTTGTTTTTTCCCTTGCCAAAATGTTCTTTCCCTCAGAAGATCCACAAGGTGAGGATTCTTAGCAGAGGTGAGCAGTCATGGGGATCACGGGCTCCATAGTCTCACACAGCCCCCGGTACTGGGCAGGCACAACCCACACAAGAAACACTTGCCATTCTCTCTGGCCACCAACCGTCCATCTTCTTTCTCTTTCTTTCTCTTTCTTTCTTTCTTTCTTTCTTTCTTTCTTTCTTTCTTTCTTTCTTTCTTTCTTTCTTCCTTCCTTCCTTCCTTCCTTCCTTCCTTCCTTCCTTCCTTCTTTCCTTTTCTTTTCTTTTTTCTTCATCTTTCTGAAAGGGTCTCACTCTGTCACCCAGCCTGGTCTCGAACTCATGGGTTTAAGCAATCCTCCTGCCTCAGCCTCCCGAGTCACTGGGATTACAGGTGTGAGCCACTGTGTCCGGCTACACCCTTCTTTCTTGATTATTTTAATCCACTGGGGGAAAAAAAGTGAGTCTGGGTGAGAAGAGGTCACATGTGAAGCTTATCAGCAGCTAACACCTTATACTTATAAGTTAGTGCTCAGCTAGGATGAGTTAATGATCTGGAAGGAGGCTGCCCAGGGATGGGCAGGGTGACAAGTGGAAACTGCAGAGAGATGGGAAGTGCCAAAGATATACCACCTCTGCTTTAATGATTATGTGATTTTATGACTGCTCAAAATCACTTCATAATATTTTGGTATGTGTGCCCCAGGCTGCCAACTTCTTCCCTTGAGGGTTGGAGAGCAGGGCCGCCTCAGTTCTCTGAGGATTCCTTCTCTTTGCAGAGACAAGGAACTGGCACTACAAACAAACAAATAAATAAATGAAATAAGCCAGGACAGATGGGCTAGAGTTGCCAGATAAAACACAGGACACCTAGTTAAATCTGAATTTTAGATAAACAATGAATTATTACTTTTTAGTGTAAGCATATCTCAAATATTGACTAGGACATACTACATTAACAATTTTTGTGTTGTGGCCAGGTGCAGTAGCTCACGCCTGTAATCCCAACATTTTGGGAAGCCGAGGAGGGTGGATCACTTGAGACCAGAAGTTTGAGACCAGCCTGGGCAACATGGAGAGATCTCGTCCCTACAAAAAATACAAAAGTTAGCTGGGTGTGGTAGCACGTGCCTGTAGTCCCAGCTACTTAGGAGGCTGAGGTGAGAGAATCACCTGAGCCTAGGAGGTTGAAGCTGCAGTGAGCCATGATCTTAGCCACTGTACTCCAGCCTGAGTGACAGAGTAAGACCTCATCTAAAAAAAGAAATTATTTGTTGTTATATGAATACACTCAGTGCTACTAAACTATAATTCACTTAAAAGTGGCTAAGATAGTTTAAAAAAAGGAGTTTTGTTTTGTTTTTTGTTATCTGGGAGTCTAATTTAACCAAGTGTCCTGTATTTTTATTTGCTAAATCTGGCAACTCTAAAATGAGGGCTAAGAACCTTCCTTCCCTTCTCCCTTCACTCCAAGTCAGGGTGGCAGGTGTGACCAAAAGAATTCTTCTGGGCACAGAAATTCAACTCCTGAGGCTTCTTCTGATATGACTTGAGGTGCAGACAGTCTGGAATGAAGGATTGGGTTCCACGTGCAGAGCCTCACTCCTTCCTGGGAGAGGACTGATTGGGATGCCATGTAGGAACCCCAGGTTTCAGGGGCCCACTGACTGCCCTCCAGGGAGGGAAGAGACTGAGTCCCAGGTACCAAAAATCCTGCAAGACAGGCCCTGACAGAAGTCAGAAATCAATGGGCCGAATATGCCTGTCATCACTTCATCTCACACTGATGTCACACCCAAGTCTTTCAGCTGCAAAGACGTGCCTTGGTGCACTCCACTTTAAGCAAAGTCAATTCCACCTATAAAAATCTATATTTACCAAAAATACCATAGTGAGTGATTATTTTATCCTGTTGGCAACAAGACGATCATAGGCTTTCTTTAATTATTAAGCTCCCCTCATGCATTTAAAATAGGATTCCATTTGGAAGGTGAAAAAAAGAAGGATTGGCCAGGGGCTTGCAAAAGCAAGTTATTCCTGTATGAGGGATGGGCCACTGGCAGATACCTTCAGGGAGCAGGGACAACAGGTGTGCATGTGGCAGGTTTGGTGGGTGTGCGAAGAGTGGCTGCACAGCAGCAAGTCACTTCCCCAGGAGGTTTGCTGAGCCAGTCTCATTACGTTCTAGGCACACTGCAAGCCAGTGAGGTCAGGCTGCTGTCTGCTTCCATTTGCTATGTCCCCCCTCCCCTGGCTGTGGTGGGAAGAAGTCAGAGAGATGGTGACGATGACATGGAGAGCGGTGAGGGAGAGGGAGCTCCTGTGGTGGAGAGGAGTAATTTGCTCTGGCCAAGGAGTGCCTTGGACAGATGGATGGGAGCAGCCGGTGGAAGCCTTTGCAGAGACTGCTCATGAAACAGCCATTCAGCTGGCATTTGGTGATGGTCTGCTAGTGCAGGGTGCTAAGCTGGTTAGTAGTAGAAAAATAATGAGGCCGGGCATGATGGCTCCTGCCTGTAATCCCAGCACTTTGGGAGGTTGCAGCAGAAGCATCGACTGAGCCCAGGAGTTCAAGACCAGCCTGGGCACCATGGTGAAAACATTTCTATTTTAAAAAGAAAGAAAGAAAAATAATGAAAAGAGTAACAATAGTCATAACAACAGACAAGATCTTATCTTCTTATCTTCCAGGTAATGAGTTGAATTGTGTCCCCAAAAATAAGATTTGTTGAAGTCTTAAGCTTCAGTACCTCAAAATGTGACCTTATTTAAAAATAGGGTTGTTATTAAAAAGTGAACATGAAAAGAGATTTCTCAAAAGAAGACATTCATGCAGTCAACGAACATATGAAAAAAACCTCAACATCACTGATCATTAGAGAAATGCAAATCAAAACCACAATGAGATACCATCTCACACCAATCAGAATGGCTATTATTAAAAAGTCAAGAAACAGATGCTGGGGAGGTTGTGGAGAAAAAGGAATGCTTTTACACTGTTGGTAGGAGTGTAAATTAGTTCAACCATTGTGGAAGACAGTGTGGCGATCCCTCAAAGATCTAGAAGCAGAAATACCATTTAACCCAGCAATTCCATTACTGAGTAAATAATACCCAAAGGGATATAAATCATTCTATTATAAAGATACATGCACACATATGTTCATTGCAGCACTATTCACAATAGCAAAGACACAGAAGCAACCCAAATGCCCATAATTGACAGATTGAATAAAGAAAATATGGTAATAGAAACCATGGAATACTATGAAGCCATAAAAAGGAAGGAGATCATGTCCTTTGCAGGGACATGGATAAAGCTGGAAGCTGTTATCCTCAGCAAACTAACACAGGAACAGAAAACCAAACACTGAATGTTGTCACTTATTAAGTGGGAGCTGAATGATGAGAACACATGAACACATGGGGGGAACAACACACACTGGGGCCTTTCTGGGAGGTGGGAGGAGGGAGGGCATCAGGAAGATAGCTCATGGATGTTGGGCTTAATACATGGGTGATGAGCTGATCTGTGCAGCAAACCACCATAGCACACGTTTACCTACGTAACAAACCTGCACATCCTGCACATGTACCCCAGAACTTTAAATAAAAGTTGAAGAAAAAAAAAGAAAAATATATCTATATGTTTTTTAGAGAATATTTAGTTTCAAACCAGATAATTTTGTACAAGTCGTATGTAAGGGTCATATCCAATACACGCAAAAAAGAAAACATACAGATTGAATTATGCCCCAAACATTGATATAGTCTCATATTGCCCACTATGCTGTGCTAATATAGACCAAAAATAGGACAGAGAACATCTGGCTTACTAAGCAGCTCTGTTAGTCAAGGCTTTACAGAAAAACAGAACCAATAGAATATATATATATATATATATGTATATATGTACATATTCTTTAAAAAAGAAGAAAATCTGAAGATATTTCCCAAATGAATTTAGAGTGTATTCAAGCAACCATTAAGTGACTTATCATTTCAGATGACGGGTGAATTCGTGACCTAGAATTTGTGTGAACATTCAGCTATACCTCAAGAAGTCCTAGATTAAAGCTGCTGGTGCAGTTGTCCCTGAGTAATCTTGAGGCTGTGGCCTGGGATGCACTTCCCATGTCACCTGGCCATATGGCACAGGAGAGACAGCTCTTGCCTGCAATAAAGCCCTAAGGGCAAAAGATGACATCTGTAGCACTTCAGCTTGAAAAATATGAGCACATAGAAATATGCATAACCATTTGCTTTTTTTCTTTTAAAGTGAATATGGTATAGTCTAGTAATTGGTTTATATGTTATTTTTTCCTAGTGCCATTCACTTAAATGATTTTTTATATTATAAAATATTTCTTCAAAATATTTATTGAAGAAAATGTGTTTATTGAGGGAAATCCATGTTTATTCAGAAAAAAAATAGAGATAAGCAAAAAAAAAAAAAGAAAGAAAATAAGGTTGTTGCAGATGGAATTAGTTCAGATGAGGTCATGCTGGAGTGGGAAAGGGGAGCCCTAATCTGATATGACTGGCATCCTCATAAGAAGACACATGAAGACAGAGGCACGGGGGGAACACTGTGTGATGACAGAGGCCAAGATGAGGGTGCTGCAGCCACAGCCCGGGAGCACCAAGGACTGGCAGCCACCACCAGAAACTAGGAGAGAGGCCCAGAACAGACCCCCCCCTCCCGGGCCTCAGAAGGAACCAACCCTCATGACACCTTGACTTTGAACTTCAAGTTTCAACTATGAGACAACACATTTCTGTAGTCTAAGCCACCTAGTTTGTGGTGCTTTGTTATGGCAGCTGTAGTCAACTAATACACACCAGAATAATCATCGCCACCCACTGAGCTAGTACTGTGTGGTTTACACACATTCTATCACTTATTCTTCAGCACAGCCCTATGAGAAAGGAACTATTATTATCCCCACATCACAGTCTGGGAAAGGGAAGCTTGGAGAGGCCTGAGGTTGCCTGAGGTTGAGTTGAGGAAAGGGAAGCTTGGCAAGGCCTGAGGGCTCAACTCCAGTGATGTCTAAGATCAAGCCTGTGCAAGCCACAGAGACAGCAATGCCAGGCCAAGGTCTCAATAAGTGCCCTGCAGAAGTCACTAAAACCTAGGAGGTTTTAACTCTTAAAAGAGGACTAAAGGGAGAGGGCGATCTATAATTTTAAAAAAAAGGTGGAGGGGGGCAAGTACGATGGCTCACGCCTGTAATCCCAGCACTTTGGGAGATCAAGGTGGGAGGATTGCTGGAGGTCAGGAGTTCAAGACTACCGTGGGCAACATAGGAAGACCCCCATCTCTACAAAAAATTTTTTAAACTTAGCTAGATGTGGTGGTGCACACCTGTAGTCCCAGCTGCTTGAGAGACTGAGGCAGAAAGATTGCTTGAGCCCAGGAGTTCCAGGCTACAGTGAGCAAGGATTCCACCACTGCACTCCAGCCTGGGTGACAGAATGAGACTCTGCCGGAAAACAACAACAACAAAGAAAAAGAAACACAAAACACTTTAGGTAGAAACTTAGACAACAAAGAGAGAAATATTTTGGGACAATAACCTACTTCATTCAGGTGTTAGGTCGGCCCTACTCAGCACTCAGAGGGAAAAAAGTTTAAATGGGTAAAGTCCTGGTATGAGTCAGGATAGCCTAGGCTCTGCTGAGGCAGCAAATGAACCTTGAAATCCAGTCTCTGGAAGTCTCCACCTCATTCATTCACTAGGTAAAGTACGTGGAGTGTCAAATGCAGGTAGCGACTGAAAAGAAGGTCAATGAGAGCAAATTATTTTGGGGAGATTTAGATTTGTGACTGTTTAGTTACAATGTTGCTAAGAGAAAAAAAAACCTATGCTAGCGGCTAAACTACGGTTAAGTTTGTCACAGATTCCGTGTGTCAGGGATAAATATGATACCCATTTAAAACTTTTGTTTTATGTTGTTCACTTTTGAAATATTCAAATCTTTTATCCCGAATAAGTAATCATTACATCAACAAAATATTTATCCTGAATGTGGTAGATGCTTACTTAGTGTCTGCCCAATGACTAAATGAAATGCATGTTAGGAGTTTATAGTATGAAGTGAAATATAGGTAAACTAATCACAGAAGAAACAGGCCAAAAAACATCCTTGGAAGGCTTTTCTCCCCTGAAGTTTGAGTTTTCATGGGCCAGTAAAATTGAAAAAAAAAAAAAAAAGATGAACAAGTTAGCCAGTAAGGACATTAAAAACAACAGCAACAATTATCACCTATCAACCATCACCTATCAATAAAGTGAATCAAAACATCAGGCTTAACCTGCAATTAGAATAAGAACAGTCTTTAAATTCATTTAGCTTTGTGAAAATCTCACTACACTGTCCTTATTTTTCTCATTCTGTCAAAGCAAAATGCACTAATCAGGCTAACTGTCCCCCCTCCACGCATCTCCCTTTAGAACTGTGATAAACAGAGCCCCAGGACAGTAGGATCCGGACTCAGCTATGCAAGCAGGACTGAGGAGAGTTGCTGCCCGGCTTGTTGGGGGGCGGCTTGCTTTCAGGGACAGTGCCCTGCCTGGTTCCTGGCTGTCTCCCAGCCTACCCACGACCCTCTCCCTCTGAGCGGGGCGGTGGCATTAGCTGTCTCATGGGGCAGCCCAGGGCCCTGGCTTCTGGACTCCTGCCCTTGCTCTCCCCAGAGAACAGTTCTCACAGGGATTAGCCTGAGGCCCAGTCGCCCGGTCTCTCACGGGGAAGCGCACATTTCCTTTCCTGGCTCTCTGCACCTACCTGGGAAGGCGGCCCGCCTTGCTGCTACCTGCCAGTCTGCTGGCCCGCCTGGTCCTGTGGCTCTCCGTGGAGCTTTCTGGAGCAAAGAGGCTGAAGAATACAGCGGCACAGGGCCAGAAGCTGGCTTCTAGGGGCTGGGCCATGTCTCTCGGATCTTGGTCCTCTCCTCTCAGCTTGTTCTTGTGGCTTCAGCTGCCTTCAGCCTCCCGTGGAGCCGTGGGAAGGGGGTGCTGCCTGCTGACAATGGAATTTCAGGGCCTTGGGGACACGCAGGCTCCAGGCAGGAGCTCCCTTGGGTTGGGAGATGCGCCCCCCAGTACTGGTCATAAGAAAGAGAAGCAAAGATGAGTACAACTGACATGTGTAAGAATTTTCACCTTTATCGGCACACAGGGATGACATTCTAAGGGACCTGGGAGGCAGCAGACACTTTTTAATTAGTTTGATGACATGGCCATTTGGACAGCCGGGAAGACAGGTCGATGTAATCATTAATACATCTTATTGCTTTACAAGGCAATAAACTAAGGAAACGGGATCCAGTTTGTGGTTTTCTCCTTTTACCTGGGCTCCTGTTTGTGTATATGTGTGTGTTTATCCAAGTTTAAACTTTCAGGGTTATATAACCGTTCCCCTTGGCTTACAATCAAACTTCCAGATTAGCTGGAGGTGCCCTGCGCAAGTTAGGAGTTGGTGTGGGGGTGAGCCACGTGACCGAGCCTGGCTTCCTGGTTGGGGCTGCTCTCTAAGCAGAGGTGTTTGCTTGCAGCTCCGGGAAGAGCGTTGTCTGGAGATCCTGGTACCCATTCTTCAGGCTTTGGGGACAATGCCCTGAGCATCTCCTGTTCTCAAAACTGTAGCTATATAAAATTAGAAATCCTATCAAGCTTTGTTCCTTGTAAAGAATGTCCAGTGCACTGAGATGTCTATACTGGCAGGAACCACTTGAAAGGAAGTCAAAATTTCCAGTTATTCAAGTTCTTATCAAAGTGGTACTCACTGGGTTGAAACAATGTGATTCTTGGAAGGACTGTCTTATGAGGCTCAGATTCCAAATGTTTCCTTTCTTCTCTTGCTTGCCTCCTTCTTTTAACTGAGTTACTATCTCCTAGATGCTGATTACAGTAAAAATTATGTCTCTCTCTGTAGGATTTGTCAATGTGGTGAGAAACAGATTATGAGTGGGGCTGAACATTTCAAACTTCTTCTGGTAGAACACCCATCACCCAATCATCTGTGTGATGATTAATATTATACATCAACTTGGCTGGGCCACAGTGACATGAAACCTTCTGGGTGTTTCTATAAGGGTGACTTTGGATAATACTAACATTTAAATCAGTAGACTTTGAGTGAAGCAGAGTACTCTCCATATCACAGGTGGGCCTCATCCCATCAGCTGAAGGCCTTACAGGAACAAAGATTGACCTCCCAGTATAAGAAGTAATCTGCCAGCAGGCTGCCTTTGGACTCCAACTGCAACTCTTCCCTGGGTTTCCAGCCTGCCAGCCTACCCTGCAGACTTTGGACTTGCACCTCCACAACCATGTGAGCCAACTCCTTAAAATCTCTCTCTCTTTTTCTATGTACACACACACACACACACACACACACACACACACACACACACGCACACAGAGTTGCCCTTCAATATCCATGAGTGATTAGTTTTAGGACCCCCACAGATACCAACCATGAATGCTGAAGTCCCTGATATAAAATGATGTATTATCGGCATATATCTTACACACATCCTTCCATGTACTTTAAATCATCTCTAGATTACTTATAATACCTCATACAACATAAATGCTATGTAAATAGTTGTTATACTATACTGTTTAGGGAATAATGACATAACAAGAAAAAAGTCTGTATGTGTTCAGTTAGATGCTTTTCTTAAAAAATATTTTTTAGCCCCAGTTGGTTGAATCCACAGATGTGGAGGTTCCAGATGCGGAGGACCCAGTGTAAATATATGCACATCCTGTTGGTGCTGTTTCTCTGGAGAAGCCTGACTAATACAAACAGTATATGGATTGTTGGTAGAACCTCATGTCTCCCCTAAAACCCAGATCAACTTGTCCCTTTCTGCCTCTCATAGGCCTCCAGAGTTTAAGATGAGGATTAGTGGCTCAGGTGAGCGCAGTGGCTCACGCCTGTAATCCCAGCACTTTGGGAGGCCAAGGTGGGCAGAGCACTTGAGCCCAGGAGTTCGAGACCAGCCTGGGTAGCATGGCGAAACCCCATCTCTGCAAAAAATACAAAAATTTGCTGAGTGTGGTGGCACACACCTGTAGTCCCAGCTACCAGGGAGGCTGAGGCGAGGATCACTTGAGCCTGGGAGGCAGAGGCTGTAGTGAACCATGATTGTGCCACTGCACTGCAGCCTGGGTGACAGAGTGAGACTCTGTCTCAAAACAAAAGAAAGAAAAGAAAAAGAAATGGGTTAGTGCCTCCCAAGTCTTAGATCCCTAGTGAAAGGCCTATAAAAATGCAAAGCCCCAACCCAGCCAGAACTCCTCCCCACACAGAAATAACAAGCTGGAGTCTTGAGGACCTCCCAGACCTGATTTCCTGCTCTGCGGCCCTCTGGAGGGGGCCTAAAAGGGAGGCATATACCCCAGCAGCTAAGGGAAGGCAAACATTGAGTCCAAGCAAAGGATCTCAGTCCTTTGCACTATGTATGGTGCAGAGAAGGCCTTCCAGTCACTGTGCTGCACCACTTGAGTGTGCCACTCTGTAAACTCAGCAAAGGCATGAGTCACTTTGAGTTCCAAAGGTCCCCCCATCCCCCAATTCTTTCCTTCTCAGTTTGGTTTGCTATTTCAGTGGGAGGTTCAGAGGATAAGCTGGAAAGACAGCAAGCAGCACAGGAGAGTGACAGGATGGCCTGTGACTAATAGAGACCAGGTTATTGTCCCCTGACCTTTTATTTTTCACAAGAGACTAACATTGCTTTTTTTTTTATCATAAAAATGATGTATTACTTATTGGAAAAAAATTCCAATACTGAAAGTATTAAAAAGAAAGCCGAACTCTACCACTCTGAGATAACCACTGTTCCAATTTGGTGAATATTTTTCCAGATATCTGTGTAGGTATGTGTATTAGTTTGCTAGGGCTACTATGACAAAGTACCAAAAACGGGGTGGCTTAGACAGCAGAAACTTGCTCTCTCACAGTTCTAGAGGGTAGAGGTCTGAGGTCAAGGTGTCAGCGGGTCTGGTTTCTTCTGATGCCTCTCTCCTTGGCTTGTAGAGGGCTTTCTCCCTGACACTTCATGTGGTCTTTTCTCTCTCGATCATGTCTCTTTCCACATGTCTTCTTCTTACAAGGAACACCAGTCGTATTGGACTAGGGTCCCTCTAAAGAACTCATTTTCACTTAATTTGTTCTTTAAAGACCCTATTTCCAAATATAAACACATTCCGAGGTGTTAAAACTTTAACAAAGGAATTTTAACGGGACACGTATCAGCCTGTAACAGTGTGTATACGTGTACCTATCAGTAGATTTACAACAAGGAGATGTTACCCTTGTTTTTTTGTAACTGCTTTTTTTTTAACTCATCAACATATCTTTCTAAAGTGATAAATAGAACCAATTCTCATGACTACTTACTATTCTGTTGTATGTATCATAATTTATTAACCACCTCTGGTTTGATATAAATTTTTTCCTGAAGTTCACAATTATCAACGATGTTGCAATGGACATCCTTTGGATATTTGGCTGGTTATTTACTTAAAGGTAAATGTTTACAAGTTACATTGCTGGATCAAAGAGAAGTTTATTTTAAATTTTGGTACAAATACAATAGTATAGAAACCTTTGATTTTTAAAGAGGTCAAATTTATTAGTGTTTTGAGGGCCTATGCATAAAAATGTTAGAACTATGACATAATTATTAGTACAGTGTTAAGTTTGGCCTAAAGCTGCCTCTTTACGTATTTTAAGCTTGATCTAAAGGTTTCTCCTTGCATGGTGAAATCTAACCTAACTGGATGTGTAAACAGACTATGATCTGCTCTTATAACAAGTAGCCGAGTTTCAGTCCATCACAGCAGCCGTACTTCAACCACTCCCAGGCAGCCAACTATTCAAACTGTGTTCCAATAAGGCAAACGCAGAGCTGTAACCAGTCCGGCAGATTCTGTATTTCACTTCCATTTTCTGCATCTCACTTTCCTTGTTCTGTCCATAAGTTCTCTCCAGCCACGTGGCAGCGCTGGAGTCTCTCTGAACCTATGCTGGTTCCTGGCACTGCCTAACTCATGAATGGTTCTTTGCTCAATTAAACTCAATTAAATGTAATTTGTTAATATAGTTTGGATGTGTGTCCTTGCCCAATTCTCATACCGAACTATAATCCCCAGTGTTGGAGGTGGGGCCTGGTGGGAGGTGATTGGATCATGGGGGAGGATTTCTCATGAATGGTTTAGTGCCATCCCCTTGGTACTGTTCTCATGACAGTGAGTGAGTTCTCACGAGATCTAGTCATTTAAAAGTGTGTGGCACCTCCTCCCCTTGCCCTTGCTTTGCCATGTGATGTGCCTGCTCCCCCTTTGCCTGCTGCCATGATTGGAAGCTTCCTGAGACCTGTCTGGAAACAGATGTCTCTAAGCTTCCTGTACAGCCTGCAGAACCATGAGCCAATTAAGCCTCTTTTCTTATAAATTAATCAGTCTCAGGTCTTTCTTTCTTTCTTTCTTTTTTTTTTTTTTGAGACAGAGTCTCACTCTGTCACCCAGGCTGGAGTGCAGTGGCGCAATCTCGGCTCATTGCAGCCTCCGCCTCCCAGGATCAAGCGATTCTCCTGCCTCAGCCTCCCAAGTAGCTGGGATTACAGGCACCCACCACCACACCCAGCTAATTTTGTATTTTTAGTAGAGATGAGGTTTCATCATGTTGGTCAGGCTGGTCTCAAACTCCTGACCTCAGGTGATCCACTACCCTTGGCCTCTCAAAGTGCTGGGATTATAGGCATGAGCCACTGTGCGCCCAGCCCAGTCTCAGATATTTCTTTATAGCAATGTGAGAATGACCTAATACATTTGTCTTACATTTTTCTTTTAACAATGGAATAGTTACAGTGCATTTTAAATTGCAAATCTTAGCTCTAACAGCATTTCCTTTTGTGTATAAGGCATATTTTAGGCTCTTTGACACCCAAATAATTGACCAATTGCTTCAGTATTATTTACGGATAATTTATCTTTTCCCCTTTGATTTAAAATGCCTCGTTGACCACATATTAAATTCTCATTTATTACATGGTTCTGTTTTTTGTTTTGTTTTATTTTTAGAGTCAGGGTCTGGCTCTGTCTCCCAGGCTGGAGTGCAGTGGTGCCATCATAGCTTGCTGCAGCCTCAAACTCCTGGCCTAATGCGAGCCTCCTGCCCCAGCCTTCTGAGTAGCTCCTTAGCGTGTGTCACCACACCTGGCTAAGTTTTTTATTTTTTATAGAGACGGGGTCTCACTTTGTTGCCCTGGCTGGTTGATTTTTAGACTCTGTTTTTGTCCATTGATTTAATTGTCTATGTCTGTGCCAGCAACCATACTTTTTTAATAGTTGTATAATATATTTTGATATCAGATAAAATTCATTCCCCCCCCCCAAAAAAAAAACCTTGGCTATTTTTATGAGTTCTATTTTGACTTATTTTTAAAGTAGTTTTTGTTGTTGATTTAGTAGAAGCATATAGAAAAGCACACAAGTCAAAGTTCGTGGCTTGATCAATATTCAAAAGAGAAAACACTCATGTTCCCACTACCCAGGTCAGGAAATAGAACCTTTCCAGAACCTCCAAAACCCCTCATGTGTCCCTACCAGTCACTAGGGCCTCCCCAGAGGTAACCACTATACTGATGTCAATCATCACATCCATTTTGCCTTTGTCTATATATATTTAAATTTTTTTTTAATTGTGGTAAAAAATGCACAACATAAAATTTAGCATCTTGACCCTTTTTAACTTACAACCCAGTAATGTTGAGATCATTCACATTGCTGTGCAACCAATCTCCAGAACTCTTCTCATCTTGCAAAACTAAAACTCCATATCTAATAAACACTACTCCCCATTGTCCCTTCCCATAGCCCCTAGCAACCACCATGCTACTTTCTGTCTCTATGAATTTGGCTATTTTAGGTACCTCATATAAGTGAAATCATACAGAAGTTTTATTTTTTTTTGTGACTGGTTCATTTCACTTAGCATAATTTCTTCAAGGTTCATCCATGTTGTAGCATGTGTAAGAACTGTATTTCTTTTTAAGGCTGAATAATATTCTACTGTATGTATATTCTACATTTTATTTGTCCATGGGCACTTGAGTTGCTTCAACCTTTTCACTATTGTGAATAATGCTGCTATAAACATGGGTGTACAAACATCTCTTCAAGACCCTGCTTTCAATTCTTTTGGATAGGTATCCAGAGGTAGAGTTGCTGGATCAATAGTAATCCTATTTTTAACTTTTTCAGGAACCGCCATTGTATTAGTCCGTTTTCACATTGCCAATAAAGACATACCCGAGACTGCACAATTTACAAAAGAAAGAGGTTTAATGGACTTACAGTTCCAAGTGGCTGGGAAGGCCTCAGAATCATGGCAGAAGGGGAAAGGCACGTCTCACATGGCAGCAGACAAGAGAAGAGAGCTTGTGCAGGGAAATTTCCGTTTTTAAAACCATCAGATCTCGTGAGACTTGTTCACTATCACAAGAACAGCCTGGGAAAGACCTGCCCCCATGATTCAATTACATCCCACCGGGTCCCTCCCACAGCATGTGGGAATTCAAAATGAGATTTGGGTGGGGACACAGTCAAACCGTATCAGCCATACTGTTTTCCAAAGCAGCTGCACCATTTTTTATTCCCACTAATGGTGCACAAGAGTTTCAAACTCTCCACATCTTTGCCAACACTGGTTATTTTCTGAATTGTTGTTGTTGTTTTATTTTTGCTTTTGTTAATAGCAACCAGCCACCTAATGAGTGTGAGGTGGTTCACTTTGTTTTTGAACTTTGTATAAATTGAATCACTCAATACATATTATTTTGTTTCTAGCCTATTTTGCTTAATATTATTTTGTGAGAATCATCCATGTTATTGGATAGAGCAATATTTAATTAATTTTCAATGCTTTATAATATTTCATTAAGCAAATTTATTATCATTTACTTATATAACAAATTATAAATATTGAAGGACATTTGTGTTGTTTCTTGTTTTTATTATGAATAGTACTCCTATAAAGTTTTTAACATGTCTTTTTATGTACACATGCATGCATTTCTGTTGACTATATACCTAGGAGTAGAATGTCTGAGTCACAGGTATGCATATGTTCAGCTTTAGCAGATGCTGCCAAACAGTTTTCCAAAGTTGTACCAGTTTGCATACCCACCAACAGAGTATGAGACTTCTAGTTGTTCCACATCCTCACCAATACTTAATTGTTTACTATTGGCCATTCTGGCAAGTTAAAAAATGGTATTTAATTGTGGTTGACATTTGCATTTTCTTGATGAATAATTAGACTGACTACCTTTTCAGATGCATATTGGCCATCTGGATAATCTCTTGTGATGTACATGCTAAGTCTCTTGCCCATTTTTTAAATACTTTCCTTTCCTGTTTTTTTTTTTTTCTCTCAGTAACTTAAAGGACTTCTTTATTCACTCTGAATGAGTCCTTTGTTAGAAATATATATTGCATATCTCTTCTTTCAGTTTGTGGCTTGCTTCCCTTTTCACTATCTTAAAATGGTATCTATTGATGAACAGAAATTCTTTATTTTAAATAGTCTAATTTATAAACGTTTTCTCTTCTGGTTGGTGATTTTCATGTCCTGGTAAGAAATCTTTGCATACCTTACTATCATAAAGATATCTCCTGTGTTATCTTTTAAATTGTAATTGTTTCACTTTTCACATTTTAGATCTACTATCCAGCTGGATTTTTTTTTAATGATGTGAGATAGATTAAGATGAGGTTTTTTCCATTCTCATATCTATTGGCCCAGAACCACTCATTAAGCAGACTGTCCTTTCCCTTCTGTACAATACCATCTTTGTTATAAATCAAGTGTTGGTCTAGTTTTTGTACTCTATTCTGTTCCATTGATCTACTTGTCTCTCTTTCTGCCAATACCACAGTGACTGAATTATCCAGCATTCTTATTACTTGTGTTATCTAGTGTAAGTGTTTCAGTGATGTTCTTCAAGATTGTCCTAAACACTCTTGGTCCTTTGTATTCCACATGCAAACAAAACAAAATAAGCCTGCCAAGATATCTTTGAGGTTTACATTGAATCTATGGATGAATTTGAAGGGAAATTGACATTTTTACACTATGTGTTCCAATCCACAAGTATTATTTAGATTTATTTAGATTTTCTTAGATTTATTTAGATTTTCTTTAATGTCAGAAAATGTTTATAGTTTATGTATAGAGATCTTTTACTTATTTGTTGAATTTATTCCTAAATGTTTGATTCTATTAATGCTATTGTAAATGGCATCAAGTTTTAAAATTAGCTTTCTAATTATTTGTTGTGGATATTTTGAAATATAATTGATTTTTATGTATTGACTTTATAGCCAGCAAATTTATTGAATTTATTAATTCTAATAGCTCATCTGTAGATTTTATTGGACTTCTGAAAATAAAAATGGTGGTTTTATTTCTTCTTTCCCAATCCTTTTACATTTTTTTTCTTGCCTTCTTGCACTGGCTAAGGCCTCTGAAATGATGCTGAATAAAAGTGGTAATGGGGGCATCTCTGTGTCATTACCAATCTCAGGGAAAGGATTTTAATATTGGATGATTAAATATGATGTTTGCTATAGATTTTCTTGTAGATATCTTTTATCAGATTAAGCAAGTTCTCTTCTATTTTGTCATCAATGTATATTGAATTTAATCAAATGCTTTTTCTGCATCTATTATGTATTAGTCTGTTCTCACACTGCTAATAAAGACATACTGAGACTGGGTAATTTATAAAGGAAAGAGGTTTAATTGACTCACAGTTCCACATGGCTGGGAAGGCCTCAAAATCATGGTAGAAGATGAAGGAAGAGCAAAGGGACTTCTACCATGGTGGCAGGCAAGAGGGAATGAGAGCCAAGATAAAATTATCAGATTTTGTGAGACTTATTCACTACCATGAGAACAGTATTAGGGAAACCACCTTTATGATTCAGTTATCTCCCACTGGGTCCCTCCCACAACACATGGGAATTATGGGAGCTACAGTTCAAGATGAGATTTGGGTGGGGATACAGCCAAACCATAGCATATTAAGATTATTATATGATAGTTCTCTCTTTCAATGTAGATATTCTCCAAGTCCCTGTTCTGAGCCTTCTCCTTTTCTTCTTTCCCTACTCTTCTCCCATTAGTTACCACATTCAATTCACAACTTATATTATTACCTTAAGGAAGGTAACACCACAAAATTTATTTGCAATTGAATTTTCACTCTTCACTCATAATTCCAGCTACCCCCTGGATACCTATTCCTGGATGTCCTGCCAACATCTCAAACTCAAAATGTCCAAAAGTGAGTTACTTTCTCCCCAAATCTGCTACTTTTCCTTACTATTCTTTCTCTGTTAAAGATATCAAGAAGCTCCTAGTAACTTGGGCCTAAAAAGTCATAGTCATCATTGACTCCTTTTCTTGTTCCACCATCCAACAAATCAGACATTATATTCTGTTAATCTCTAGATATTTGTTACATGTTTACATGTTCCCCTTCTTTTCGTCATTATCACTCTTAAGTTATTGCTTTTACAGTAACAAGGTGCTTTAGTTCCTGTTTCTCTATCTTCTAATCTATTTGGCTTGCTGCCACCAGACTAATGTTGTTTAATATCTGTTGAATGAATAAAGCATAGTTTTAATCATGTTACCTGCTGGTTACCTCCCTCTTGTTGACTACATAAAATTCAGACTTCTTAGCTTAGTTCCAAGCCCTTTGAATCTGGTTCTAGACTCTATCTGTACTTCTTCAGCTTTAAACCTTTCATACACCCTATATTTTGGTTGAATACAAATCATTTTCCAAGTTGTGTTCTGCCATACAATAGAGCCCTTCAGGAGGCTAATACTATTTCTTGAATAAAAATGTTCTGTGGTAATTAAATTTAACCAAAGTCAGACAGCTTTCTTGCACAATCTCTCAAAGCCTTTACTATTCTAATGTACATTGTGAGCCTCCAATTGAGGGGAAAAGTATGTGGTATTTCTCAATGCTATTTGACCATGAATCCTGTTTAAGGGACTATCACTTATCTCACAAGACACTAATGTTCCAAGAAATACATTTTCAAACAGGCTGATACAGATGCCTCTTTATTCCCCAAACATACTCTCTTTCTCACATCATCCTCTTAGATTAGAACAGTGGTTCTTAACCAAGGTTGCCCTCCAAGGGAAATTCAGCAATGTCTGGAGACATTTTTGGTTGTCACAGCTGGGAGCTGTATCTAGCAAGTAGGGGCCAGAGATGCTGCTAAACATTCTACAATGCACAGGACAGCCCCCGCCCCCAGCAAAGAATTATCCACCCAAAATATCAATAGTGCCAAGGTGGGGAAACTCTGAGCTAGACAATCCTCTTCTCACTTCCTCTCCCTGCCAGTCAAAGCTGTATCCATTTCTTAAAGTCCAGATCAAATATTTTCTTTTCAGTTAATGCTTGATTTTACCACTTAGATTTTTCTCCTTCTAATCTTCTACAGGACGGTATATGTTGCCTTTATTGCATTTATCTAATTCTTTCCTATATTATACATATTAATGTATATTTATAACATCTCATACTTGACTGTAATGTTCTGAGTAGCGGGACAATGTTACAGTCGTTTGTTCTCTCTTCAAAGAGCTGACAATGGTAGTAACAGTAAGTTCTTGCTTAAAGAATAAAATGAAGCTTTATTTAACTCTTCTTTTTTAGTCTCCTCCCAAATGTAATTGCTCACCCGGTCTTGTCAGTTTTTCCTTCATGTTTTCCTCACATCTTTCTTAATCTTTCCACATCTCGTGCAGGCGTCCTGGCTTCATGCCCCACTATAGCAACAGGGAGGGAAAATGGTGTGTTGGAGAGAGCCTCATCTTGCATCTGATAAGCCTCCATTTGATGCCCCCCACCCCCTTGCCTTCCCTGGGAACTGCAGTTCTTCAAGCCATGGTGAAAGTGATTGTATCTGCCTTGCAGGGTTCTGTAAGGATTAGAGTGAACACAATGGGTGTTCAATAATGGGCTCTAATAGTCAATAGCCTGAAGGGCTCTTCCTACCTCAGCTCTAAAACTTTCTCAGATCCTCCATCACCCACACAGGCCAAGCTGCTGGAATTCAGGGCTCTAGGCCACTGTGACCAACTTACTCAAAGAAATTTACCCCTAATTCTCCTTTCCAAACCCTCAAACTCTTGATGAGCCGGTCCTTTCAGTATAGTATTCAAAGAGGCCTGAGCATTCTCATCTCCATATTCTGATTCATGGGTTCTTCCCTCTTGGAAACTCCCGTCTTCTGTCACAAATCCTGCTCAAATCCCATCCAGCCTTACCTCTTGGTTCAGTAAAGTCTCCTCAGACCACTCAGCCTACAGGGATCCTTTCCTTTTCTGGACATTTGGAGTCCTTATAGTCTGTTTCACTAACAGGCAATCAATTTCTATTACTTGATGATGTTTCTCACCTGGAGAACTATGCAAATACACCTTCTAGGACTGTCTAAACTTTTGTGCTTTCTCACTTTAGATGGTAAGCTGCTTGAGGACAATGACCATGTCTAATTCTTCTTCACCAAAGTTACCTTGCATATGCTAGAGGCTCCAGAAATATTCAGTCCAAATATTCTGTCTTCTTTCACCTTCGAGTGTGTCTTTAAATGCCCTTTTCATTTTAGGCCTCATGCGCACCTTTGGAGGGTTCCTCAGGCACAGGCAGGAATGAAGGTGATAGCAAGGCCCTGGGTTTCACTTGGGTTAGATGGGAGTGCGGAAAGAGAGGTGCCACACACCAGGATCTGAGAGAATTCTTATAAGCAGAGAATAATGGCAATCAGACACTAACATTTTAATTAACAATTTTAATGGCTTATCCAAAATAATCCTTCTGATTTGGAAGGATTAAATTCCACTTGACAGAACTACCAATCCATGTGGAAAGAAGTCTCACGTGCTGCTCTTGTAGTTACAGCAGGGCCTGGTGGGGCAGAAGGAGTTGTCCAGCAAAGTGCACAGCTGGTGGGAGCTGCTATCCCCAGGCAAGAAAGGGAAAACAGCCCTGCGCTAGCACCAGCATCATAAAACCAACAACAATAGTTTGAAGTGTACGGAGGAGTTATAAGAATAGGAATAGTAAGTAGCATACATACTTTATATGTTTATTTATTTATATGGTGTATAAACAGCATATATACTTTTATCAGAGTCACCTTTTTGTCCCATTTTATTATTTGTGCTCATTATCTCTCTCCTCCTCCCTGTCTCTCTCCCTCTACCATTCTCTTGCTCTATCTAGCTATTTTTTTAACCATTTGAGGGTGACATATTCCAAAGCTCTCTGCCCCTAAATATTTCTGTGTATGTTTACTAAGAATAATGCTATTCCCTTGCAGAACTACAGTGGAGTTATTAACTTCAGGGAACTAAATAGTGATACTATTCTTTTACCTAATCTATCAATTTGTTCTGCAATTTTGTTAATTGTTCTAATAACGTCCCTTACCATTTTTACCTGCTCCAATATGGGATGCAGTCTAGGATCAGGTATTCCATTTAGATCCTGTGCTCCTTTAGTCTTCTTTATTCTGAAATAGTTCCATAATTTTTCTTATTTTTTAATAATTTCAACATTTGCAAAGAATAGCATTCTTTTTTTAAAAAATAAAACATTCATATGTGGAAAACGCTAAAGATCACACACACACACACACACACACACACACACAGTTATAACTAATAAATGAATTCCATAAAGTTGTTGGAGACAAAATCAACACACAAAAATCAGTTTCATTTCTATATTCTACCAACCATTCAAAAGGGAATGAAGAAAGCAATCCCACTTACAATAGCATCAAAAAGAATAACACATGTATGAATAATACACATAGGAAAGACTTCTGCACTGAAAACTATGGAATATTGCTAAAGGAGATTAAAGAAAACACAAATAAATGAAAAGACATCCCATGTTCATGGATTAAAAGAATTAATATTGTTAAAATGTCCATGCTACCCAAAGTGATCTACAGATTAAATGTAATTGCTATCAAAATCTTTACCATGATGACTTTACAATGATGATTTTTCAACATGAAAAAATTTCAAACGTTTTCAACAATGATTTCCTCCACATTTACTGGCTGGCACTTGATATCCTGCTGCAAGTAAAGCCCTTTCTTTTCCTCTATTTATTTATGGATGATCCCCAACATATTTATCAACTGATTTATCAACTTTACGATGGTATGAAAGTGATACACATTCAGCAGAAACCATATTTTGAGCACCCCTACAACCATTCTGTTTTTCACTTTTCAAATTACATGAGATATTCAACACTTTCTTATAAAATGGGATCTGTATTAAATGATTTTGCCCAGCTGTAGGCTAATGTAAGTGCTCTGAGCATGTTTAAGTAAGTTAGGCTAAGCTATGATGTTCAGCAGGTTAGGTGCATTAAATGGATTTTCAACATGATATTTTCAACTTACAACGGGTTTATTATGATATAATCCCATTGTAGCTCAAAGAGCATCTATATTTGTTGGTTGGTTTGTTCATTTTTTTAATGTATTTATTACTGGTGTAGACCCATAGATTCCCATTTTTAATAATCTATTAATATAATTTATTACTGCCCTTACCTCATTATTTCGTGCTCAAAAGGCTCCAGAATTGCCTAGGAGGAGCCCCTTCCAGCTGCTCCTGTGTCCTTGTGTGACATCATTTTTTTGAACATTTTCTTACTTTCTATAAGATGTTTAGCATCTTTTAAAAACCCAGTAAAATTAGGAAAGAGAAAGAAGGAAAGGAAAGAAGGTTAAAAAAAAAATAGAAAACTGGATCAGGGAGTAGAGGAAAAGGACAAAAGTTAAATAAGGAGGGGCATTGAGGGGATATTGCCAGCACAGATTCAGATCCATTGGCCCCTCTGGGAGAGGCAGCCCATCTCCTGCTGCCCCAAAGGGCAGAGCAGGTTATGTGAGAGGCCTTGGTGGATTCTGTATGCTGAGCCTTTGGAGCCGATGGGCTTTGTGTATTGGTCCTGACTTTGTCTGTTGCAAATGATGGAAACCTAACCCAAAATGGAAAAGAGAGAGACATATAATTTACTGACTTGTATGACTGAAAAATATAGTATCGATTTTAAACAAAGTTGGGTCTAGACGTTTGAATGGATGCCAGAAATCTCACCCCAACCTCCCGCCCCCCTACCCACCTCTCAGCTCTGTTTGGCTTTATTCTGTGTGGCTTTATTCTTGGTCAGCCTCTTTTCCCAATTTGGCAGAGGTGCCCCTGGCCCTTCTAGATTAATCCTACTAGTTTAGCAACTCTAGCAGAAATAAAGCATCCCTTTCCCAACGACTGTGACCAAAATCCCAAGAGTGTCCCCGATCGGCCATGCCTGGGAAGGGCAATATTCTCACTGGCCAGGCTGGGCTACAAGCTCCCTGTTAGGGCTCATCTGGGCTGGGCTGGGAATGGAGGAACGGGTGGTTCCCCAAGAGGATGTAGAAGTGCTCTTACCAAAATGGGGAAAGAGGTATTGGAAAAGCTAACACAAAACTTCATTGCATGTGGATCATAAGAGCACTTGATGGTGTCAGAATTTTGACTTTGAGATGCACAAATAAACCACAGCCCAGCCATTTTGTCATGACAACTTCTGTCCCCTTCACACAGACCGCTTACCGGAAACAAACCTTGAACTCCCCCTGCTTAAGACTGAAGCCTCTGTCCATCTGACCTTCCCTTGGCCTGGGAAGTGTGGGTGGGCACCAGGTGCTCACCCAAAGGAAGGAGAGGAAGGAATTGCCCTGGGAGCACAGAGGAAGTGAATAAGCCCTGAGCACTTTGTGGGGTGGCTCTCCCTCCATGTAGACAGGTTCTCGTTTCATCATTTCTCCGGTGGCCCAGCAGGCCCAACAGGGACATGTCCGTCACGGTGGTGTGTTACATCATGTCAGATGGCAATTGAATGCGCTGTTAACATAAGCTGACAGGAAGGCTCTAGCAATCTGCTTATCTGGATGCCACCCTTGCTGAGTAAAGGGTCATTATCAGAATTATTCACACAGAATTATAGCAGTTGGAAGTCTGCAGATTATTTATTACATCACCCTCATTTTAGTCACTCAGCACAGATGGAACCACCTCAAAGGAGCCTGCCTCCCGTCTCCCCCTTTCCCTCTCCCCCTCCCTCCCTTTTCCTGCCACATTAGAGGCTTACCCCAGCACCAGTAGCAGCAGCAGCAGCCAGGAGTGTGAAGCTACCTTAGGTCAGCCTCAGGTATGGCTTTTTCTGTGCCCAGGATCCCTTTTCTGAGTTCTGGCACCGGTGTGAGCAGTTACACACCAGGAAGTGTCTGGATAAGGAGAGCTCAGGACTCTTCCCAATTAGACCCATTCCTGGAGTGGTCTTGCCAACCTTGGTACCAAAATGTCAAAACAAGGTATTTAATTGATCTGTTAAATTTCAGGTCTGGCTTCCATAGCTGCTGCCAGTTTCATAGACATCTTGCAAAGGAAAAGATTCTTTCCTTTGCAAGATACTATGAAAAGTATTCATAGGAGAAGGCATCTGCAGGAATCCATAGACCCTCCAAAACATCCCCAGCTTGCTGTCATGTGCCAACCTTGGTGTCCACCCTCACCACTCCCCTCCTGCACCTCCTCATCCAACAAGCACTATACCTGCAACCCAAACACACTCAGAGTTCACCAAACACATGCCTATTCCCAGGCAAAACCAAACACAATTGATGGTAGCAGCTGTGGAAAGAGGCGGTAATAGAGAATGTGATTAGCAAGATGCATTCAGATGCATGGGCTTCTTTATTACTACCATCCAATAATAGCACATACGAACAATGCACCCTGAACCTGAAGGCCAGCATGGCTGGAGGAGGACCAAGGCTTGTAAAGAAAGATAACTCTTTAACTGATTTACTGACTTATTTTAAATGAGTTTCAAATTTAGCTCTATACTATTTTAAACAACGCTTCAGAACCAGGCAGTAATTCCCAGCCCATCTCTAGGCTCAGCTGCCTTTGGAATGTGGTGATTTGGGATGTGTTGCACAAAAGCAGGGCTCAGTCTGTCAACTCTTTAGGTTCTGAGGGGGCCAGATGCTCCCCGTTGTTATTCCAGGCCCGGCGGCTAGAAAGTCAGAGTGTTGGGCTGCAAGGGATTCTGAATGTGTCTGGTTGAACTTCTAATTATCCAGAGCAGTGGAGGGACCTATGCAAAGACACAGACCCTGCGTATGCTATTGTGAGGGCTGCCATCATGAAATACCACATCCTGCTGGCTTAAACAGCAGCGATGTCTTGCCTCTCAGTTCTGGAGGATACCAGTCCAAGGGTTCTTCCTCCTGAGAGTTATGAGGCAAGGCTCTGTTCCAGGCCTCTCTCCTTGGCTTACGGATGGACAACTTCATGCTCACATGGCATTCTTCCTGTAAATTTCCCCTTTTACAAGGGCATCAGTCAAGTTGGACTAGGGGCCCCCTCATGACCTCTTTTTAACTTGATTACCTCTGTAAAGACTCTATGTCCAAATAGTCCCATTTTGAGGGCTGAGCTCCCAGAAAGCCAATATATATTTGGCGGGGGCGGTGCACAAGTCAACCCACCACACTCTGGTTCTCCTGACCTCTCCTCCAGTTGTGTTTCTGTTCCCAAGGTGGTGCCTCGGTGCTAATACCTCGTAATTTTTCTGTCAAACCTTTCCAGTGGCTGAGTACAATTGATGAACTCTCACTTCCCTGGCTTATGGGGAGTACTTGACATCTGAGAAGTCATGAGGTCAGAGCGGGGGGGAGTCCTGGACCGGCCCCAGGTAATGGAGTGCTCCACACTGTGGGGTCTTCCCCTTGTCCTCTCTCTGAGCCAGTCTGTGGCAGTGGCCTCTGCATTCCAGAAGGCTGCAGCACAACAAGTGGCCTCCAGGATGCCTCTCCTTGGGCACTTAGAGATTACTCCAGCTAAAAACAAACAAACAAACAAACAAAACAGTCCTGCAGTACCCTGTGTGTAACTCTGCTCTTTCTCCTTATTAACTGGAGTCCAGCTGCATTCGGCCTCTTGAAACAGCAAACTGATGAGTGGTGCCATCCTTTGACCTTTGCAAATGGGGGTTCATTGGTGAGCCCTCTAGCGTTAAATATAGTGTCCAGGCAAGTGAGTGATAAGCAGTTGTCCTCCTTTCTCCCCTTTCTAGCCCCAAACAAGGAAACCCAAGCCAATTCGTGCTGAGAAAACTTTTCCTCTCAGTGGCACCCATTCCTTCCTCCACACCCCGGCCCCCTCCTGCACCAGGTTACTCGATCTGTGAGGTGAACAGCTCTTCTGAGCTGGGTTCCTGTTTCATCTTCTTCCTGTTAATTAGTGTGAACTGCCCGTTTCTGAGAAGTGCCCGACTATTTATTTCAGACCAGGCAAGTCTAAACACAGCTCTACCAACCACAGCAGGAGACAGAAGTGGTAAAGTTTCTTCGCTCATGCAGACGAGAGCCATGGGCACGGGGCCGGCACCAGGAAGAAGCGCGTTCATTCATTGGGTGTGAAGCTCAGGGTCTTAGGGCTCCTCTCTGTAGGGCCAGCCTTACCAGCAGGCAAAGCTGTGGCTCTCCACATTCAGGGGCTTCAAGCAGGGTCTACTCCCCAGAGTCATGTGTCACAACTTGTCACCCCCTCCCCAGATGACATGATTGGAAACTCTATCCTTTGGCTCATACAGGTTTTACAGAGCCCCTCCCTGGTAATGTGGAAATCCTCTGAGAGAGCATTTCATCCTAGCAAGCAAGACTTTCCAGAATTGAGACACACCCCCACACCTCGGTCAGGATGGGTCAATAGCGGGGCTGGGGAGAGAAGGGGGTGAAGGGGATGGATACGGGCGGCTGGAGTGGGGAGAAGGGACTTCAGGGAAGAACTTCACTCACTTGGGAATTTTGCTTAGTGATGGCCTTGCTCTGTGGTTGCTTATTGAAAAATGTCAAGTTGGGGTCACTTTAGTCATTGCCATCTGTCAGGGAGGACAAAGGCCAGTCTGTGGTCAGGGAGCCCAAGGGGAGAGGTTGCACTTGGGGAAGGGTAAGTCTGTAATGCACTTGTCTTGTAAAAATGCTCTTTAGTCAATTAAGAAGGTTTTAAATGAGAAGAGTAACCGGACAGGCAGGATCTTCATATTTTTTCTATGTACTGCAGAATATTCATGAGGAAAAAAAGTAGGATTTCTTGGGCATCTTTTCCTTTCAAGAACCTTCTAAAATGTTACAGCCCAAATGGCTCTTTCTTTTTCTCAAGCTGTGAAGACCTCAGGGGGTGCTCCCTCTCTGGGCTTCGTGGTGAGGATGTTGTTATAAAACTTGGGGCTGAGGACTTTACACTGGGACAAACCTTTAAAAGAAGCCTGCTGTGCTGTGGAAGTGTGGGTATTCTCCAGCTTTCCCAGGTCAGGCCGACTGCTTCCGGGCAGCCTACAGATCAGAAGGCAGGGCTCCTTTGTGCGAGGAATTTGCATCTGAGGCAAAGATTTATAGTAAACGGCCACCAGATGGTGCCTTAGTCCTCCTCAAGCTAATATTCTGGCTTGCTTTGTTCTCTTTGCTGATGAAAGCTGACATTTCACGGGAAGAACAGTCAATCCCTGGGAAGATGCTGGGACCAAAGGAGCCACAAGTATTATTTTATTTGTTCAGCCTGACAAGACTCCAAGCTCATAAATGTGGGGGAGCCACAGTCATTGACCTAGAGCTAATATAAGTGCTTATTTCTTCACACAGTGGGATGCAACAATTAAGGTCGTATCAGCTCCCAACATGCATGCGGACCTGACTCAGTGCTAATTGCTCCCAACAAGCATGCTGATGCTGGATTCATAGCTGACTTCTAGCTCTCAGAGGGTTTGGGTGACCTTGCTTTAGGGGGAGATAAATGCTTCATTCTTTACACTGGGTTTCTAAATAAATCACTTCAGTTTAACTTTTTTTTAATTCTCTTTCGGAGACCAATATTGGGTTTTTTTTCTCTTTCACTAAGAAAACAGGAATTTAATTTGGAAAACTCAGTTTTAAATGAACATAGTGACCTTTATAATTTTATTTTCCTTAGCAAACATCTTTTACTGCTTTTCCAAAAGACTGAACTTAGCCAGAATTACGACAGGTAAAACTTCTCACTTCATGAGTTTAATGAAATGACTCGATCTCCCCACAGACGTTTCCAAAATCTGGAGAGCGGCTGTGAGTTTGCAGTGCAGTATGGGGAGAGGTAAGAACAATGCCTTTGGAATTTGGAATCCTTGTACCCCGGTGAAATAGTCCTGCTCACCTCCCTGCATTTCACTTTCTCTCCATGGCAACGTTTGATGTGGGGCAGTCACCCAGTTTTATTATTTAGTCTGCATGCACACACACACTCACACACTCACCCTTAGGCAGAGGACTAGAAGAACCCATCGCCACTTTTACCCTTCATTTCCCAAGTCCTGAGGCATCACTGTCTCATTTCCACCCTCAGGGTTTAATCTCAGAGTGTGAGAACGAGGCAGGCCTCTGCTGGGGTGGCCAGGATGTCCCTGACCCCACCAGCAGGGAAGAGTCAACACACTGAGGACAGCCCCTGCTCCTTCTCATTTGGTTGAGGTTGTCAGAGCATGCATGTGGCAACACCATCCATGGTTCCGTGACGTCTCCCTGAAGATGCCATCTGTGGGCTCAAAAGCTGGATCGATGGGAAGCCAGCCCCGGGCTGTGCATCTGTCACAAACCGTGTCTTCATCTTCCCAGGCCAAGTTCAGTTCATTCTTATTTTCACACATCCAACTGGGCGCTACCAGTTAGAGGCCTCACTGGGGCTTCAGGGAGTGGGTTCGTGTTGCTATTGGCAGCAGTTCAGTCCTTTGCTGATCAACAACATCCACCTTGGGATGCCATGCACCTACTTCTTTACCTGTAGTTACTTTGAATGTTGGTTCCAACACACCATTTGCAGGAACAGAGCCGCCAGGAACTGGTGGTGTGAGATCCCAGGGTCTCCTGTGTTACTTGTCAACTAAGCAGTAGCAGCTGCAGCTGATGGAAATACATGCCCATAGGCATTCGACCAACTGGTTAAACTCTTGACTCTGCCACCTTAGAAGTTTTGTGGCTCGACACCAATTACTACTGGGAACAAGTTTCCACTCCATTCCCACGCCACAGTCAGACAGGGTTGAGGGGGATAATAGGTCTTCGCCCTGCAGCCCAAGCAACCCGTTTGCACGGCTGGCTGCCCGCCACCTGGTGGTAGATGGAGGTAAAGCAGCCTCCTGAGGAGAACTGCCCGGGTTTGGAGCAAGAGGGACTTTCTAAGTGATTCAATCTTGTGCTGTCATTTTCACTGGAGGAAATTCAGGCTTAGAGATGATGGCAGGCTTGTCTGAGCTCTCAGAGTGGTAGAGTACGGTGGTTAAGAGCAAGCATTCTGGCGTCTTAGTGTCTGAATCCTGGCTTGGCAGTCAGGAACTAGTGTAACCTTGGAGGAGTTTCATAACTTCTCAGTAATCACTTTCCTTATCTATGAAATGAGGGAAATCATGCTCCTTACCTCAAGGGTTTTTAAACAGATTAAATTAGGTGGTGATGTGGAAGTGCTTAGTCCTGTGCCTGACCCTGGTAAGGGACACATCTCTAGATGACTCTGTCTTCACTCTGGAGCTATTTAACTGTATTTGTAATGCCCCCTACAATGGGTGACACTCCTTACATTCCCCATTTAGATCTGAAAGTAGGAGTGAGGACTCCAAAGACCACTGAAGAAAGCGTGAAAGATATTTTGCTTTTGAATGGAACATTAGACTTTGGTTACTGAGTGAAGGAAGAGTGCAAATGACATTTTGGTGCCAACATGGCTCAAATTCATTGTCATAGATTGAATGTGTTGGGTATTCTAAAAATGTTTGTTAGATGAAGGAAGGGGAAGGGGCGTGAGCAGAGGTCAGAAGTGGCCCCTGTCTCAGGAGAGAGGAGCTGGAAAAAGAGAAAGTCTCATTTTACACTATCCACAATAGCTCAGAAGACCAGCTGGGAACCCTTGCAGTAGAAATCTCCCTGGCTGCCTCTGTTTTTGTAACAATGACATTAGAAAGACCAGGTACTCCTGTAGATGCTGTATTCTTTAAGTAAGTGTGGACACCTTTATCCTGTTTGAGACTGGACTGGCAGTTCTGTTGAAAATAGGACAGGTGAGCCTTGCCAGGAGCTAAGGAGACAAGGAGAGAGAAAAAGAAACAAATACCTCGACTTTCTCCCCCTTCTCTTTAATTTACTAATGGTGTGTGTCCTATGGTCATGATCTAAGTCAGAGCTAGGGAGTAAGGAGCCCAACTGATGCAGCTTATGGATGCCTTCCTCCCAGGGCACAGAGCAGGGTGGAACTGGATCTTAGAACATAGAGGAACATGCACAGCCAACGGCTTATGCATATGCACCCAAAAATATTTGGGTGATTTATATTCAACTCTGCTTCTCTCAATTTGAAGAGGTTGCTCATTTATAATACTGTATTTCTAATGGTATTACCAAAAAAAGTGTGATGTTTTTTGTTGTTGTTGTTTTTTCTCCTCTCCTCTCCTCTCCTCTCCTCTCCTCTCCTCTCCTCTCCCAACCCCGGTCTCTGCTCTTCTTTGCCTTTTAAAGTGGTTCTCACACAATATCCAATATGAATGGGGTTAATAGAAATGTAGATGGAAGTAAAGAGACAAACACAACTTTCTAGAACATTCCCCTTCCTATGCCATTGCCCAACCCCAGCATGTTCTCGGGCCTGCTGATGACGCTGGTGCCTATGGTGAGTTGGGGAGAAAAAGGGAGAAACAGGGTAAAATGGGAGAGTGATGGAGAGAGAAGATGGCTTCATGGTGTCTGGAACTGCATTTGGCATCATGGGTATGATGCCTTCACTCCATTTCTTCCTGGCTGTAGATCCATTTAATCAATAATACTTATTAAGCATATAATTTGTGCCAAACACCATGTCAAGCACTGATGAATAATGCACAGCCCTGCCCACAGGGATCTTACAGTCTATATTCTCTAGGTGCTTATGATGCACTGCAGTTGGTGTCAACCACACAGTGAGATAAAGTCAGCACAGAGGCACTCCCAGGCACAGAGAGAGGCGGAAGAGTCAGGGAAGGCCTCCCAGGTTACTGACTCTTAGCAACAGAGTTAGAGGCCAAGAAATTAACAAGTGAAAGGAGAGGAAGGTAGGGAGGATGCACTTGGCAGAAAGAGATCTTGGCAAAGGGATAAAAATCATGATGTGTTTGGGGCTCATTCTGGATGACTGAGGCAAGGAAATGTGTAGGCAGCTGCCAGAGGAGGTTTGGAGAGGTAGGCAGGTCTCAGAGCAGGGAGGACATGAGGGCTTAAGAGAAGGAGTTCAATTTTATTCCGAAGGCCATGGAATGGTGTCAAGAGTTTCCATAAGAGACTAACTAGGCCAACACCATTTCTAGAGCAATCGTAGTGGCAATAGTATGGAGGCTGAAGGGAGCGGAGAAATGGAAGAAGGTTCTTTCAGTAAACTGGGCAGTCAATGACAAAATCCCGACGTGAGCTAGCAGCAGGAAGAGATGAAGCGGGGTGTCACAGTCTATAAAGAGAGGCCAACGATAGGTGGCAACCTCGAACATCAGCCTCAGGTTCTGCCTCACGTTGTGGGCTTTTCCGACTGCACTACTTGGTGAATTTTGCTATCTGTTTCAGTTAAATTCAACGTGCAGAGGGGAGAAAACTCTTTCTGGATGAATATCTATTCTTTTCAGAACAGAGAGCCTCTATTGTCTACTTTCTAAACAAATTTCTACTGGATATCAAAGAAGCCTTTCAGAGCTTGTTCTGGGACATGCTAAGTCCCATGAAACCTCACTGGAATGAAATGAAATGAAATGTAGAAGCAGCACCAAGAGGGGCTGGTGCAGCAGGCTCAGATCTAGGGTACGACATGTTCCCTACATATGCCCTAGCTATGCCCTAGGTATACCATACATATGCTTTACATAAACCCTACATATACCCTACATATGCCCTACATATACCCTACATATGCCCTAGGTATACCATACATAGGCTGTACATAAACCCTACATATACCCCACATATGTCCTAGATAAGTCCTAGGTATGCCCTATGTATGCCCTACATATACCCTACGTATGCCCTAGATATATCCTAGGTATGCCTTACATACGACCCAGTATGCCCTATGTATGCCCTAGATATACCCTACATATGCCCTAGGTATACCCTAGATATACCACACATATGCTCTACATAAACCCTATATATGCCTTAGGTATGCCCTAGGTATGTCCTAGGTATGTCCTACATATGAACTAGTATGCCCTAGATATATGTATGCCCTAGATATACCCTATATATTCTCTACATACACCCTATGTACGCCCTATGTATGCCCTAGATATACCCTATATATTCTCTACATACACCCTCCATATGCCCTACATATACCCTACATCTGCCCTAGATATACCCTATATACACCCTAAATATATCTTAGATAAACCTTATATATGCCCTACATATGCCATTGATATACCCTAGATATGCTCTACATATGCCCAGATGCTTTTGAGTGTGGGCACCAATGTAGATCATCTCCTTAACTGTAGGAGAAGGGACCCCAGCTCCATTTTGTTTTTACTGCCTCCCATCTTTAACTAGACGACTTTCTTTTTGGGTTCTTCCTGTGAGTTGATGTGGAAAGCTAAGATGAACGCATGTTGCACAAACCGACTCCACAAGCTCACCTGGTTTATCACTGACTGGCTGGGTGTCAAACTCTTGGCTTATGCCCTGGAGATTGGATGCTGCCTCCATTTATAGAAAAGAACGGTTTGGGGATGAGGGCTGAGGCTACTGGTCATTTTCTTTGGGAGCTTCTTCCCAAATATGATGAGATGTCTCAGGTGGACAGTTTTGGAGCTACCTACAGCCTGTACACAGGAGGGCTTGCCACATCTGTAAATTTTGAATCTGAGTTAAGATTGGCTGACCTCTGAATCAGAAAGGTTTGTTTTGGAAGTACTGACTCAATTTCTGTTCCAGTTATAAATAGCAAGATTAAAGCTATAGCTGAGGATTCTGGCAGTACATGTTTTTAAAAACCTAAGTGACAATGAAATAGCTTAATGAACTAGTAAATTTCTTTGCAGGAAGTGTAAGGCTTGTAAAATCATTGAAGAAAAGCTTTAAGATACCATATAAATACAGTATGCATTGCTAAAGTGTGTTTAATTATGCCAGTAGATTGTTATTTTAAAGCAATTCCAAAGACAGTTGTATAGGTTAATCATAATAAAGGCAATTACAATACTGATGCTTTTGAAATAAGAAGGGTTATGTTTTTTAAGAGTGTAATTATGTTTCTGAATGAGTCTATGTAGAGAAAGGCAAAGGAACATAAGGGCCTCTGCTTGAAGCCTTCAGCTGCTGAGTTAGAATTTGCAAGTCAAAACTTATTTGCATCTAATTCTCAGAACACACAAAAAAAGTCACGAAAGCTTACTTTAAGGAGAAATTCTAAAGATTATTAGAAATTTTTTTAGAGTAAACCGGGAGGAAGGAAAACAAAGCAGGAAAACCAAGTGAGACTTGCAATTTTGTCTACCACATGTAAATGTGCAGATGGTTGACATATCTAAAGCAATCCTGGCAAAGGTCTTGCATGCATCATCCCAGTAAGCACATTTATAACAGGCAGCCCATGTACCCAGCTCCACGCAGGATGCAAAACATGTATTAGACGTGGCTCATTCCAGACCTGGTCCCTGGCTTCAAGCTAATTCACCATGTAGTTGGCAATATAAGACACATGACAAGTGGACACACAAGCGCAGGCATACAATTAACGCCGCAGAGCAGCCTTGCCTGCGATCTGAATGCATCCCTTTCCTCTTTTGGAACTGAAACCACACAATGAGGCATTTCAGTCACAACAAATGGGTGACAGAGGCATAATAGGCCTGGCTTTAAAGTTATCTTAAAACAGCTTCTGTATTTCGGCTTCGTCTTTCATAAAGGCAGAATCAGAACACTTCCCACTACATGTCTTCTCTTTGCTTTCTCTAAGTGGGGACAATGATGCTGGCTGAAATTAGAAGGGTTTGGAGACAATGAATCTCTGGTCAAGCAAGGTCACAAATAAGGGTGGCTACGATTGAGGAAAGAGAGGTTATCAGTTTTGGCTAAACCCAAAATAGCAGCGGTCTCATGTGAAAGAAGACTGAAGGCAGGCAGTCTATGCCCATGCTTCAAGGACCAAAGCTGCTTCTCTCCTGCTGCTCCACCAACCCTCACCATGAGGCTTCCACCTCATTGCTTTAAGATGGTTGCATGGGCTCCAGCCATTATGTGTGGATTTTAGCCAGCAGGAAAGAGGGTGGAGAGAAGAAGGGCATGCCCCTCCCTTTAAGGTTGCTTCTTAAAAGTCTCACACAGTTCCACCTGCATCCCATCAGCCAGAAATTAGTTGTATGGCCCCACCTAGTTGCAAGGGAGGCTAGAAAATGTGGCCTTTATTCTGGGCAGCCACACGCCCAGCTACACACCAGGGGCTGTGTTGTGAAGCAACAAGGGGAGAACAGATACTGGGGGTCTCTGTCATAAGGAATTAGCCAAAGGTACGAATGCATGAAGGAGCCTGGGCACTGTTCTTTGAATTGGCACAATTTCTCTGCTTGTCTAGAAAAGGAAGTTACACCTGTGTTAGCAGAGGGCAAAGACCTGCAATGCTCACCTGGCACCAACCAGTACAGGAAACCAGCTCCCCCATGGCACCAACCAGCCTCCTGTCTGGCTCAATAGGTTTGCATTTATGTCTTTATTAAGGAAGAGCCAAATTTCATGTCTAGTCTCACTTTTTCTTCCACGGATCACTTATAAATCTAATTCTCAGGGATGTCATTCCAGACCAGAACCCACCGGAAGCCTCCAGGTGCTGCAGTGAGGAGGAGCTGGAACCCTTCTCCTCCAGGTGCCAGCTCGCGCTGCTGTGGTTCTCATCTGTAGAGGACGTGGACCATCCAGGGAATCACCTGCAGCTGACAGAGGAAACTCTGAAGCCCACCAGGCCTGTACAGACTGGGGAAACACCAGTGCCTGAGGATAGTGGCTAAACTGCCAGAGAACATGGGGCTGAGGTGGAGCCTGGATGACTCTTCTGCCTCTGAGCAAAGCTGCTTGCCCTACACACAACAGTATTGTCTTAACATCTGCTGAGTTCCCAGGTCCTCTTAGCAGCAGGCAGAGGCATTCAGAGCCCAGACCCCAAAGACATGCTGATCTGGTTTAAACCTGACTGTGCTACTCATCAACTGGGGGACCTAGGCAGGTTACATTGTCTTTTTGTGCCTCAGTTTCCTCATCTATAGAATAGAGGTATTCTAGTTTCCTGTGATTTCTGTAATAAATTTACAAACTTTGTAACAAATTACCACAAATTTGGTGGCTTCAAACGATAGAAATTTATTCTCTCACAAACCTGGAGACCAAAAGTCTAAAGTCTCTATCATTGGACTGAAATAAAAGTGCAGGTGGGGCCAGACACAGTGGCTCACACTTGTAATCCCAGCACTTCGGGAGGCCAAGGCGGGCGGATCATGAGGTTAGGAGTTTGAGACAAGCCTGGCCAATATGGTGAAACCCCGTCTCTACTAAAAATACAAAATTAGCCAGGCGTGGTGGTGCATGCCTGTAATCCCAGCTACTTGGGAGGCTGAGGCAGGTGTATCTCTTGAAACCAGGAGGCGGAGGTTGCGGTGAGCCAAAATCATGCCATTGCACTCCAGCCTGGGCAACAAGAGCGAAACTCCGTCTCAAAAAAAAAACAAAAAAAAAAGTGCTGATGGGGCAGCGCTCCCTCCAGAGTCACTAAGGGGAGAATCCTTGCCTTGCCTGGCCCAGCTCCTGGCTGAGCCAGCATTCCTTGGCTTAGGCTGCAGCCCTCCAGTCTCTGCCTCCACGGTCACATGGCATTCTCCTCTTCTGTGCATTCGTAATGCCCCACATTTCTCTTATAAGGATCCTCTTGATGGCATTTAGGGCCCACCTGGATAACTCAGGGTGACACCCCCACCTCAAGATTTTTAACTTAATCACACCTGCAAAGATCCTTTTTCCATATAAGGTCACATTTGACACGTTCTAGGAATTTGGATCTGATCTTTTTGGAGACAGTTACTTAAGTCTACTTCAACTGTTAATAATAGTGCCAACTTCAAAGGGTTGTGGGGAGGCTCAAATGAGCCAAGGTACATAAAAAGCTTTGAATTGAGTCAGGCCTATTGAAATCACTGTGGAAGTGTTGGATTTTATTATCTCCTTTTATTTATTTATTTATTTATTTATTTATTTTTTGAGATGGAGTAATGCTCTGTTGCCCAGGCTGGAGTGCAGTGATGTGATCTCAGCTCACCACAACCTCTGCCTCCTGGGTTCAAGTGATTCTCCTGCCTTAGCCTCCTGAGTAGCTGGGATTACAGGTGCCCACCACCATGCCTGGCTAATTTTTGTATTTTTAGTAGAGACAAGGTTTACACCATGTTGGCCAGGCTGGTCTCAAACTCCTGACCTCAGGTGATCTGCCCACCTCGGCCTCCCAAAGTGCTGGGATTACAGGTGTGAGCCACCATGTCTAGCCTTATTATCTCCTTTAAAAGGTAAATGGTACAGAAAGGATAGAGCCAGGGAACTCAGGTCTGCAGATGGCTGGTGCAGAGACCTTTCTGCTAATTCTCTAGTCTCGCTACAAAACCTACTTCTGCACTCCAGCTTCCCACTGAAAAGATCTCGGAATCAACATGACTGTCAACGCCTGCAAATCAGCACTCCCAAAATGCTCAGGCATCCTTTCAAAATGCCTGCCCTTTGGCTGTGCTTTCATTCCATCTCCATTCTCCCTCTCCACACTTTCGCCTCGGTCTGCATTGATATTTTTTCTTCCCCACAAAGAAAACTAGATCTAGTCATAGCCAATAGAGACAGTATTGTGAGAAAGTAGTTACAGGACCTGAAAGATGTATATGTTTTCTTAAACTTTGGAAAAGCAGGGGGGTGATAGAAGGAGAGTGTATATGTGTGCTGTATATAACTATATATGTACTGATAAATATAATTTTCTGTATTATCAGAATAGGCTAGATTAAATAGGCTAGATTACTTACCCAAGGTCATACAATTTCAAATTGACCTCCAAATTTCAATGACTCATTACAGTAGTTTTTTCTTATTCATGCCCCTGCCAATGCGGGTTGGAGGTAGAGAAGTCCTCTGCTCCATATGGTCACTCAGGAGTCCAGGCTGATGGAGCACTGCTGGTCACTGTGGCAGAGAGACAATGTGCTTTGTCCAAAAGCACACAGTACATTGTCACTGTGCTCACAGCACATTGTCCTTGCCTTACTGCAAGGGGGCTAGGAAGTTGGGGAGGGCACGTGGCTGTTTGGTGAGCCAGAAATATCTCTGGTACAGTGACAGAGAATTTAAATGTATTCCTTTTCTGTCCTAGAATAGCTTCACAGGAGAAAAAGGGTCTGAGCCATAGGAATTTAGAGCTGCAGAAACATGAATGAAGTGCTTCCATTCATATTTATGTCCATTCATTAAGTATAAAGGATATTATCAGACTTGCATTGCCTTTTATGTTTCTACCATAAGTACTTCCACCTGTATTCTGACAGATTTTTAAAAATCAAGAAGATAGCTTTTCTCCTTAATTTTTCCTGAAACAACAGGCAGACTTTATCCTAATTAGGAGGAGTAATATGTGAAAGCTAAAGTTTCCCCCTTTGCCACCCTCTGGGGGTGGGTGTAGAGATCATCCGCACTTGCTCACTAGTGTGTCACTCCCACCCTCCCCTGCTCTCCTCAGCCTGCGCCTCCCTCCCCACGGCTGCCCATTAGTGTGTATTCAGGCCTGACTGAAATCTGATAACTGGGTTTGCAATTCATTTTTTGAATGGGAGGTACAAAAAGCACTAAACCTGAAACTTAGAAGCAAAAGAGACTTAAGTATGTATGCCACCTCGAACCACTTGAAATCATGTCCCCAGATCCTCTTTTCCCTCCAATTTGCAGAGTTTCAGTTAAAGCATTGCTCCTCTGAGCACTGAGGACTTGGTAAAAGGACTCTCAGAGGCAGTGGAGAGAGGTCTGCTCTGCATCTAATTTGGGCCAAAGGAGTAAAGTGTCTGTGACCCTGACAGTGGGGATGGGTGTGGAGTTATTTCCCAGGACACCTGATTCCATATAAACCCCAATCATACCTTCAGCTGAATAAATGATAGCACAACCCTCATGTGGGGCCCTGCAAGATGTTTTGATGTTTGGGCTAGAAATTGCTGAATTTAGAATGGCAGGTTTCCAGATCTGTGATTCTAAAAGAGAGAAGAGTCAAGAAAAAAAAAAAGGGAGCTTCTCAGAAATAAAATTCCAAGCAGAGAAATATGAATGGGTCTATTGTTGGGGAAAGGGCACCTTTGGAAGCCGACATGAATCCTGCTGGTTCTGCCCTGCGGTCTCTCTTTCTTGGATCAGGCCTGCTTCCTCCTGGTGTCCTGCAGGCCTGGAGTAAGGTCCTGTTCCCGTCCTCATCAGACCTACACCCACTATGCTTTTGGTTTCTCTCTCCTCCAAATCCCTGGCTGAGGTGGACAGTCCTGAGGCTCAATTTTTTTCCTGCCACTCCTGCAAATCTGCATCCAACCCCTTGGGCATAAGGTGTTTTATTGGCAATTCACTGAGAAAGACAGAAGAGGGTCAGACATATGCAATGATGAAGAAATCCCAGAGGCGGCCAACATCTCAGAGCCTCAGAGCAGCCATTTCCACAGGTGACACCAAGGTCAGCTGCCCCCTGTTCCTGCCCCCTCCTTCCTTGTCCCCTTTGCTCCACCACAGCCTCCCCCTGCTCCAGACACCTGGTGGCTCTCCTCGGGGTAGGAGTGGCTGTCCAGGTGTGGAAGGCAGGAGTGAAAGCACAGGTGCCATCGGAGTGTCCCAGATGATGATTCACATCTCAGGGAACTTCGGATGAGAGGTTTAACTTCAATGAGAGATTTTCTCCCCAAAGGAAAGTCACCTTCAGATGCTTCCTCATAGGACCTTAAAGGATAGATACACCTTACAGAGGGCCCATCAGGGAGCTCACATTTTAAAGGTGGGAGGAGAGTGGCAGAACAGAACAGCACAATAAAAAGGCCATGGGACCTTCAGCTTAAGTGCTACTTGCCAACTCAGATGCCCAGAGCAGGCCAGGCAACAAGACAGAGCTGCCCCAGGTCCATATGGCATCTCTGGGTCATTGATGCAATGGGGCCCTTCTGCTGAGACAGGCATCTCCGTGTTGGGGCCACTGCTCGGCAAGCAGAGCCTGGGCACCTTCCAGGCCCTGGTACCATGGCAAGGAGCCTCGCGTGTGACACACCTGCTCTCTGTGTGCAGTGCCCGGGTATGGCAGCAAGGAGGACTGTGGAGTTCACTTTCACAAGGGCTGTCACTCAGCCACATGCCCTATGGGCCTGACGTTGTCAGATCTTTCCAGTTTGCAAGAGACACTAAGGTCCAGACTGTAATAGGAACTCTCCTGATTTATAAACATAGGCAACTGTTTCAAATATTTTAAACATCACGTGGGCCCAATGAAACAATGAGTGGCTTCTGAAGCAGAAGGTCAGGGAGTCCAGGCACCAAGTGTGCTCAGGCTTGAGGTAAAGCCCTTAAGTTGACAGCGGTGGGGTTCCAGAGTGTGAGGCAGAGAAGAAAGGCAAGCGAAGAAGCTCTAGGCCTTTCACTCGGGGTGGACCATGAGGGAAACGAACTGTGGGAATGCTCTGCTTTTTCTTGTTTCTGTGCCTTCTATTATGAGGAAGGCTGGAGGCTGGGCCTGGTGGCACATGCCTGTCATCTCAGCACTTTGGGAGACTGAGATGGGAGGATTGCTTGAGCCCAGGAGTTCAAGATAAGCCTGAGCAACATAGCAAGACCCCATATACAAAATATGTAGGCATGGTGGCACGCATCTGTAGTACTAGCTACTCAGAAGGCCGAGGTGGGAGGATCGCCTGAATCCAGGAGTTTGAGGCTACAGTGAGCTGAGATCACATCATTGCACACCAGCCTGGGAGACAGAGCAAGACTCCATCTCTGAAAAATAAAAATAAAAAGGAGGAGGGCTGGAGAGGGTGGAACAGGCTAAGAGTGAAAGGAAAGTTCACGTTGAAGTAGCACTCAGCTTCTGCAACAGTCCAGACTTCTGGCCTAGCAAGGCCATCCTAAGAGCTGACACATTAGTGTAGACAAAATGGCAGACACCATTTTAGGCATTTCAACTGATTTAATCCCATCAACATCCCTATTCAACAGGTCTTGCTATAATCCTCACTTTACAGATTAGTACATTGAGGCACAGAGAGGTTAAATCACTTGCCCAAGGTCACACAGCTAGCAAATGGCAGAGCTGGGATTTGCACCCAGGCAGCCTGGCTCCAGAGCTCATGTTCTTAGCCACTACCTCCGCTCAGCATGAGAAACACGGCAGACAATGCTCAGCTTCAGGGGCCATCTTTGAGAATCCTGGGGAAACAGAGGGAAGCAGAAGACTGCAGAGAGACATGATGTGTCCTGATTTTTTATTTTAAAAAGCTTTAAATAAAGTATATTCATACAAAAATACAGACAATCATACAATGACATACCTGCGTACCCACCACCCAGCTTAAGACGTAAACATTTCAGTTATTTGTTGCCTGTGGCCCTTCTACACCCATTTCCGTTGCTCCCTCCTCACCTCCCTGCCTGTTTGTACAATTTTGCCACATCTGTGTATATTCATAAATGGCATATCAAATAGTTGGGCAAGTTTTAAAACTTTATATAAATGGTACTACACACACACACACACACACACACACACACACACACACACATTTTTTGAGACAGGGTCTCAGTCTATCACCCAGCAGACTGGAGTGCAGTGGTACGCTCACAGCTCACTCCAGCCTCAACCTCCAGGCCTCAAGTGATCCTCCCACCTCAGCCTCCCCAGCTCTGGGACAACAAGCACGCACCACCACACCTGGCTAATTTTAATATTTTTTGTACCTAGTTTCACCTTGTTGCACAGGCTAGTCTCAAACTCCTGGGTTCAAGCAATCCACCCACCCACCTGAACCTCTTGAGTAGCTGGGACCACAGGCTCACACCACCACATCCAGCTAATTTTTAATGTTGTTGTTGAGACGGGAGTCTCATTATGTTGCCCAGGCTGTTCTCAAACTTCTGGGCTCAAGTGATCCTCCCACCTCGACCTCTCAAACTGCTGGGATTACAGGTGTGAGCCACCATGCTCAGCTGTACTATATTTTATGCAACTCATTTAATCCCTTCAGCAACATATGTAACTCATTTATGCCTTCAAAAACATATGTTTTTTGAACCCTGTGGTTTTGAGATTGATCTATGTGACACATGAATTTTACATTCATTTATTTTTGTGCACTTTTTTATTGGAGCATAATATCCATTAATAAAATTCACAAATCTTAAAGGTGCAGCTTAAGGAATTTTTCAAAGTTGTTACACCCGTGGAAACATTATTTGTTTAAAAAAATTAAGCAGCCGGTTACCAGGACTTAGAAGCTTTCCTTGCACCCCCTTTCATGTTCATTCATTTAAATTGCTAAGTAGTATTCCATTGTATAAACATATTATTTCTTAATCCATTTTTTAATTGATAAACATGTAAGTTGTTTGCACTGTTTCTCTTAATAAACAACGCTGTTGGAACATTTGAGCTTATCGCAGGTGTGTACCTGGGCGTTGTCTCGCTGAGGGGTGGGGTCTGCAGCTTCACTTGCTGTTGTTCGCCAGAAAGTCCCAATTCTCACTCCACTGCAGTGTGTAAGGGTTCCCTTCCTCCACATCCTCACAGCGCTCAGAACTGCCAGACTTATAGAGTTCCTAACATAAAGGGTGTGAAATTGTTGCTCACCATGATTTTAATTCATGCTTCCCTGATTACAAATGAAGTTGAGCATGTTTTTGTATTTTTATGGGCTGTTCAGTTTTCGTCTTCTGTGAATTGCTTATTCACGTCCTTTGCCAGTTTTTCTATTGGGTTGTTTCTCTTTTTCCTCTTGATTTACAGGGGTTCTCTATATAATCTGGGTATTATTCTCATGTCAGTTATAGATCAAGGTGTGGTGCTTTACTTCAGTTCTCCAAAGAGGGAAGAGGATGAGTTTTATGAGCTATAGGCCATTGAGTTTGTAATAAATTTCTAGCAAAATTCTAGAACAGATTATTAAGTGGATGATTTGTGAGCACTGAGAATGGAAAGTCGTGATCATTGGGAGAGACCCAAATGACAAACAGGTCATTCCGGACTCTCAGCCTTGCCTTGGTAGGATTTCAACTTCCAACCACCGCCATCTGGGTGACACTCTTAAATTATGAGCCACAAAGTGCTTTACATACATCATCTCACAGCAGCCTCTGAGCCTGCTGTCATCCTCATCTTTATTTTACAGACAAGAAGAGTAAGGCTCTAAGTTACCCAGCAGCACAGGGAATGAGGAAGCAGCCTGGCCTGGTAGACCAGGGAGTGCTGATGTATCTGTGCTGCAATTTCAGCAAGGCCTTGAACCTTGGTGTTGTCAACATGTGGAGAATTGTGGACTGAATCATAGACATTAGATGGGTACAGTTACTGTGTTCTGTGAGTGTTGGTCTTACAAGAGTTTTCTAGAGACCTGCACCTGGGCTCTGTTCTGATCTAGTCAGTAAACTCACCAATGTCTTCTTAGAAAGCAGAGACAAGGCTGGGCGCAGTGGTTCATGCCTGTAATCCCAGCACTTTGGGAGGCCAGGGCAGGAGGATTGCTTTAGCCCAGGAGTTTGAGACCAGGCTGGGCAGCATAGCAAGAACCTGTCTGTACAAAAAAAAAAAAAGTAGGGTGTGGTGGCACACGCCCGTGGTCCCAACTACTTGGGACATTGAGTTGGGATGATCCCTTGAGCCCAGGAGGTTGAGACAGCAGTGAGCCACGATTGTGCCACTGTACTCCAACCTGACTGACAGAGTGAGGCCCTATGTCAAAAGCAAAAGGGGAGTTGGGGATAAAACACAGGATAGCTGAAAGAAGCAACTAGTGTGTGTGTATGCCACTATCATGAGGAGAAATAGATGGGGGGAGTAAATACAGCACCTTCAATGAAACACCCAGGTGCATGCATTTGAATTCGTCACGAAAACAACTCAACCCATAGAAAACTGAGAAAAGCAAGGCAAGATGACAGCATAGCCAGGAACAACATGGAGCCAGGGGAGCCTCCCCTGCCTAGGGAAGTGGTGAGTGAATGAGCAACCCCAGGGACCCACCTTTGCCCACGGATCTTTGCAACCCTAAGGTCAGAAGATCCCCTTGTGAACCCACTCCACCAGGGCCTACAGTCTGACATGTGGAGCTATGTGGAGTCTTGGGAGAGCAGCTGCCTAGGCACATGTGGAGCCCCAGGAGCTTTAGATATCTGGGCTTCCTGGCAACAGTGACTGCAACCCCAGTAAAATGGGAGGTTAGAACCTGGTACATACCCCTAAGAAAGGGGCTGAATCTAGAGGACTGAGCAGCGATGGTCTGCAGACCCTTCTTCCATTGCACCTTGCAGGATAAGACCCACTAGTTTGGAACTCCAGCCAGCATGGGTAACAACATTACATCTCCCTGGGATGGAGCTCCCAGGGAGAGAGGTGGCAGCCATCTTAGCTGTTTAGCAGCCTTAGCTGTTTTTGCCTTCGGGCTTTGGAGAGTCTGAGGCAACTGGGGCTGGTGCAGGCCCCCAGCACAGCACAGCTGTTCTACAAAAATGTGGTCAGACTGCTTTTTTACACAGGTCTCCATGAAATTTCATGAAAATTAAACAACTGGCTCCTGAATGACTTTTGGGTAAATAATGAAATGAAATTAAGGCAGAAATCAAGAAGTTCTTTGGAATTAAGGAGAACAAAGATACAACATACCAGATTCTCTGGGACACAGCTAAGACAGTGTTAAGAGGGAAATCTATAGTATTAAATAGCCACATCAAAAAGTTAAAAAGATCTCAAATTAACAACCTAATATCACAACTAAAAGAACTAGAGAATCAAGAGCAAACCAACCCCAAAGCTAGCAGAAGACAAGAAATAACCACAATCAAAGCTGAACCAAAGGAGATCAAGGCACAAGCAACCATTAAAAGATTAACAAACCCGAGCTGTTTTTTTGAAAAAGTTAATAAGATAGGCCACTAGCTAGATTAATAAAGAAGAAAAGAGAGAAGATCCAAATGAATACATTGAGAAATGACAAAGGGGATGTTACCACTGACCCCACAGAAATACAAACAATGATCAGACTGTGACAAACACCTCTATGTACACAAACTAGAAAACCTAGAAGAGATGGATAAATTTCTGGACACAGAGACATTCCCAAGACTGAACCAGGAAGGAATTGATTCACTGTACAGACCAATAATGAGCCTGAAATTGAATCAGTAATAAACAGCCTACTAACTGAAAAAAGCCCAAAACCAAATGGATTCACAGACAAATTCTACCAGATGTACAAAGATGAGCTGGCAGCATTCCTACTGAAACTATTCCAAAAAATCGAGGAGGAGAGGCTCCTCCCCCAACTCATTCTATGAGGCCAGCATTATCCTGATACCAAAAGCTGGCAGAGACAAAACAAATAAAGAAAACTTCAGACCTTAATGAACATCGATGTACATATCCTTGATGAACGTAGATGTAAAAATCTTCAACAAAATACTTGCCAACTGAATCCAGCAGCACATTAAAAACCTAATCCACCGCAATCAAGTAGGCTTTATCCCTGGGATGCAAGGTTGGTTCAACTTATACAAATCAATAAATGTGATTCATCACATAAACACAACTAAAGACAAAAACCACATGATTATCTCAATAAATGCAGAAAAGACTTTTGATAAAATTCAACATTCCTTTGTGTTAAAAACTCTCAATAAACTATGTATTGAAGGAACATACCTCAAAATAATAAAAGCCATCTATGACAAACCCACAGTCAACATCATACTAAATAAGCAAAAGCTGGAAGCATTCCCCTTGAAAACCTGCACAAGACAAGGATGCCCTCTCTCACTGCTCCTATTCAACATAGTATTGGAAGCCCTGGCCGCAGCAATCAGGCAAGAGAAAGAAATAAAGGGCATTCAAACAGGGAGAAAGTCAAACTATCCCTCTTTGCAGTGACATGATCCTGTATCTAGAAAACCCCATTGTTTCAGCCCAAAAGCTTTTTTTTAAAAAAAATTTTCCATAGGTTATTGGGGTACAGGTGGTGTTTGGTTACATGAGTAAGTTCTTTAGTGGTGATTTGTGAGATTTTGGTGCACCCATCACCCAAGCTGTATACACTGCACCATATTTATAGTCTTTTATCCCTTGCCCTCCTCGCGACCTTCCCCACAAAGCCCCAAAGTCCATTGTATCATTCTTATGCCTTTGCATCCTCATAGTTTAGCTCCCACATGTCAGTGAGAACATATGGTGTTTGGTTTTCCATTCCTGAGTTGCTTCACTTAGAATAATAGTCTCCAGTCTCATCCAGGTCACTGCAAATGCTGTTAATCCATTCCTTTTTATGGCTAAGTAGTATTCCATCGTGTGTGTGTGTGTGTGTGTGTGTATCACAGTTTATCCACTCGTTGATTGATGGGCATTTGGGTTGGTTCCACGATTTTACAATTGCAAACTGTGCTGCTATAAACATGAATGAAGTATATTTTTGTGTAATGACTTCTTTTCCTCTGGGTAGATACCCAGTAGTGGGATTGCTGGATCAAATGGTAGTTCTACTTTTAGTTTTTTAAGGAATCTCCACACTGTTTTCCATAGTGGCTGTACTAGTTAACACCAACATCTACTGTTTTCTGATTTTTTTATTATGGCCATTCTTGCAGTGGTAAGGTGATATCGCATTGTGGTTTTTGACTTGCATTTCCCTGATCATTAGTAATGTTGAGCATTTTTTCATATGTTTGTTGGCCATTTGTGTATCTTCTTTTGAGAATTGTCTATTCATGTCCTCAGCCCACTTTTTGGTAGGATTGTTTGTTCTTTTCTTACTGATTTGTTTGAGTTCATTGTAGATTCTGGATATTAGCCTTTTGTCAGACGTATAGATTGTGAAGATTTTCTCCCACTCTGTCGGTTGTCTGTTTACTCTGCTGACTGTTTCTTTTGCTGCGCAAAAGCTCTTTAGTTTAATTAGGTCCCAGCTATTTATCTTTGCTTTTATTGCATTTGCTTTTGGGTTGTTGGTCATGAAATCCTTGTCTAAGCCAATGTCTAGAAGGGTTATTCCAATGTTCTAGAATTTTTATAGTTTCAGGTCTTAGATTTAAGTCGTTCATCCATCTTGAGTTCATTTTTGCATAAGGTGAGAGATGAGGATCCAGTTTCATTCTCCTACATATGGCTAGCCAATTATCCCAGTACCATTTGTTGAAAAGGGTGTCCTTCCCTCACTTCATGTTTTGTTTGCTTTGTCAAAGATCAGTTGGCTGTAAGTATTTGGTTTTATTTCTGGGTTCTCTATTCTGTTCCATTGGTCTATGTGCCTATTTTTATACCAGTACCATGCTGTTTTGGTGACGCCTTATAGTATACTTTGAAATCAGGTAATGTGATGCCTCCAGATGTGTTCTTTTTGCTTAGTCTTGCTTTGGCTATGTGGGCTCTTTGGTTGGTTCCATATGAATTTTAGAATTGTTTTGTCTAATTCTGTGAAGAATGATGGTGGTATTTTCATGGAGATTGCACTGAATTTGTAGATTGCTTTTGGCAGCATGGTCTTTTTCACAATATTGATTCTACCCATCCCTGAGCATGGGATGTGTTTCCATTTGTTTGTGTCATCTATGATTTCTTTCAGCAGTGTTTTGTAGTTTTCCTTATAGAGATCTTTTGCCTCCTTGGTTAGGTATATTCCTAAGTGTTTTCTTTTTTGGCAGCTATTATAAAAGGGGTTGAGTTCTTGATTTGATTCTCTGCTTGATTGTTGTTGGTGTATAGAAGAACTACTGATTTGTGTACATTAATCTTATATCCAGAAACTTTGCTCAATTCTTTTATCAGTTCTAGGAGCTTTCTGGAGGAGCCTTTAGAGTTTTTGAGGTAAACAATCATATCATCAGCAAATAGTGACAGTTTGACTTCTTCTTTACCAATTTGGATGCCCTTTATTTTTTTCTCTTGTCTGATTGCCCTGACGAGGACTTTCAGTACTATGTTGAAGAGGAGTGGTGAGAGTGAGCATCCTTGTCTTGTTCCAGTTCTGAGGGGGAATGTTTTCAACTTTTCCATTATGTTGGCTGTAGATTTGTCATAGATGGCTTTTATTACAGTAAGGTATGTCCTTGTATGCCAATTTTACTGAGAGTTTTAATCGTAAAGTGATGCTGGATTTTGTCTAATGCTTTTCCTGCATCTATTTAGATGATCATGTGATTTTTGTTTTTAATTCTGTTTAGTTGGTGTATCACATTTATTAGCTTGTGTATGTTAAACCATCCCTGCATCCCCAGTATGAAACCCACTTGATCATAGTGGATTATCTTTTTGTTATGTTTTGGATTCAATTAGCTAGTATTTTGTTAAGGATTTTAGCATCTATGTTCATCAGGGATATCAGTCTGTAGTTTTTTGGTTGTGTCCTTTCCTGGTTTTGGTATTAGGGTGATGCTGGCTTCATAGAATGACTTAAGGAGGGTTCCCTCTTTCTCCATCTTGTGGAATAGTATTAGTAGGATTAGTATCAATTCTTCTTTGAATGTCTGGTAGAATTCTGCTGTGAATCCGTCTGGTCCTGGACTTTTTTTGGTTGGTAATTTTTTAATTACTGTTTCAATCTTGTTGCTTGTTATTGGTCTTTTCAGGGTATCTAATTCTTCCTGATTTAAGCTAGGAGGATTGTATTTTTCCAGGAATTTATCCATCTCTTCTAGGTTTTCTAGTTTATGTGCATAAGGGTGTTCATAGAAGCCTTGAATAATCTTTTGTATTTCAGTGGTGTCAGTTGTAATATCTCCTGTTTTATTTCTTATTGAGGTTTTTTGGATTTTCTGTCTTCTTTTCTTGGTTAATCATGCTAATGGTCTATCAATTTTATTTATCTCTTCAAAAACCAGCTTTTGTTTCATTTATGTTTTTTAATTTTTTTTTTTTTTTTGGTGTTGTTGTTGTTTCTATTTCATTTAGTTCTGCTCTGATCCTGGTTATTTCCTTTCCTCAGCTGGGTTGGTTTGGGTTTGGTTTGTTCTTGTGTCTCTAGTTCCTTGAGGTGTGACCTCAGATTGCCAGTTTGTGTTCTTTCAGACTTTTTGATGTAGGTGTTTAGGGCCATGAACTTTCCTCTTAACACCACCTTTGCTGTTTCCCAGAGGTTTGGATAGGTTGTATCACCATTGTCATTCAGTTCAAAGAATTTTTAAATTTCTATCTTGATTTTGTTTTTGACCCAATGATTATTCCAGAGCAGGTTATTTAATTTCCAAGTATTTGCATGGTTTTGAGGGTTCCTTTTGGGGTTGATTTCCAGTTTTATTCCACTGTGGTCTGAGAGAGTGCTTGATATAATTTCAATTTTCTCAAATCTATTGAGGCTCATTTTGTGTCCTATCATATGGTTTATCTAGGAGAAAGTTCCATGCACTGTTGAATTGAAGGTGTATTCTGTGGTTGTTGGATGGGAGGTTCTATATGTATCTGTTAAGTCCATTTGTTCCTAGGTATAGTTTAAATTCATTATTTTTTTGTTGACTTTCTGTCTTGATGACCTGTCTAGTGCAGTCAGTGGAGTATTGAAGTCCTCCCATTATTATGTTGCTGTCTATCTCATTTCTTAGGTCTATTAGTAATTGATACATTTGGGAGCTCCAGTGTTAGCTGCATATATGTTTAGGATTGTGATATTTTCCTGCTGGACAAGGCCTTTTACCATTATATAATGTCCCTCTTTGTCTTTTTTAACTGCTGTTGCTTTCAAGTTTGTTTTGTCTGACATAAGAATGGCTACCCCTTCTTGCTTTTGGTGTCCATTTGCATGAAATGCCTTTTTCCACCTCTTTACTTTATCTGAGTCCTTACTTGTTAGGTGAGTCTCTTGAAGGCAGCAGATAGTTGGTTGGTGAAGTCTTATCCATTCCGCAATTCTATATCTTTTAAGTGGAGCATTTAGGCCATTTACATCAATGTTAGCATTGAGATGTGAGGTACCATTCCATTCATCATACTATTTGTTGCCTGTGTACCTTTTGCTTTTTAAATTGTATTTTGTTTTATAGGTCCTGTGAGATGTATGCTTTAAAGAGGTCCTGTTTTGATGTGTTTCCAAGATTTGTTTCAAGATTTAGAGCTCCTTTTAGCAGTTCTTGTAGTGGTGGCTTGGTAGTGTCAAATTCTCTCAGCATTTGTTTGTCTGAAAAAGACTGTATCTTTCCTTCCTATGTAATGCTTAGTTTTGCTGGATACAAAATTCTTGGCTGATAACTGTTTTGTTTGACGAGGCTGAAGATAGGGCCCCAATCTCTTTTAGCTTGTAGGATTTCTGCTGAGAAATCTGCTGTTAATCTGATAGGTTTTCCTTTATATGTTACCTGGTACTTTGGTCTCACAGCTCTTAAGCCTAGGCAATAATCTTTTTGCGATGAATTTCCCAGGTGTTCTTTGTGCTTCTTGTATTTGGATGTCTAGGTATCTAGCAAGGCCAGGGAAGTTTTACTCCATTTTTCCCCCAAAATATGTTTCTCAAACTTTTAGGTTTCTGTTCTTCCTCAGGAACACTGATTATTCTTAGGCTTGGTCATTTAACATAAACCCAGACTTCTTGGAGGCTTTGTTCATATTTTCTTATCCTCTTTTCTTTGTCTTTGTTGGATTGGGTTAATTCAAAGACCTTGTCTTCAAGCTCTGAATTTCTTTCTTCTACTTGTTCAATTCTATTGCTGAGACTTCCAGTACATTTTGCATTTCTACAAGTGTGTCCAATGTTTACTGAAGTTTTGATTGTTTTTTTTTATGCTATGTATTTGCTTCAATATTTCTCCCTTCACTTCTTGTATCATTTTTTTGATTTCCTTCCACTGGGCTTTGCCTCCCTGTTTAGCTTGATAACCTCTTGAATTCTTTTTCAGGTAAATCAGGGATTTCTTCTTGGTTTGGATACATTGCTGGTGAGCTAGTGTGATTTTTTTAGGGGTGTTAAAGAGCTTGTTTTGCCATATTGCCGAAGTTGGTTTTCTGGTTTCTTCTCATTTGGGTTGGCTCTGTCAGAGGGAAGGTCTAGGGCTGAAGGCTGTTGTTCAGCTTCTTTTGGGTTGGCTCTGTCAGAGGGAAGGTCTAGGGCTGAAGGCTGTTGTTCAGCTTCTTTTGTCCCATGGGGTGTTCTCTTGATGTGTAGTATTCTCCCCATTTTCCTATGGATGTGGCTTCCTGAGAGCTGAGCTGTAGTGATAGTTATTTCTCTTCTGAGTCTAGCTACCGAGCAAGTCTACGAGGCTCTGGGCTGGTACTGGCATTTGTCTGCACAGATTCCTGTGATGTGAACCATCTATGGGTCTCTCAGCCATGGATACCAGCACCTGTTCTGGTGGAGGTGGCAGGGGAGTGAAATGGACTCTGCGAGGGTTCTTAGCTTTGGTGGTTTAATACTTTATTTTTGTGCTGGTTGGCCTCCTGCTGGGAGATGGTGCTTTCCAGAGAGCATCTGCATGGTAGTGTGGTGAGGGCTCAGCAGTAGGCAGAGTCCTGGAACTCCCAAGAGTATATGCCCTTTGTCTTCAGCTACCAGGGCGGGACCATCAGGTGGGGGCAGGGCTAGGCAAGTCTGAGCTCAGTCTCTCCTTGGGCAGGTCTTGCTGCAGCAGCTGTAGGGGATGAGGGTGAGGTACCCAGGTCAATGGAGTTGTGAACTTAGGAGGATTATGGCTGCCTCTGCTGAGTCCTACAGGTTATCAGGGAAGTGGAAAAAGCCAGCAGTCACAGGCCTCACCCAGCTCCCACACAATCCAAAGGGCCAGTCTCACTTCCATCATGTCCCCACCAGCAGCACAAGTCTGTTTCCAGGCAGTGGGCAGTGGGCAGTGGGCAGTGGGCAAGCAGAACTGAGAACTTGCCTCAGGCTACACGCCTCCCGGCTGCAAAAGAAAAAGGCTTTATTTAGGTCCCCCCGCCCCCCATCCCCAGGTCTGCACACCAGATTCGTGCCCTCCCCCGAGTTCTGGCCAGGAGGCTTCTCAACAGGTTACAAAGTTCAGCTGGAGACTTCCTTCTCCCTGTGGCATTTTCCCTGCACTGCTGGCCATCCTCCCAAAGGATCCCTGTGGTGCCAGGCAGGAATGGCCTGCTTGGGACCCAGCGAGCTCCCAGGGCCTTTCCCACTGCTTCCTCCACCCCTGTATTTCACTCGGCTCTCTAAATTGACTCGGCTCCAGGTAAGGTCAGAATCTTCTCCTGCAAACTAGACCTTCAGTTTCCTGAGTGGGGGTGTGTGTTCGGGAAAGGAGGGTGTCTCTTTCCCACTTCCACAGTGTGGGCATTCGCAGTATTTAGAGTGTCTCCTGGGTCCTGCAGGAGCAGTCTGCTTCCTTCAGAGGATCTGTGGGTCCTCTCAAGATTCCTGGTTTATTCCTGCAGTTCTTCTGGAGCTAAAATTCACAATGTGAGCCTCCTCATGCTGCTCCGTCCATCCAAGTCAAAGCTGCAATCTAGTCCTCCCTCTCACTGCCATGATGATCCTGGATGTCCGAGCATTCCCCAAAGCTTCTTAAGCTGATAAACAACTTCAGCAAAGTTTCAGGATACAAAATCAATATGCAAAAATTACTAACATTCCTATACACAACAACAGTCAAGGCAAGAGCCAAATCAGGAACACTATCCCATTCACAATTGCCACAGAAAGAATAAAATACCCGGGAATACAGCTAACCAGGGAGGTGAAAGATCTCTACAATGAGAATTACAAAACACCACTCAGAGAAATCAGAGATGACACAAGCAAATGGAAAACATTCCATGCTCATGGACAGGGAGAATCAATATCATTAAAATGGCCATACTGCCCAAAGCAATTTACAGATTCAATGCTATTCCCATCAAACTATCAACAACATTCTTCACAGAACTAGAAAAAAACTATTTTAAAATTCATGTGAAACCAAAAAAGAGCCCAAATAGCCAAGGCAATCCCAAGCAAAGGGAACAAAGCTGGAGGCATCACGCTGCTTGTCTTCAAACTGTACTACATGGATGAGTAACCAAAACAGCATGGTACAGGTATAAAAGCAGACACATAGATCAGTGGGATAGAATATAGAGCCCAGAAATAAGGCCACATACCTACAAGTATCTGATCTTTGCAAAGCTTACAAAAACAAGCAATGGGGAAAGTACTCCTTATTCAATAAAAGGTGCTGGGATAACTGGCTAGACATATGCTGAAGATTTCTTACACCATATACAAAAATCAACTCAAGATGGATAAAAGGCTTAAATGTAAAACCCAAAACTTAAAAACCCTAGAAGACAACCTAGGCAATACCATTCTGCAAATAGGAATGGGCAAAGACTTCATGACGAAGAGGCCGAAAGCAATCGCAACAAAAGCAAAAATTGACAAATGGGCTCTAATTAAACTTAAGAGCTTCTATACAGCAAAAGGAATTATCAACAGAGTAAACAGACAACCTACAGAATGGGAGAAAATATTTGCAAACTATGTATCTGACAAAAGTCTAATATCCAGCATCTATAGGGAACTTAAACTTACAAGAAAAAAGCCATTAAAAAGTAGGCAAAAGAGGCTGGGCACAGTGGCTCATGCCTGTAATCCCAGCACTTTGGGAGGCCAGGTAAATCACTTAAGGCCAGTTCGAGACCAGCCTGGTCAACATGGTGAAACCCCATCTCTACTAAAAACACACACACACACACACACACACACACACACACAAACACACACAAAACAAAAATTAGCCAGGTGTGGAGGCACACACCTGTAATGCTAGCTACTTGGGAGGCTGAGGCATGAGAATCTCTTGAACCTGGGAGGTGAAGGTTGCAGTGAGCCAAGATCACACCACTGCACTCCAGCCTGGGCAACAGAGTGAGACTGTCAAAAAAAAAAAAAAAGAGAGAGAGAGAGAAAAAAAGTGGGCAAAGGACATGACACTTTTCAAAAGAAGACATACATGTGGCCAACAAGCATATAAAACAAAGTTCAACATCACTGATCATTAGAGAAATGCAAATCAAGACCACAATAAGATGCCATCTTACATGTCAGAGTGGCTATTATTAAAAGGTCAAAAAATAACACATGCTGGCAAGGTTGCAGAGAAAAGGGAATACTTACACATTGTTGGTGGGAATGTAAATCAGTTCAGCCATTGTGTAAAGCAGTGTGGTGATTCCTCAGAAAGCTAAAAATAGAACTACTGTTCAATCAACAATCTCATTCCTGGGTATACACCCAGAGGAATATAAATCATTCTACCATAAAGACACCTGCACATGAATGTTCATTGCAGCACTACTCACAATAACAAAGACATGGAATCAACCTAAATGTCTATCAATGACAGGCTGGATAAAGAAAATGCGGTACATATACACCGTGGCGTACTATGCAGCCATAACAAAGAATGAGATCATGTTCTTTGCAGGAACATAGATGGAGCTGGAAGCCATTATCCTTAGCAAACTAACGCAAGAACAGAAAACCAAATACTACATGTTCTCACTTCTAAGTGGGAGCTAAATGATGAGAACACATGGACCCAAAGAGAGGAACAAGAGACACTGGGGCCTACTTGAGGGTGGAGGGTGAGAGAAGGGAGAGGAGCAGAAAAAACAGCTATTGGGTACTACTCTTAGTACCTGGGTGACAAAATAATCTGTACAACAAACTCCTGTGACACAAGTTTAGCTACATAACTACCTACGCATATATCCCTGAACTGAAAATAAAAGTTACAAAAAGCAGAGATAACATGCAAACATATTTATAAATGGCTTGAAACCAATTAAGATTTAAAAAGTTTTTAAGGTAGGTCGGTTTGAACTGAATGCAAATTCCTGGAGCAACATAAGAAGTTGACTAACACGGTGAAACCCCATCTCTACTAAAAATACAAAAAATAAGCCGGGTGTGGTGGCAGGTGCCTGTAGTCCCAGCTACACGGGAGGCTGAGGCAGGAGAATGGCGTGAACCCGGGAGGTGTAGCTTGCAGTGAGCCGAAACTGCGTCACTGCACTCCAGCCTGGGCGACAGAGCGAGACTCCGTCCCCCCACAAAAAAAGAAGTTTTCTCTCCAAATCTTCCCTGGTCATCTCTCTGATTCCAAAGACCAATCAGGGAGGAGGTGAAATAGACAGTCCCAAAGAGTCCAAGAGAGGCTGGGGCATCCTGTGGGGGGTAGGATGGAGCAGAAGGAACCGGACACTAAGGATGAACCCAAGGGAGCAAGACAAGTTAATACCGGCTGAGACCCAAGAACAGGGGAAGTGCCAGAAAGGGCATCTGAGGCCAGGGATCAAGAGGAGATGGGGGAGCTGGAGAGGAGTGGAGGGTGCTGGGAAGGAAGGGAGGGCCCAGTGGGTCACTGCGCCACCCACTGAGGAGCAGCCAGAGGAATGATGGCAGAGTGCCCTGGACACCCTTAAAGGCACCAGGTGAAGGCCGGAAGTCTTAGAAGAAAAAAAAAAAAAGCTGCACACGTGGTGGGTGTCACACCCAAAAGGCAACAGACCTTGTCCAGGAGGTCACTCGTCTAGGACATTGTAGAAATGATTCACTGACCCAGGTTGGGCCAGATGAGCACACAGTCATTCCAAGCCCAGATCCTTGGATTCGGTGTTGCAGGGACAGTTAGGGCTCACATTGGAGAGGCACCTGCCTTGAGCAGGGCAGAGCGCAGGAGTGGGAAGGGAGCTGGGAGATGAGAAGGCTGAGCTGGAGGGGAATGGGGTCTCACACCTACTGGGAGCCAGAGGCAACCATGAGAATCTCTCCAAATACTCCTATCAGAGAGAGGGGAAACAAGTATTTGAGAAGTGCGTTAGGACCAATTTTCTTCCTTTTTTTCTTCAGATCATGAAAGTGACAGACATTCATCATCCTTTTGGAAAATACAGTAAAGTAGGAGGAACATACAGATTTCCCTTACTCGTATCCACACAGGACTGTTGTTCTTTTCATGTATAGTCTATTTCCAGGTGTCTGTATGCCTGTGGATAAACGTTTGTTCATTAGTTAGCTGGGTTGGGATCATCTGGTAGGATTTTTGCACTTAACTACCTGCTATAGTCAGAATGTTTGCGTCCCCGCCACATTCATATGTTGAAACCTAACCCCCAAGGTGGTGGTATTAGGAGTGGGTGCTACTGGGCGGTGATTAGGTCATGAGGGCAGAGCTCTCAAGCATGGGTTTAGTGTCCCTCGAGAGGAGGCCCTGGAGAACCCCTGGCCCCTTCTACCAGGTGAGGACACAGGGAGAAGGTGTCACCTGTGAACCAGGAAAAAGGTCCTCACTAGACACTGAATCAGCCGACACCTTGATCTTGGCCCCCACCCCTTCCAAAACTGTGAAAAATAAATTTGTTTATAAGCCCCCATGTTTATGGCACGGTGTCATGGCAGCTGCCCAAACAAACCAAGACACTATCTGTTGTGAGCATTTTCCCGTGGTTTTCAACCGCATAATTTGTAATGGTCGCATAGCCTCCCATCATATGAATGTATTGTAATTTATTTAACAGATTGCTTATTGTTAGACATGCATTAATATAAATCCTGAGATATAATCTGGGCATCAATCTAGACAAACGAGCTCCAAAGCTTTAGTTTAGCTCTGCCCTTAGGGCAGTATTGGAAGCTGTAAAGACAGCTGTGAGCTGGAGCAGTCCCGAGGCACCCGCATGCAGGTGTGCCGGGAAAGCCTGTGGTGGCCCAAAAGGCGTCATCAGCTGTCAGAGGGAGCAGTCTTCAAAGGCCAACAATCAAGCTTAGTGCCAGGAAGCACAGCTCCTGCACATGGCCCGCAGCCCTCTCAGGACAGAAGAACTGGGTGCAGCAGGCCTCACGTGCCTACTGGCGGGGTCCCAGGAGAGGTCCTATAGCTTCCATCCAGCTGTCCCCACACCCTGCTCCGCTCTGCTCTCTCCATGCCCCCACCCCGTGGAGCATAGCCCCTTCTCACCACACCCAGCCCTGCTGTGGTCCGCATGCTCCCACCTCTTCGGCCCCTTCCTTGCTTGGCCCTGGTGTCTGTGTGGACTGAAGGCCAACTGTTCCCTGGGACTCTGGTCACCTTGGAGCCCCCACCCCTACTGCCATTTCCAAATTACATCTCTCTCTTTTTTCTCTAGAACCCACAGCTTATGTGAAGCTGTGCCATTCAGCTCCACCACATCCTGCCTTTCCTCATGATGGTCCTTACCAACCTCTGATTATCCCATTCATTAAAAACTCTAGTTCTGCCTCACTACCTTCTCCTCCACATTTCCTCTGATTTTTACATCCGTATGGAGGAGCTGACCAACACTAGAGCTTCTAAGTCTCAGTAGCAGTTCCCTAGGGCCGCTGAAACAAATTGCTTCAAATCGGTGGCTTAGCATAACAGAAATTGATTATCTCACAGATCTAGAGGCTGGAAATCCAAAATCAAGGCATGGACAGGGCCACAGTGCCTCTGGAGGCTTTGGGCGAACTCTTCCTGGCCTCTTCCAGCTTCTGGTGGTTCCTTGGCCTGTGACTGTGTAACTCCAATCTCTTCACTTGGTCTTCTCCTGTGTCTGTGTGTCTGTCTCCCCTTCTTTCTATTACAAGGACACTTACTGGATTTAGGGCCCACATGGCTAATCCAGGATGATCTCATCCATTGATCTTTAATTGAATTATATCTGCCAAGACTCTTTTTCCAAATAAAATTATAGTCACAGGGTCGCAAGTTCCAGGACACTGACATATCTTTTTGGAGCCCACCATTCAACTGAACTCAGTGCCTTATCCTGTTTCCCACCTGAGCCACTCTAGTCTCATGGTCACACCGTAGACCTTGTCATAACAAGCATCTCAGCCACCTTTAAATTATCGATCTCAGACATCCTCCCAGCTCTCTTGTGCTCTAGGACTCTAGCCCAAGGGCTCTCATTCACTGACGTCCCTGCCTGTGCGTTTTCTGTCATTCCTTCCCTCATTGTTGCCCTCCTTACTCAGCTCAGACTGCAAGTTGCCTCATTACAACCTCTCCCTGGCAGAATTCCTCAACCCCTTGCTTCTCTCTTCTCTAAGTCATACTTATCCTGCAAAACCTCAACCTTGGCTGATTCTAGTATTGACTTGGATGCACAGCTGACCACAACAGGAAAAGTCACACTGTCGGGCTGACTGGTTTCACTTTAAGTTCATGGCCACAAACCTCTAATGGGCACTGCTTAGCTACTCTGTCCATTTCCATTGTGAGTTGACTTTCCCCGGCAGCATCTCTCTCTTCACATCTCCCATGGTGAATGCATGACCTGCCCCACATGGAGCTGAGTAAATACACATATCAGAGGGGAGCGCAATTCTCTTCTCATCTCCAAATGCACAGGTAGACTCACAGCTACATCTGTCTTGTCACACCCCAAGCACCCTGCTCCCCGACCTGAACTCACTCCAGCACAGGCGCTCTTGAGAGAGGCAGCCTTGCCCAGGCCACTTGGTGCTCTGTGGCTCACACCCAAACGATGCCTGGCATGGGAAGCTCTTGGTGTTGGTTGAATGAAGGAGGACTTCCTTCCTCCAGTTATCTCCTCCTGCACCCTCGATCTTCTCTCCACTGAATCATTTCCACTCACACACAAAGACGTGCTGGAATCTCTCATTAGAAGAAGTCTTTCTGTGGCTCGACAGACTCTCAGTGTTCCCTCCCTTTCCCCATCCTGTTTCATAGCAAAACTTCTCCCACAAGCGGTCTGCACACTAACATCTTGGCTTCACCCATCCTTCCTTCTGCTTCTTCACCTACTCTTCAGTCTCCTCCAGTCTGGCTTCTGGCTTCTCCACTCCCCCGAAACTCCTTTTGTCAAGGGTGTCAGTGACCTCTGTGTCAAGGGCATCGATAAGCTCCATGCTGTCAAACCCAACTTTGTCTATTATAAAAACACCTAGAAGAAAGAAATTGACAGAGGAGAAGGCTGTAAGGTGAAACACAACTGCCCACCCCCTCTTCTTAGACCCCTCTCCTCTCTCATTGCCCATGATACAGCAAATAGATTTTTCTCTTATCCCACCAGACACTTCTAATCAACCTTCCTCACTAGGTCGCCCTCTCCCTGACCTCTAGATACAACCTCTTATTCTTCTCTGTCGATGTATTTTTCATTCTTAGCTTTAAACACCATCCATTTGCTGATGAATTCCAAATTTATTTTTTCATTTGAATCTAGACTCTTAAGCCCTCCGTATCCTTCCTTGGTGACTTCTTTAGGTATTTCAGGGGCATCTGAAATTTAACATTTCCTAAATGTCACCCTTGATCTCCCCAACCCCCTCCCCACCACCCAACTGGTTCCCTCCATCGGTCCTCAGAAAATGGTGCCACCATCTCACTTGCAGTCATGCCCAACAGCTAGCATAGTCCTTGTGGGAGTGTCTCTGGAGATAAAGTCATAGACCGGGAAATGCTGTGCCAAAAGGCGTGTGCCACTTCTTAAAAGTATAGAGAGCTCTGATGCCCATTCACCACAATAACAAACGAGGCTTTGAAGCTCCTGACGTTATCGTCTCTGAAACTGTGAGGATTTTTTTTTAACTGGGTAGTTTGCTTTGCCTGGAACTCTTCCCTCCTCTGAGGCGTTGGTGAGTCAGCTGGGGCTCGTAGATATAAGCAATGGACACCAAGCTCTGGGTGTTACAAGTAGAAAAAATGGACTGAAAGAGTACTGGGTAGCTCACAGGGCCACTGGGAAGACTGAAAAACTGCGGGACTAAAGGGAGCCCTGAGGTCAGCCCCAACCAAAACCATACCCTAGAACCTGTGCACACCAGACTCTGGACGTCATCACTGCCTGCTGCCATCGTTGTCACTGCCTGAAAAACAGCCTCCTCCTCTCATCCCTGACTCTGCTTCACTAGGGTCGGTGCCTGTGCCCTGGCTTCCCAGGAGGGGGAAAGGCAATGGGCCATTTTGACTGCACCCTTAAGACTTATCAGGTGTCACTCTGGGTGGCTGCAGAGGTGACGGCCGCCCATGGTGCTCATCCTGAGGGTCCGCAGCTCTCATTGCTGTTCAGCAAGACAACACTGGACCTGTTGGCTGTTACAGACTCTGGGGCTTTGGGAAGGGAACGTGAATGGAGCAGGGGAGGGAGGCAGGGTGGCACAATGTTTAATTATGCCATTCCAAAGTTCTGGCCACCAGTCTGTCCTGTCTGTCTGTCCTGCTAGCAAGTTCTGCATGTGGCATGTCAGCGGCCATCTTCATGTTCCTGCTGGGCCTCTTCTTTGATGTCATAACTATGAATATGTTGCCCACATTTTGTCCCCTTTTTATAGAAAGGCTCCAAGCACTTTGCAAACATTAGTAAGTGATTAGTCATCAGTACACAGTTGTTAATAAATCAGGGACTTTCTCAGCTGGATTCCTCCTGTTTTTCTCCCTCTGCCCATCAAGATGGGAGGTGGGGTGGTAGGGGGGAGAAAGACTGGACTCCTTTTTCTTAAGCACTGCCTTACCATTTCTCTACCAACCCTGGCACTTGCAGTGGAAACTTGCCGCTTCCGTTTTTAGCCACAGAGGTAATCTACTTTCATTTTGGCGACTAGGCTGGTATTTTTTTCCACGAAGCTGGGTGATGAGCCTTGCCCTGGTTTCTGAGGTTTCATGTTCACCAGCAGTAAGCCAGGCCTCCTTTTTCCCCTGGTTTCTTTTCTTTTCTTTTTTTTTTTAAAGAAGAGGAAACCAAGGCAAGTATTTAGTGAAGGTGGCCAAGACGCTGGAGCTGCTGTTCTCAGAGCGCAGTCTGCAGGCCAGCACATTAGCAACATCTGAAGTGCACATTAAAATAACTCCATCGCCACCTCCCAAATCAGCCCACCTCCCCCACTTCCCTCCACCCCACCTCCATCCACCCCACCTCCATCCACCAAATCAGTGTCTTTGGCATTAAAACCAAAGAAATTGCAGTTTTATTAAGTTCGCAGATGACACTCTAATTTAAAAACCACTAGTTCAGAGTAGACGTAGGCATCAGAGCAGTGACATGATTTGAAGCCACAGGCCTCAGTCTATGCACCTGCAAGGTAAGTGATGAGCAAATGAATGCAATAGGCAGCACGTGGACACTTTTGGGGGTGCCTATCCATTATACAAGTTTGTTTTTGTTTTTTTGAGAAAGGGTTTCATTGTGTCACCCAGGATGGAATGCAGTGGCAGGATCTCAGCTCACTGCAACCTCCACCTCCCAGACTCAAGCAATCCTCCCACCTTAGCCTCCTGAGTAGCTGGGACCACAAGTGCATGCCACCACACCCGGCTAATTTTTGTATTTTTTATATAGACAAGGTCTCGCTATGTTGCCCAGGCTGGACTTGAACTCCTGGACTCATGTTATCTGCCTCTCTTGGCCTCCCAAAGTGCTAGGGTTACAGGCATGAGCCACCCCGCCCAGCCTCCATTTCACAAGTATTTGAATGACTGCCTACTATGTGCAAAATATATGCCAGAAAATAATCAGGAAATTTTCCATCTATAAATTGCATTAGATAGATAGATAGACAGATAGATAGATAGATAGATAGATAGATAGATAGATAGATAGATAGATGATAGATAGATAGATGATAGATAGATAGACAGACAGATGATAGATAAACATAAACATTAGCCCTACTGTTTTCTGTCTTCTAAGATAAGGGAGCTGAATAGATGGAGCTGAAGGGTCTTCTAGTTCCAATTTCCTACAATTTATGAAGTGGTTGGAATTAGCCCTGACCACTTCCTAGACACTCTTAAAAAAAAAAAAAAAAAGACTTCAAACACACACAAAAAAGCACTAAAAAACAAAAACAGAAACAAAACACAGATGCCCATGTTTCGACCTCCAACATTGAACACATTTTAACATTTTTCAATCAATCTAAATCTTTATAGATACAGTTGAAGTCCTCACTTTCAACCCATTTATCTCCTTCCCTTCCTTTCTATCCAGAAGTGATGATCCTGAAACTGGTATGTGCCTTTTACCAATGGTTTTATAAATTCAAAATATATACTGTTGTTCAGTGTTTTTATAAACACATATATAGTTTATATATATCCATCATGTGCCTTTTATACCTATTTTGCAGTATTTTCAAATCTATCTATATTGATACATGTACATCTACTTTGTTCATTTGTATGACATTCCAATATATGAATATCACCACGATTTATTTAACCAGTTTCCTACTGATTAGCACTTTCCATTTTCCATGTTTGCTGTTTAGATGACAAATTGCTCTCCCACGTGATGGTGCCATTTATATTCCCGCCAGAGCTCAATGAGGCTCCACATTTACCCACATCCTTGCCAATACTGTGCTTGGTTTTAGGTTTTTAACATTTTTGCCAGTTCGATAGGGATGAAATGCCATCTCATGGTTATGCTGATTTGCGTTTCCTTGATTACTAATGAGGTAGAACATATTTTTCATTTTTTCCTTTTTTTTTTTTTTTTAATTTGAGACAGGGTCTCACTCTGTCCCCCCTGGCTAAAATGCAGTAGTGCTATCTAGGATCACTGCAGCCTCGACTCCCCAAGCTCATGTGATCCTCCTGTCAGAGGCGTTTGAACCAGAGCAACTCTGTCTTGAATAGGAACTGGGTAAAATGAGGCTGAGACCTACTGGGCTGCATTCCCAGAGGGTTAAGGCATATCTAGTCACAGAATGAGATGGGAGGTTGGCACAAGATACAGGTCATAAAGACCTTGCTGATAAAATTTTGCAGTAAAGAAGCCGCCTAAAACCCACCAAAACTAAGATGGCCACGAGAGTGACCTCTGGTCGTCTTCACTGCTACACATTCACCAGCGCCATGACAGTTTACAAATGCCATGGCAATGTCAGGAACTTACCCTATATGGTCTAAAAAGGGGAGGTATGAATAATCCACTCCTTGTTTAGCATATCACCAAGAAATAATCACAAAATGGGCAACCAGCAGCCCTCAGGGCTGCTCTGTCTATGGAGTAGCCATTCTTTGATTCCTTTACTTTACTAATAAACTTGCTTTCACTTTACTCTATGGACTCACCCTGAATTCTTTCTTGCGTGACATCTAGGAACCCTCACTTGGGGTCTGGATCAGGACCCCTTTCCTGTAACTCTCTCATCTCAGCCTCCTGGGCAGCTGAGATTACAGGCACCTGCTACCAGGTCTGGCTATTTTTTGTATTTTTTTAGAGAAGAGGGTCTCACTATGTTGCCCTAGCTGGTTGCAAACTCCTAGGCTCAAACAATCTGCCTGCCTCAGTCTTCAAAAGTGCTGGGATTATAGGTGTGAGCTACTGCACCCTGCGTATTTTTCATTTTTTAATAGCCATACACATTTTCTCTTCTGTTAATCATTAATTTATTTGTTCTTTTTTTTATTGAATTGCAGGATTTAAAATTTTTCTGGAGTCAAATGTTTCACTAGTTACACAAATTGCAAATATCTTCTCCCGGTCTGTAACTTCACCTGTGGAGTTGGGGTGCATCACTCTCCTGGCACGTGCATGTATTGGGTGCATCACTCTCCTGGCACGTGCATGTATTGACCAACCCAGAAACTCTGTGAACCCCTCTATGTAGGGGTTTTTATTGGAGGTTCCACTTATTACATAGACATGATTGATTAAATCATCAGCCACTGGTGATGGACTCAATCTTCAGTCCCTCTCCCCTCCTGTCCAGCTGAAAGTTCCAACCTTCTAATCCTGTGGTTGGTTCCTCTGACACCAGGCCCCATCCAGAAGCTATCTAGGGCCCCAGTGAGAGTCACCTGATCAGCATAATAAGGTGTGGTTGAAAGGGGGCTTATGAGAAGTGACAAAACACACTGCTGTCACCACTAATGCTCAGGGAATTACAGGGGTTTTAGGGGCTCTGAGCCAGGAACCATATTACAAAGACGAAATATGTGTTTGTTATTATATCACAGTGTCACACATCTTATTTCCTTCAAGCTCAGAAATGAATGTTATGAATTCATGTTATCGTTTAACCAGCATTGCTGTGGATTTTTTTATCTGGGAGGTGGCGGTGGTGTACTGGGATTGGCCAGTATCAGTTCACAAGAACCAACTGTTAAATATTTAGGAATGTTGTCAGTGTTCGATGAAAGGGCTGCATTTGCAAAGTGGTCCTCAAATGCTGACGGAGCCAAGAAACCAAAGAACAAGGCAGACAAATTCAGTTTGTTTTATTGGGGAACTTACAGACAGAAGCGTGGGCTTGGGTGGCCACAAGACAGGTGGATTTCCACACTGTTCCTCCCCACACTGAGGGCTTATGTACTATAGGGAAAGGGTATGCGTGCTCCAGTGAGACAATTAAAGGCAATCCTTTGGAACAGGCAAGAATGTTCTGTGCATCACAGCCTATAATTTGTGTGATAACATCAAGGTTGCATGTTCCTATGCTATGGACAGTAAATAAAGTAGGAATCAGGAGTCATTCACAGGACTGGGCTAATCAGAAGTCAAGATGGCAGATTAGCATCCAAGATGGAGTCACTTTTGTCCCCACAAGGAGGCAGTTGCTGAACATAGCCATTATTAAAAATTAAATTGTATAAACTCAAAAATCAATAAATTATCATAATAACAAAGGTAAAAAGAACTCAAAACTTGTCACTCCAAATTTTTGTACTACATTTTTCTGTTCTCTCTGCTCTGAAGGTTATTAGCATGTTCTGTGTCTGTGTGTGTAATGGTGTTCTACTGAGCACCTCTCCCTGACTGGAGTTCACACCGGTAACTTGAAATTGGCCACGATGAGAGTATTTCCTACTAACACAGTGGATCAGGGCTTGATTTGTTGTTTTGGTGATCAACTAGATTAAGGGTCGACAAATTTATTCTGTAAAGAGCCAGATAGTAAATATTTTAGGCTTTGTGGTCCATACAGTTTCTGTTATAACTACTCAACTCTGCCCTTGTAGTGCAAAAGCCGCCACAAACCATTGGTAAATAAATGGGTGCAGCTGTTTGCCAATAAAACTTTATTTGCAAAACAGTCTGTGAGCCTGATTTGGCCCACTGGCCATAGTTTGTCAACCCTGGTCTAGAATTAAGAAAGTGATGAGAAAATGTTAATAATTCAGATTAAAGTTAAAAGTAGGTCATATCTAGTGCTGAAGCTTAAAGAGGTTTCAGCTTAATGAATATAATTTACATAAGCATAAGAAATAGTTTAACAGTAGATCACATATCAGATTTTATAACAATAAACTTATTGGGAAGAGAGTTAACAGATTACGATGCAGCTCTATTTGTCAAATTATGGTTAAATTGCAACCATAGGTTGGCTACAGTAAATGTTCTGCAAAACTCAACAAAAATATTCTGTGAGAATCAATTGGCTATACAGAATTTACAATAAAAAAGATTATGTATTTAATTATTATTTGTAAATTGTATGTTATATACATCCTTTATATCAATAAAATGTATGATACACACACACACACACACACACACACAAATATATGGCATTATTTTGGAAGAGCTGGTTGTTAAACATTTACCAGCACACCACTGGGAAGTGGTCATCTTAGCTCAGTCTGCCGTGTTGTCAAAACTGCTTTCCAAATTCTGTTGACTTAAAAGTTCAGATAGGCCGAGCGCGGTGGCTCACGCCTGTAATCCCAGCACTTTGGGAGGTCGAGGCGGGCGGATCACGAGGTCAGGAGATCAAGACCATCCTGGCTAACACGGTGAAACCCCGTCTCTACTAAAAATACAAAAAAAATTAGCAGGGCGTGGTGGCGGGCTCCTGTTGTCCCAGCTACTTGGGAGGCTGAGGCAGGAGAATGGCGTGAACCTGGGAGGCGGAGCTTGCGTGGGCCGAGATCGCGCCACTGCACTCCAGCCTGGGCGACAGAGCGAGACTCTGTCTCAAAAAAAAAAAAAAAAAAAAAAAAAAAAAAAAAAAAAAAGTTCAGATAAATCTAACACCTACAGCTAGAATGCTCTTGAAATATCTAGATATTTTCATATTGTACCTTACTTAAGAAAATCTGTCATCTAGTTTCTTTCCTTTATAGTGTATATTGTATGCAGCATGTGGCTGTGTTTTCCTGAGCCATACATAGGAATGAAAACAGCAGAATGGAGGTGGAAACCTCCTGGTTAATGTCTTCATTTCACCATGTGGAATAAAGCCAATGTCAAGAAACACTCACCTCCAACGCTTCTTTGGCACCCGGCCAGGAGAAGAGGGCTGCCTCAGAGGGATCTTTGCACAGATGGGCTTATTAATACAAAATGCTACTGGCTGACTTTTTGTACCTTGAAGTGTATTCGGTTTTATAAGCATCACTCTGGAAAAATTTCTTTTCTAGTTTGTAATCTAAAATAACACAATATGCTGGCTAGGTGTGGTGGTTCATGCCTGTAATCCCAGCACTTTTGGAAGCTGAGGCAGGTGGGTCACTGGAGGCCAGGAGTTGGAGACCAAGCCTGGGCAACCTAGCGAGACCCCATCTCTAAATAAAAATCATTAGCCAGATGCAGTGGCTTATGTCTATAGTCCCAGCTACTCAGAAGGCTGAGGTGGTAGGATCACTTAAGCCCAGGAGTTCAAGACAAGCCTGGGCAACATAGAGGACCCCATTTCTACAAAAAATAAAAATAAAAATTAGCTGGGCATGGTGGCACACACCTGTAGTCACAGTTACCCAAGAGGCTTGAGGTGAGAGGATCTCTTGAGCCCAGGAGTTTGAGGCTGCAGTGACCTATGATTGCACCACTGCATTCCAGCTTGGGCAACAGAGAGAGATCCTGCCTCTAAGAAAAAATAAGCCTGGGCACGGTGGTTCACACTTGTAATCCCAACACTTTGGGAGGCTGAGGCTGCAGTGAGCCACAGTTGCCCCAGTGTACTCCAGCCTGGGCAACAGAGTAAGATCCAGTCTCACAAAATTAAATTAAATAAATTTAAAAATTATACAGTATGCTAATTTTGTGATAATTACAGAGGAAGCCTTTATTTCCCCTCTGGTTTTCCAAGTTCAGTTTTGAAGTTTGGGCCAGAGAAAGAGGGAGTAAAGAACGTTTTTTTTTTTCAGCTGCCTTTGGTTTTTCTAAGTTGGCAGTAGTTACAGGGTCAGAACTTACAGCCTTATGTGGGGTACTCTTATATATCATATTCTGCTAGAGAAAAAAAAATGGAGCAAAATTTGAAGTGACCCAGAGCCTCACAGAGCCCAAAGCTTTGACTTGCTGTCAGATTTAAAAATAAGGTCATTTTAAACCTAAGATCTACTACCTTTCCTTATTGCAAAATATCAAATGAATCTGGCCTTTTTAAAACAAGATATAAGTGAAATCTTGAGCCCTAGGCCATGAATTCCATGAGTGCTGGGACCATGACCCTAGCACATGGCCAGCCCCTAATCAATACTTATCGGTGGGGGAAGAAAGGCAAAATAGGCCAAGAGGACTGGGTCTAGAATGTTCCTTATCGAGATCCTTAATTTGAACCCCCGCTCCTGAGAAAATGACTCATGCCTGCTATGTGATGGTGAGTGAGAAAAATACAGGTTTCTATGAGCACATTACGTAGAAGAATAGTACTCATTTCTGGGCCATGTGTTCAATGTCAACACAAATATACAGGCCATCTGCCATCTCAGATGCTGGGCTCTCTTGGCATCAAGGTTTGTCAGGCAACTTGAATTCCTTTTTTTATTGGCGTAGAGGCTCAGGTGGAATTCCAAAAGCAGAAATTTCATCACCAAATACACATATCCTAAGTACTAACTGTGCACAGTAGGTACAATGAAAGCTAGGCCCGGATTGCAAGGATAAAAGACAGAGTTGGAAGAATGAGCACACAGTTACAACACAGTACTAACAGGGTCACAGAGGCAGGCAGTGGGCAGACAGGTTCACAGAAGAGGGGCGTGTCACTCACAGCAGTGATCAGAGGGCACCTTCTAGGGGAGGTGACAGGTGAACCGAGAGTTCGGAAGAAAAGGTTCAGATATGCTACGGTTTTAAATGTAAAAGCCTCTCCCTTCCCTCCTGACTTAATGCGCCCTTACAGAGTCACAGTCTTTGGTCCATGATGGAGTCAGATGGTGAATTTTATGTGTCAACTTGGCTAGGCCAGCCCAGTTGTTTGGTCAAACACCAGTCTCACTGTTGCTGTGAAGGTAGTGTTTAGATGTGATTAACACTTAAACCAGCAGACTTTGAGTAAAGCACATCACTCCATACCATAAGGTGGATGTAATGGACATAGGGGTGTCACCCATTACACATTGAACATGTTAAAGACAGGCTCCCCTAATGAGGAAGGCATTGTTCCTAATATGGTAACATGGAAATTCTGCCCGACTTTCCAGCCTCTGGACTCAGGACTGCAACATCAGGTCCTGTCTGAGCTTCTGGTCTGCTGGCCTGCCCTACAAATTTCAGGCTTGCCAGCCCCCACAACAGCATGCACCAATTCCTTAAAATGAATCTCTCTTTATATATCTATGTATGCATTCGACTGGTTCTGTTTCTCTGGAGACCCTTGACTAATACAGAGAGCTTTGCATTTAACCCTTAGAGTTGGTCAGCTTGGGGCCCTACCCTCATGCTTGCAAAAAGGGACACAGAACACACAGCCAGTATGGAGTAAATGAGCCCAGGCAACTCATGTCTTAATCCATCTCTGCTTCTCTGTGTCTTTGCTCCTGTGGGCCCACAAACTCTGGGCATAATTAGATCCCAGGCTCTCCTGGCCACTTTTGCTGTATTTAGTCTTCCGGCAGCCACTTCCCAGCCCCATACCTTTAGCCCCAACTTCCCTCTTATCTCCAATCCCAATCTGTCACTTGGCAATACCTGTCAGCCCTGTCCTTGGGGTTGCCAGATAACTAATGTCTGTGTGCTGGTACATCAGATACCCTCCAGTCGCTCCAGAGTGCCTTGGTAGGTAGGTCCAGAGAGCATACTATGTTTTATCTGCGTAGGTTTACATTTTGAGTCTCAGGGAAAATTTAAGAGACTGGATGTTAATCAGTGCCTCTCCAGTTACCAAGGGCATGGGGCTGACCACTCTCGAAGCTCATGTCACAATATATTTTGATTAACTGTGGCTCCCCACCGCCTGCTCCTGACAGGAGGGACTAAACTGAATCTTTTATCTTTCTATCCTTGGTGTTAGGCACAATGCTTTGAATACAGCAAGTGCTTGATAAATGCTTGTTGAAATATACCAATAGATGAGGCTGACGAGGAGAAGGATGAGTGCTTAATATATGTCAGACCTTATTCTCAGCTCTGTATGTATTGAGTGACTGTGAGTGCACACACGTAATCCTCACAGCAGTCTTGCAGGGTGCCTGCTACTCTCACTCCCTCTCTACACTAATGAAACTGGGTGCATAGGGCGAGATGGCTTCCCTAAGGTCACGTAGTAAGAGGCAGAGTCAACATGCAAACTCAGGTTCCAGACTCCACACTCCTAATGATATGCTGCTTACATGAACTCTATAAAGTCTACTCTACAACAACTCTATAGATATGCAACTCGTCTCTCTCCTGCAACATCTTCCCACAATTTCCAGGATCAGAACTAGAAGAACTTGACCCTCATGAGTGATATTACAAGAAGCAGGGTTGAGAGGAGATTCAGATGCTGGTCCTGACACCTGCCCTGTGTGACTTTGAGACTCAGTTTCCTTATTTATACAATAAAGGGTTTGGATTAGGTGATCTCCAAGGTCCCTATATGTCATCTAAATGCTAGGGAAGGATCTGGCAAGCTCTTTTTTTCGTCTTCTTCTTGAGACGGAGTCTTACTCTGTCACCCAGGCTGGAGTGCAGTGAGGCGATCTTGACTCACTGCAGCCTCCACCTCCTGGGCTCAAGCGATCCTCCCACCTCAGCCTCCCAAGCAGCTGGGATTACAGGCACCCGCCACCACACTCAACTAATTTTTGTAGTTTTAGTAGTTTAGTAGAGACAGGATTTCTACCATGCTGGCCAGGCTGGTCTCGAACTCCTGGCCTCAGGTGATCTGCCCACCTCAGCCTCCCAAAGTGCTGGGATTAGAGGCGTGAGCCATGGTACCTGGCCCAGTGAGCTCCTTAGACTCTTCTGCCTGTCACGACTTGACAGCTGTGGCTTAACGCTGACACAGTGCAGTGTCTCCAACCTCGGTTCATTCACAGTCCCCCTGGATTGGTTTCTACGGCCTTTTGGTGGCTGTAAATTCCTTTGAGAATCTGGTGAAAGCAAAGGGTCACCTCTCAGGACAAAGGAAACATATTTATAACCACACATTTTGCAGATGACTTTAGAGCATTTCAGCCCCCTTAAGGGTCCATCCTTAAGGCCCCAGGATCAAAACTCCCACACTTGAAAACGAGCAGGAAGTAACTGGAGTTGAAGTTAAAAATGGCACCAAGGGAAGATGTGATCAGAGGGAAGGGTGAGCTTGGGCTGAATAGGGCTTGGGTCTGCAGAGGGTCTGCAGAGGGTCTGTAGGCTGCCTAGGCCTCAGCCTGGTTTCCTAAGCCAAAAGTAGGCAGTCAAGACAGCTCAGCGAGCCAGGCAGCAGGTGTGGGGAAGGCATGCTGGGGAGGGCTCTCTCATTTGCCTGTCCCCTGATTTTGCTCGTGGAGACCCTCCTGGGTGTGGGCAGGCAGAGATACACCTGAGTCCTGTCTCACACCTGAGTCCTGTCTCACACCTTCAGAGGGCTCCTACCTGAGCAATCTGCCCCATAGGGAAAATGACTGCTGAGAGCAACAGCTCTCAACTCCTTAGTAGCCCTCATACTGAGGTGCACCTGATCTTTTCTAAATGCCTTAAAGCTTGCGTGCTCCAAGTCTAGCTGCTTTCTTTATATATGGAGACTCTTGCATCTTAAAAGGAGACTTGGCCAGGAGTGGTGACTCATACTTATAATCCCAATGCTTTGGGAGGCCGAGGTGGGAAGTTCACTGGAGCCCAGGAGTTTTATACCAGTCTGAGCAACATGGCAAAACCCCCATATCTACAAAAAATTTAAAAATTAGCTGGGCATGGTGTCTCGCATTTGTAGTCCCAGCTATTCGGGAGGCTGAAGTAGGAGGATCACTTGAGCCCAGAAATTCGAAGCTGCAGCAAACCATGATCATGCATCACTGCACTCCAGCCTGGGTGACAGAGCTAGACCCTGTCTCAACAAAAAGGCTGGGGAGACTCATTTAATTCAATACCTTAAGGTCCCCTAGGCCAGTAGATATCTGTATAGATAGAACTCCAAGGAGCTCAAAGCTTTTAACCTAATTGCTTCTAAATATACCTTTTGGAAAGGCATGCTGAAGTTAAATGTAATACTTTCAAACAGACCCTAAGAAAAAGCTGTGGCTGAATACTTCTCACACACGAATCTGATGGCTGTTTCCCGTTCTGGGTCTTTGCCCCAAATTCGCTAATGCCTCACTATAACTCATGCAGAGGAGCTTATTTTCCTAAGACTTCTTGCCTGTTGCTCTTCAGCACCGTTCACTCTCCTTTAGTCTGTTGGGGGACAGTTAACCCACCTTTCTGGGGCAGCCAGATCTACCTCTTTATAGGTTAAAAGCCCTGTTGTTTGCTGTAGAAAAGAAAATGCACAGGAGACCTCAGAAACTCATGTCAATATTAGGAGCTTGAAGACCCGTAAGTAAACAAGGGGGCTGGGTTTTCCTTTTGTGTGTTTGCTTTGAGTTGCCTGCTCTGAGATATTGCTATCTTTGCCTTTGCTGAGGAATATTTACTGCTTTCTTAAAAGCTGACCATGAAAGTGGCTATAACTAAGTTTTAAAAAGCTTTATCAGGCCAGGCGCCATGGCTCACGCCTGTAATCCCAGCACTTTGGGAGGCTGAGGTAGGCAGATCACTTGAGGTCAGGAGTTCGAGACCATCCTGGCCAACATGGAGCAACCCCATCTCTAGTAAAAATACAAAAACTTAGCTGGGCGTGGTGGTGCGCGCTTGTAATCTCAGCACTCGCGAGGCTGAGGCAGGAGAATCGCCTGAACCCGGGAGACGGAGGTTGCAGTGCAGCCGAGATTGCGCCACTGTACTCCAGCCTGGGCTACAGAGTAAGACTCTGTCTCAGAAAAAAAAAAAAAAAGCATTATCATTTGAGTGGAGCTATTCATGTGGATGAGATGCGTTTTTCACTGGTAATGAGAGCAAACAAAGTGAGGGGTGAGAATACGAGGCATTATTTGGGGGAATGCAGTGTCCCACCACGATCTTACAAAATGGAGCATCTATACTTTTGTCTCTACTATGTACTGGTTTTGGATTCAGCGATGCCCACCTGTATCTCATAACGGGAAAACACAACTCAGGCAGAATTGACTGTTGAATAAATAGGCATTACCCGGATGGAATTACACCAAGCAAACGATATCTGTTTTAAAAACAGCTGCTTTCCAGTTTGTTTTTTACAATGTAATATTCAGCCTGCCTGTGACCAGCTGTGGCTGAGTTGTAGGGTGTTCGTGGAGATTATGGGAGGCAGCGTTAAATGTTGCGTTTCTTTTGCTTTTTAAAATCCACCCTTTTGTTCTGTCCTCAGAGAGGAATGTGCATCTTTTGTTCTTAGCTACTCAGCTTCGGCCGGGTCTGGCGGCGCCTTTGAGTAACATGGGCAACGCGCGCCCTCTTCTGGACAATCCACTAATTGCAAATTCTGTAAAGCATTGGTCTGGTTATCAAGCGGGCCCTGAATTTGAATGTTCTTGGTAGAGAACACAAAAGAAATTATGACATGTTCCCTGCATTCAAAGGGCCTGCTTTTATGTTAGAAGATTAAACAGCTTGCTTTGGGATTTTCAGTGTGATTTGGAGAGACCAGAGAATATATTCTTTTAATCGTGTTTCTTAAAAAGGTATTTCTTTTATAGCCAAAATTTCATTTTAAAAATCTAACGATTTATTTTCTTTCTCTATTTGAATTATTTTTGAATTTATATGATTTAAACGGCTTCCTGGCCTGGCGCAATGGCTCTCACCTGTAATCCAAGCACTTTGGGAGGCTGAGGCAGAAGGATCGCTTGAGCCCAAGAGTTCCAGACCAGCCTGGGTAACATAGAGAGACCCTGTCTGTACAAAAAATACAAAAATTAGCCAGGCATGGCGGCCATTTCTCTAGTCCCAGCTACTCAGGAGGCTGAAGTGGGAGAGTCCCTTGAGCCTGGGAGTTCCAGGCTGCAGGGCACTGTGATCGCGCCCCTGCACCCCAGCTTGGACAACAGAGCAAGACCCTATCCCTAAAAAACAAACAAACAAAGCCTTCCTTTTAAAAGAGTAGAAACAAGATAAATAGCAAAGGTGTGTAGGACATTTGTTTTCAGTAAAGATAACTGGATCTTTAAAATCACTACATGAAGATCAATTATTCCATGTAAATCCCAAATAAAATCAATAATTTATCACAAAGTGCTTAGAGCAATATTCTCTACTCCCCTAAAGTCCTGTTTATCAAAAGTGAAACATTTATTTCAGTCTCTCCAGACTGAAGATTACAGAGCAAAATACTCTGTATTTACTTTTTTTTTTCACTCAGCCGAGAAGAGGGGAATAGAATCCCCATGGCCTTGCCATTCCCTTAACCTCACTTGTGGGACTGTTCAGTTTGTGGATCATCAGCAAATTTCTGGTCTATCACTCAGTAACATAAGACCTTGGGAAGATTACTTAAAGTTTGTAAATCTCAGTCTCACTATATGAAAAAGGGGGATAATAGTGGGGGGAATTAAATGAGCTAACCTGTGGTAGGTGCTGGGCCAGTGCCTTGCATTTAATAAATGTTCAATAAATGTTAGCCACCACCATCACCACCACCACTACCACCATCACCACAACTGCCACCATTACCCCCACCACCACTACTGTCACCACTGCCATCACCACCATCAGCATCACCACCACCATTACCACCACCACCAACATACCACTACCTCCACCATAACCACTACCACCACCACCATCACCACCACCATACCACTACCACCATCACCACCACCACCATCACCACCACCACCACCATCACCACCACCACCACCAGCATCACCACCATCACCACCACCACCACCATCACCACCATCACCACCACCATCACCACCATCACCACCACCACCACCACCATCACCATTACCACCATCACCACCCCCACCACCACCACCACCATCACCACCACCACCATCACCACTACCACCACCAGCATCACCATCACCACCACCTTCACCACCACCATCACCATCACCAACATCACCACCCCCCCACCACCATCAACACCATCACCACCACCATCACTACCATCACCACCATCACCAACACCACCATCACCATTACCACCATCACCACCCCCACCACCACCATCACCACCATCACCACCACCATCACCACCATATCACTACCACCACCACCACTACCATCACCACCATCACCACCCCCACCACCACCATCAACACCATCACCACCACCATCACCACCACCACCATCACCATTACCACCATCACCACCCCCACCACCACCATCACCACCATATCACTATCACTACCACCACCACCACCACCACTACCATCACCACCATCACCACCACCACTACCACTACCATATCACTATCACTACCACCACCACCACCACCACTACCATCACCACCATCACCACCACCACTACCACTACCATATCACTATCACTACCACCACCACCACCACCACTACCATCACCACCATCACCACCACCACTACCACTACCATATCACTACCACCACCATTACCACCCCACCACCACCACCAGCATCACTACCACCACCACCCCCACCACCAATAGCATCACCACTGCCATCACCACCACTGCCTCAATCACCACCACCATCAAAATCACTTTCTTTCTGTATTTCTCTGCTCCTCTTTTACTTTTTATTGTAAAATAAAACATATAGAAACCTTCCAAAATAAAAGTAGAACTTAATGAGTCATAATAAGGTGAACGCCCATGTAACCAAAAGAACCAGTCACCCCAGAACGCTCCATTGTGCTGTTCCAGCCTCAACTCCCTCCCTTCCCCAAAAAGGAACCACTGTCCTTTTACTGTAGTGACTTTCCTGTTTCTTTTTGGTTTTAGGACCCAAATGTGCCTGACTAGACACTTTAGTTTAGTCTGTACCTCCCCCAATTTTTCTACCTTATGTCTTTTAAGTTTATTATAATGTATAGGCTTCTCTCCATTCCTTGCAGTTTGCCTGCTGAAGAAGCTGGGGTATTTGATGTGTAGAACATCTCAGAGTCTGGCTCTGAGGTGACTGCAGGCTCATGGTGCAATTCAACATGTTCCTCTGTCTGTCTTTCCTGCCAGCTTGGAAGCTGGGGCCAGAGGCTGCGTCAGACTCCTCTTCTATCCCTAGACTCGTGTTGTCTCTTTGGCAAGATTCTAGGTAGTGCTGTGTCCTTTCATTAGCTCAGTGGCTAGATTTATGTGGTCTGCAAAATGACGATATTCTAATGTCACCATTTATTTTGCATCCTTTAGTTAAAATACTTTTAGTAAGCATTTCTGCCCTTCATGCTGTATTTGATTTCTCCGCGGTACAGTTCACATAGGAAAAAAAACTTGATTTTCTTTGCTTTAATTACCCAGTTTTCAAGAAAGTGAATGTGTTCCCGTGGTGGTTGTAAAACTTGACTGCAAATTCTGCAGCGCTTCTGCCTTCAAGAGATGGGATCTACATCCCGCTTGTTGAATCTGGAGGGGCATAGGAGAGCATTAAAAATGACAATTTGTGCCGGGTGCAGTGGCTCCTGCCTGTAATCCCAGCACTTTGGGAGGCTGAGGCAGGCAGATCGCCTGAGGTCAGGAGTTTGAGACCAGCCTGGCCAACATGGTGAAACCCTGTCTTTACTAAAAATGCAAAAATTAGCCAGGCGTGGTGGTGGACACCTGTAATCCCAACTACTCAGGAGGCTGAGGCAGGAGAATTGCTTGAACCCAGGAGGCAGAGATTGTAGTGAGCCAAGATTGCGCCACTGCACTCCAGCCTGGGTGACAGAGCAAGACTCTGTTTAAAAAAAAGAAAGACAATTTGTGACTTCCATGCCTACATCATAAAAGGCCACACAGCTTCTACCTTGTTTCCTCGGACACATGCTCATGGAGCCCGTGGCTGCCCTGTGAGAAATCCAGCTCCGCTGAGAACACTGCCTCAGAAAGGCTGCATATGGGCACTCTGGATAGCAGCCCAGCTGAGCACAGGCTTCCGTCATCCCAACCCAGACCCAAATGTGCAAGTGAAGTGGCCTCCAGATGACTCCAGTCCCAGCCATTTCGTCTTTCCAGCTGATGTCCCAGATGTCACAGAGCCAGGTCCACCAGGCCCTATCTGAAGTCCTGAAATACAGAATCCATATGCATGATAGAACGGGTGTTTACACTGCTTCGTCTTGGGGGGAGTTTGTTATACATAATAGTTAATGATAACGGTTCCTCATCGCCCTCTAAAGGTGACCAATGAGATTTATTTATATCCTTGTAAACTCATGAATTTAAAAAATATTTCATGATTTCAATCAATGGATTCATTATGCTTCTTGACACTCAAATTGTCCCTTATTTGACCAATGGCACCTCTTCATACTGGATTCTGAGTCCTTTTGACATAGCTCTATGAATACACAACAAACCATTGAATTATACACTTTAAGTAGGTGAACTGTATGCTATGTAAATTTTTTTTTATCAAAAAGCTCTTATTTAAGGGAAGACAATTACAAAAGACAAAATAACACAAATCAGAATTAGACAAATTCAAAACTGCGGTGATAGAACTCAGAAAAAATTAGAAATTAGCAGTCACTACCTATGTCTTTCCCCGCTCTCAAGGCAACCACTAATCCACTTTCTGTCTTTATAGATTTGTCTATTCAGACATTTCATATACATAAAACCATACAATATGTGGTCTTTTGTGTCTGGCTTTTTAGCACAATGTTTTCAAGGTTCATCCATGTTATGGCATGTAACAATACTTTATTACCTTTTATGGCTAAATAACATTCCATGTATAGACATAATATTTGTCTACCCATTCATTCGTTGATATACATTAGGATTATTTCCACTTTTCAGCTTTTATTAATGACACTGCTATCAATATTCATGTACATGTTTTTTGTTTGTTTCTTTTTGAGACAGAGCCTTCCTCTGTTGCCCAGGCTGGAGTGCAGTGGCACAGTCATGGCTTACTGCAACCTCCACCTCCCAGGCTCAAGCAATCCTCCCACCTCAGCCTCCCAAGTAGTTGGGACTACAGGTGCACACCACCAAGCCGGCTAATTTTTTTGAATTTTTTTAGGGATGGGTTCTTGTCATGTTGCCCAGGCTGGTCTCAAACTCCTGGGCTCAAGCGATCCTCCTGCCTCAGCCTCCTGAAGTGCTGGGGTTACAGGCATGAGCCACCGTGCCCAGCCTCATGCGCAAGTTTCTGTGTAGACATGTTTTCAGTTCTCTTGGGTATAAAACTAGGAGTAGAAATGCTGGGTCATATGGTCCTCTATGTTTAACCTTGTGGGGCACTGCCAAGCTGTTTTCCAGAGTTTCTGAACCATTTTAAATTCCCACCAGCAGTGTATGAAAGTTTCTATTTCTCCACATTCTTGTGAACACTTGTTATTACCTGTCTTTTATAGCCATTCTACTGAGTGTTCAATTGGGTTTTTTTTTGTTTTTTTTGTTTTGTTTTGTTTTTTTTGAGACAGAGTCTCGCTCTGTCACCCAGGCTGGAGTGCAGTGCAGTGGCACGATCTCGGCTCACTACAGCCTCCACCTCCTGCGTTCAAGCGATTCTCCTGCCTCAGCCTCCTGAGTAGCTGGGACTACAGGCATGCACCACCACATCTTGCTAATTTTTGTATTTTTAGTAGAGATGGGGTTTCACCATGTTGACCAAGATGGTCTCAATCTCCTGACCTCATGATCCACCCGCCTCGGCCTCCCAATGTGCTGGGATTACAGGCATGAGCCACAGCGCCTGGCCTACTCAAGTGGTTTTTCATTGTGGTTTTGACATGCATTTCCCTGGTGGCTAATGATGGTGAATATATTTTTATGTGCTTATTGGCCATTTGTATGTTTTCTTTGGAGCAATGTCTGTCCAGTCATATCATTTTCTTAATGTCTCTTAGCTCATTTTCAAAGAGAAAGTTATAGTTGCGATCTTTTCTGTGGACTTTTTTTTCCTGGTGTGCTTACAATGTCTATAGTATTGTTATTCTGCGTTTATTCTTTTTTTTAAGACTTTTCTATGGAATTTGGTTTTATTTTCCTATTATTCATTTATAAGCAAAATCAATTGCCCTTAAGTTTAGAAGGAGGCAGCGTGAATTTTCTGTCTTTACAGAGCACCCTCTGGTTTTTCAATGTGTGAGTGTGTGTGTGTGTGTGTGTGTGTGTGTGTGTGTGTGTGTGTGTAACTTGCTTTCTGAGATTTCCTGACGCTGGTCCCCTCTACCACTTTTATCTGGACCTTGTCTTTTCCTGTCTGAGCAGTCCACATCCTGATCTGTTTTGACTGTGCTCCCACAATTTGTCCTCAGTGTGGAGTTCTGTGCCCAAAGGGTGCCCTGGCTGGACTGGTTAGAGAGCTCATCGGGGTTAGGCAGCTCTGGCCTCCTCTGAGCTACCAGGGACTTCTCACGTGCACCCACCATGAGCCTGGGCGAGGCCCTTCTGGTTTCAGCTGCTCTTCTCAAATGGCTCCATCTTGCTTTCCAGGGAACACCTGATGACTGCCTCGGGGGTCTCCTGTGCTGATGCCCCACTGCCTCCCTCACCTTTCTTCTGCACCGATACTGATTACCATGCAGGCCTTGTAGGTGTTGGTGGTTTGCTCTTTGTTGCTTATAGTTTGGGAGTTGTGGGGACAGCCTAACTTCCAGTTTCATTATAAAGGTCTGTGGGTTTTTGGTTTTGCTACTTGGTTGCTCTTCTGGTTTTATGGGGGAATTGGTGTGATTAAAGGACTATGCTGTCACCACGGCTGCCTTTCCAGAATCCTTCTCAGACCACTTCCTTGACAATGAAAATTCAATTTGCCTTTCATTTTGCTATTTGCTTTGAACCTGATCTATTTGAATCATGCAGATTCAGGCCGGGGTTATTAATCATATCAAGGATAATTAGTTACCTCAAAAAGAGTATGTTCTTTTTTTTTTGAGACAGAGTCTCGCTCTGTCGCCCAGGCTGGAGTGGCACAATCTCAGCTCACTGCAACCTCCGCCTCCCGGATTTCAGCGATTCTCCTGCCTCAGCTTCCTGAGTAGCTGGGACTACAGATGCATGCCACCATGCCCGGCTAATTTTTGTAATTTTAGTAGAGACGGGGTTTCACCATATTGGTCAGGCTGGTCTCGAACTCCTGACGTCAGGTGATCCACCCACCTTGGCCTCCCAAAGTGTTGGGATTACAGGCGTGAGCCACCACCCCTGGCCAAAGTGTATGTTCTTTATTACTCTGGCAAACTAGATCTGAACGCTATGGGAGCTCTGGGTACTTTGAAATCTCATTAGGCAATCAGCAATCCTCAAGGCCTGTGACTCAGCAGGTCCACCCAAGGCCTGAGCCACTCCACGTCAAGCTGTGGCTCTTTTCGCCCCGTGCCTTTGCGTGTCTACCCAGCGTCTTGCTGCTAGATTCTTTCTTACTGAGAAGTTACTACAGGAATGCTTCTTGCAAATGTCAGGCTCTCCCCTCTAATCCCATGTGCTAAATGTCAAGGCTCCCATGGACTCTGGACTCTGTACAAACAGCCCCTTGAACAGCAAAAATTCCAGGCTAGACTCATCTTGTCTGATTACACTGTACTTGTAATCACTCATTCAACAGGCACTTATCAAGTGCCTACTGTGTACCAGACACTGTGCCGCACACTAAGAACACAGACCTACTGTGTGCAGACACTATGCCACACACTAGGAACATAAAGATAAATATGACCCTTTCTCTCTCCTCCAGGAAAAGGGGAGATTGGTGCACAAATATTAATTGTGGTGCAGGGAAATCATGGCTAGAATAGAAATACAGATTATATGATATGCTGTGAGGGCAGATGCAAAGAAAAGCACAACTGTCAACTGTAATTCCTATATCAGAAAATAAAACTGCATGTGTTCTGTGATCCAACATACAAAACGTATGTATTTGGCAAAGGTGGGGATGGAATACACCATTATGAATATAATTTTTACTTAATCCTGTAATCCCAGCACTTTGGGAGGCTCAGGCGGGAGGATTGCTTAAGCCCAGGAGTTCAAGACCAGCCTGGACAACATGGTGAGACCCCATCTCTACAAAAAATTTAAAAATTAGTTGGGTGTACTGGCATGCTTCTGTAGTCCTGGGTACTCAGGAGGCTGAGGCAAGAGGGTCACTTCAGCCCAGGAGTCTTAGGCTGCTGTAAGCTATAATCGTGCCACTGCACTCCAGCCTGGGCAACAGAGTAAGACCCTGTCTCAAAAAAGGAAAGAAAGGAAGGAAGAAAGAAAGAAAGAAAGAGAGAGAGAGAAAGGAAGGAAGGAAGGAAGGAAGGAAGGAAGGAAAATCATTGTTGCATCAATGAAAGAATAGTGGGTGATTTTTTTCCTTGTCAAAATGTATTTTATTGTAGTTACTTTTTTTTTTTTTTTTTGAGATGGAGTCTCACTCTGTCACTCAGGCTGGAGTGCAATGGCACAATCTCGGCTCCCTGCAACCTCAGCCTCCCGGGTTCAAGCAATTCTCCTGCCTCAGCCTCCCGAGTAGCTGGGACTACAGGCGCGTGCCACCATGCCTGGCTAATTTTTGTATTTTTAGTAGAGATAGGGTTTCACCATGTTAGCCAGGGTGGTCTCGATCTCCTGACCTTGTGATCCGCCCACCTCGGCCTCCCAAAGTGCGGGGATTACAGGCGTGGGCCACCACGCCCAGCCTGTAGTTACTTTTTAATAATAATTTTGTTTTATGTGTAAGTACATGGATATATACTTGCATACATAGACACACAGCTATTTTCTTGATGTGCTTTCACATGATTGATAAAGCAAAGCTCCTGGCCCTGTGGTAGACACTTGTGAGGGTTTTCATGCTCTTTCCCTCGCCATATGTACTAGTTGGAAAATACTGTGGGATTTCACATGTGTCACCCTCATTATGATTTTCAAAAGTGAAAAGTAGAAAAAGCTGACTAGGACAATGATTGCGGTGTAAATCCCAGATAGAATGGTTTCGAAGCAGATACTCCAGAAGGGAGATGCCAAGTGAGTGTTTCCATAATTGTAATGAGACTTTCTGCAGGCAGGGCAGCATCTTTGCTGATAGAGAGGCACTGGGGAAATGGCCCTACGCGTGAAGAGCTGCAGCTGAGAATACTCTGGCACTTCACGGTGGGCGCTGACTAGCTGATGTCATTCCCCTGAAAAGTCCACAGGCCCTGCTGGCTACACCTGGCTGGGAGGAGCATGGGGATTTTAACAGAGGTGGAAGTAAAGTTGCGTTTTGGAGAAAATGACCCACTTGCATTTTTCATGCAGACAGAATAGGAGAGTCTGAGCTGTGAAAGAAAGGGAGAGACATTAGATTACTCATGGGAGATTGTCAGCCAGGTGCCAGAAGATACATCTGCGGTGGCCATTAAAGTACCATGAGGAATCGGTTCCCTGGAACCCAACTCCTTCTGCATCCAGTGCCTGGTCCCATGTCAGCTATGGTGGGACAGATAACCTTACATCTGAGCAGTGTCAGGAACTGCAGAATAACAAAAGCAGGTAACGCCCCTCTCTATTGAGTTGGACCATATCTGAAAACCATAAATGAAGGTCTGGAAGTTTCAGGAGTCACACTCTCCAAGTACTGCCTCTCCTGGCATGCTTCTCACTCCTCCCCCAGGCCGAGGATGCAGAATTGCAGATGACTCACAATCTTCAGGAGACTGCTAGACGGAGGGCGGTGTTAACTTGGCATCGAACTTGCCAAATTACAGTGAAAGAATTGCTGTGCGTCTGATCAATGGAATCTTTCCAAATTAAATTGTATTTAATATGTCTTAGGGGAGCTCTCTATTTTTTTTTAATGTTTCAATATGAGAAAGAGGGAAGGGAAGGTCTCAAGAGGATGGATCCCCCCATTACTTTATTGCGCTTTCTAAAAGAGGTGGGTTTTTATTATTATTATTATTATTATTATTATTATTATTATTATTCAGTGGCAGCGATAGATGCATGGCAGGTGTTTAACACCAAGGATCCTTCAGTCTGAGTTACTGAGAAGGAGCACTGTAGGAGAAAGGGCAGAGGATGCTGTGTGGGAGGATGAAAAATAAAAGCATGGCTGGGTACAGTGGCTCACACCTGTAATCCCAGCATTTTAACTGGCAGAGGTGGGAGGATCACTTGAGGCCCGAACTGGAGCCCCGCCTGGGCAACACAGCAAGACCCCATCTCTGCAAAACTGAAAAAAAAAATGGGCATGGTGGTGGGGACTTGTATTCCCAGCTACTTGGGAGGCCAAGGAAGGAGGATCCCTTGAGCACAGGAGTTCAAGGCTGCAGTGAGCTATGATTCTGCCACTGTACTCCAGCCTGGGTGACAGAGCAAGACCCTGTCACTCCAAAAAAGGAGAGCGAGGCCAGAAATTACCAGAATTAGCAGCTGTTTCTCAAGCTGAAGCAGCCCAAGAGGCTCCCGAGGGAGAAATCTGCTTCTCAGGTTCCAGGGGTCGGGCACTGGATTCCACCAGCCCTGAACAACCCCGATCCAGTGTGAGCCTAGAATCACTGACCACACACATCAGGGGGTCTGGCATTCCTGGGAGACAGCTCAGGCTGGCATTGGTTGAAAAGGAGAAAGCACCCAAGGACCTCATTGGCATCAGCATCTTCATCCTCCTCACAACTGCTGTTTGGGTTTTATTTTATTTCCTGCCTTGGTCATACACAGTCCTTATCTGAATGGGGACACCCACCCCTGGCCTGTGGGTTCTGGTTGGTGGCTGGCGGCTTATCTAAAATGACAGAAGCCTTCTATGCCTTAGAGAGTTAAGTGCCCTTTTTCTTCTTTTAAACAAAAGCCATTGGTAGTAGAAATGTTCATTTCTGTCTTAATCGCTGCAGGGCATAACAATTACTGAATTGTGATCATGGCTTTGACAATGCAATGTTAAATTTGCCTCAAAATATCTTGAGTGAACTATATGAAAGTGTGTTGCACTTAAAATTGGATAAAATAAAAATAAAATCTGATAAATGAAAATCTGAATAAACAAAATGGAAAGATTTATGGTACGATTGTCTTCAGTACTTAATGTTTCTGTTTTTTTAAAAAGGATGCATCAATAACCTCATATACAGCAGGTTCCACTGTGCTTTTATATAACAGAAAGCATGAGGGGCTCTGATATTAGGCCGCCTGCAATGGCTTTGCCATTTATTGTCCCCTGGGATCTGGAGTAAGCTAAATTATCGCTTTGTGCCACAACTTCCTCATCTGTGCCACCAGCCTGCCACATAGGGCTGGGATGATTACGTAACCTACAACATGAAAAACAATTAGCCCAGTGCCTGGTACAGAATAACACTCAGTAATGTTAGCTGTTATTATCATGTTTTAATAACTAATTTTCTCCCCACTCCTTCGTAATATAACATAGAGTCATACCTGTGGCACTTTAATACACTGCCCATTTTGAGTCAATTTCTGAATTTTACAAACCAGCCAATGCTAATATAGGCAATGTGAACAGAGAACATTGTTATGCTCGCTGAAATCAAGGAAGAAACTAGACACTATAAAACATCAGAAAGGGGTCCCTGGCTCCACCCCCAGAAGATTCCATACCCCGGGGCCTCTCCTGTACCATGTGTTGGAGAAAACACTTTGTTTCTAGTACCTGCAGGAAAGGAGATTTTATGCCCAGTACCTGCCTTAGAAACGCCAGTGCTGCCAAAAGCTCTACATATGCATGCACTGTGCCTTCTCAGGCCAGTGAATTCTATGCATGCCTTGATTTATATTGTGTCTAAAATTGCAGACACTGGCACCAAAGCTTCACCAGGCCAAGAGGAGCAGGGACCACTGCTCTGTTTTGACGGCAAATACCTTGTGATGGTTAATATTGAGTGTCAACATGATCGGATTGAAGGATGCAAAGTATTGATCCTGGGTGTGTCTGTGAGGGTGTTGCTAAAGGAGATTAACATTAGAGTCAGTGGACTGGGAGAGGCAGACCCACCCTCAATGTGGATGGGCTCCATCTAATCAGCCGTCAGCGTGTCTAGGATAAAAGCAGGGAGAAAAACATGGAAGGGATAGACAGGCTGAGTCTTCCAGACTTCATATTTCTCCCGTGCTGGATGCTTCCTGCCCTCGAACATCAGGCTCCAAGTTCTTTTGGACTCTTGAACTTACACCAGTGGTTTGCCAGGGGCTATTGGGCCTTTGGCCACAGACTGAAGGCTGCACTGTCAGCCTTCCTACTTTTGAGGTTTTGGGACTCAGACTGGCTTCCTTGCTCCTCAGCTTGCAGATGGCCTATTGTGGGACCTTGTGATTGTGTGAGTCAATACTCCTTAATAAACTCCCTTTTATATATACATCTATCCTATTAATTCTGTCCCTCTAGAGAACCCTGACTAATACAGGCCCCCTCCCCCCATGCCCACCCACCTGACCCCTCTTGTCCAGTCCAGACTGGCCTCAGCTTGTAGAAGTGTGAATGAGGCTGAAGTGGGGGATGGAATGGGTGGGGAACATTTGGTACAAGCCTCTAGAATGTTTCAGTGTGGCCATAAAGTCACAGTACCTAAGTATAAGTCAGTGAAAAGTTTGGATAAGCACGTTTTTATCACAGTTTTTAATGGTGGTAAAATATACATAAAACTTACCATCTTCACCATTCTTAAGCATACGGTTGCATGGCACTAAATACGTTCACATTGTTGTGCAACCATCATCACCATCCATCTCCAGAAAGACATGTTTTTGTTGGGGTTGTTGGAGACAGGGAATAGAGGATGACAAAATGTCATAAAACCACATAATGAATGTTCATATGACCAGGAAAGATTGAGGTTTAACAGGAATTCAGGGGAAGGCCCTGCTCAGCAGAAAGAAGCTACCATGGAGTTCTGAGCAACAGTGAGACTGTGACCTCAGTCCCCCGGGATGCGGCAGCCCTTACCAGGCCGCTGCTGCCTGCACTCCCCATTAAAGCTGTGGCTACTTTGGGCAAAATGAAGGGAACAAAAAGTTGGGTTTTTGCTTCTGGTCCTTTGCCACACTCCTTGTCTCTTGTCTCTTCCCCACTTCCCTGACGTTCTTTTTCTTTTCTTTTCTTTTCTTTGAGATAGGGTCACCCAGGCTGGAGCACAGTGGTGCAATCTCGGCTCACTGCAACCTCTGCCTCCAGGCTCAGATGATCCTCCCAGCTCAGCCTCCTGAGTAGCTGGGACCACAGGTGTATGCCATCACATCCAGCTAGTTTTTAATTTTTTTTTAAAGACAGGGTTTCCCTATGTTGCCCAGGCTGGTCTCAAACTCCTGGGCTCAAGCCATCCTCCCACCTCAGCCTCCCAAAGTCCTGGAATTATAGGCACGAACCACTGTGCCTGGCCTCCCTGTTGCTCCTGACTCTAAGGCCATGCTCTCCTCAGCCTTTTATTAGGTGCCACGTGGGGACTTAATTCCTGCTTTGATTGGCAATCCTGGTGGCCTTTGGTACGGCAGTGCTTCTCATTCTCAACCTGAAGGCCCAGCTGCCCCCAGCCCACAGTCCTGGCTTTTCCCTGGGTGGTGCAGTATGAGAGCCTAAGCATTAGAACCACACAGCCTGGTTCAAAGAGTGGCCACACCACTGCTCTGTGACCCTGGGCAAGTCCTCCTGTCTCCCCATCTGTAAAATAGGAATAAGATACCTGCCTACTAGAGTGTGGGGCAGCTCAAAAAAAAAGACATGCATAGAGGAGCTGGGTAGGTGCTTGCAAAAATCCCAGTTCCCCTTGCGGAACCAGCCAGCCAGTGACAGACCACACTGCTGTTCAAATACTTTTCTTTCTTTTCCTCTTTCTTTCTTTCTGTTTTCTTTCTTTCTCTTTCTTTCTCCTTCTTTCCTTCTTTCTCTTTCTTTCTTTCTTTTTCTTTCTTTCTTCTTTTCCTTCCTTCCTTCCCTCCCTCCCTCCCTCCCTTCATTCCTTCCTTCCTACCTTCCCTCCCTCCCTCCCTCCCTCCTCCCTTCCCTTCCCTTCCCTTTCTTTCTTTTTTTTTTTTGCTTTAACAGAGTCTTGCTCTGTAGTCCACACTGGAGCGCAGTGATACATCTCAGCTCACTGAAACCTCTGCCTCCTGGGTTCAAGTGATTCTTCTGCCTCAGCCTCCAGAGTAGCTGGGATTACAGGCATGTGCTACCATGCCCGGCTAATATGTATTTTTAGTAGAGACAGGGTTTTGCCATGTTGGCCAGGCTAGTCTCGGAATCCTGACCTCAGGTGATCCACCCGCCTTGGCCTCCCAAAGTGCCGGGATTACAGGCATGAACCACCATGCCCAGCCTCTTTCTTTCTATTTCAAAAAAAAAATTGTTGACAATATATTAGACCCATGCTATGTGCTTTTGTGCTTCAAGAATGAGAAGGGGCAACATTTTAAGAGAAAGCATGAGACAAGTGCACAGGGAAAACAATGGAGCCCTGTGCACAGGTGTGCAGCCAGCAGCTGCCAGGCAGCCACAGAAATGAAGAGGAGGTGGAAGGGCTCTAGGCTTCTCCAAAGGAGCTGCCTGCTTTGGTCTGCGAAAGGGAGATTTCCGACTGAGGGTGCCCAAGATTTTAACTGATGGGTGGGAAAGCAAAGTGTGAATCTCCAAACCCACAACTTTCCCACTTCTGCAAGGAGTTCTCTCCTCCTCTGTGTCAGCCCTGAGAGACAAAGAGTGGCAGGAATTTCAGGGCAGGTGGAGGGTGGTTCATTTACAGAAAAGAGCTTTCATGATCTCCGGTTGGATTAGGGTAAGGTAGTAATGAATGACTGTTGTTTGGATGAAATACTGGAATGATTTCAACTGTGGTAGACAGGTTTGACTTGAGAAGAGTATGGAGAACTGGTTAAGAACAGACTTGGCCAGCCATGGTGGCTCACGCCTGTAATCCCAGCACTTTGGGAGGCCGAGGCAGGCAGATCACTTGAGTTCAGGAGTTCAAGACCAGCCTGGGCAACATGGCGAAACCCCGTCTCTACTAAAAACACAAAAATTAGCCGGGTGTGTTGACACACACCTGTAATCCCCACTACTCAGTGACTGAGGCACGAGAATTGCTTGAACCTGGGATGCGGAGGTTGCAGTGAGCTGAGATGGCGCCACTGCACTCTAGCCTGGGCAACAGAGGAAGACCTTGTCTCAAAAAATAAATAAATAAAATAAATAAATAAATAAATAAATAAATAAAAATTTTTTAAAAAAATTACAAATGAAAGTGATTTGCACAAAATACAAAAGGAAATTGAAACCAGGCTGGCCTATAAGAGAAAGGTAGTTTATTGACTTAATGGTAACTAAAACTCTAAAGGTAATAATTTCAGGTGACATTTGATCCAGCAGCTCAAAAAATGTCACCAACAGCCTGCCTTCTGTCCTCAATCTGCTTTATATGGTGTTGGCTTTATCCACAGATTCCACAAGGTGGCCCCAGAGGCTGCTCCAGGATCTCGATTACTGGAAAAAGGCTGTAGCTGCTCCAAAATTCACCATTCGGGTAAAAAGGGTGGTCTCTTTTTCAGAGCTACTATAAAATAGGTTTATTCTTCCCAAAAGCCCCGGCAAATGTCCTCCTGGCTTGTTGCCTCTGATTTGGTAGTGCCAGTCTCCAAACCAGTCCATTTGGCTTGGGGCCATGGTGGGTGTGCCCATTGGTTTAAGCCAGCCAGAAACCACTCCAGGCACTTGGGGAGGGTTCAGTCCCACTCAAGCCAAATTCACTCTTGAAATCTGTGTTCTTGTATCCAGGAGAGAATATAGATGCAGGGTATCAAATAGCCAATGTGTACTACATTACATTTTAAGAGAAGCCACCAAATTTATACAATTTGTGCTTACAGATTTCTATACAAAGACAAGAGAAATGCCTGATTCTTGTGTGTGTGTTTTGTTGTTGTTATTTTTTGTTTTGTTTTTTTCCTGTTGATCGATCACAATAACCAGGAAGGATTTTGGCATTTGGCATTTTTGCACCTTGGTTCTGACCTGGAAAGGAGGAGGGTGTGGCATTTATAGATAAGTAACTGAAGACCAAGGTCAAATGAATGGATGATGTAATTCATTCCCTAAACAGAGAAACGTCTGGTGCCTTCCTGGCCTCAGTCCTCTCCGAAGGGGCTGTTGGCTCCAGCCCAAAGGCCTCTGCATTCTTTGGCTTCCATTGATTTCTCACCTGATTCCAATCACATTGCCCTCTGACTAATACTATGTTTTAATGCTTAGACGAATTATGTATGCATTAAAAGGAAAACCTTGGATTTAAGCCTTGAGGTGAAATAGGATGCTTAGTCTGTGGTAACAAAAGAAGACTGGAAATGGAAGGAGATCAGCGAGGTCAGACACAGCAGCCCACAGACGCAGCCCTTGGCTGCTGAATGTCCTCCATCTCAGCCCATATGGTGACACTCTTGAGTGCACACTGGGCATGCAGCCCAGATAAATGCAGCCAGGATAAGTGGTTTCTATAACATAATGGGGTTAAATGAAAGATTTCTAACTCTCCCACTTTCATTTGTGGCTCAGAAAAGATTTTAGTAATGAAATCGAAGGTAATCAGAGATCAGCTGGAGGAAAGATGTATAATCAGATTTTCCAGTGTTCAGATTTGCTCTGGGGGAGGGGTTATGCATTTATTCAACAAATATTTCTTAAAGGCCCAGTATGTGCCAGGTATGGGTACAATGGTGGCCTGTCCACTTGGGTTTACGGTCTAGCACAAGGGAGCTAGGTAATCATCAAATACCTATGCAAGCCCACCTACAGTAAGTGCTATCGGTTAAAATATAGACATATTTAGGCATGTTAAGAAAGTCTCACGTGAATTTTGTGAATTAAATGTGTAGAGAAACTCCCAATATAGAGCATCTTAAACTGCTGAATGAAGTATTTAAAAAAGACTGTTTTGCCAATTTTGTTGTTATAATTTACATACAATGAAATTCGCTGATTTTAACTGTACAATTCAATGAGTATTGACAAATGTATAGAGTCCTGTCACTGCCACCACATCATGACATAGCACACGTCCATCACTCCTGAAGTTCCCTTGTACCCCTTTACAGCCAGTCCCTTCCCGCTACCTTCTGACCCCAGGCATCCACTGATCTGCCTCCTGTTTCGCTTTTTCTAAAATTTCCTATAAATTAAATCATATGTAGTCTGTCATGTAACATGGTGCTTCTGAGATTTCTTCTTGTGATGCATGTCAGGAGTCTGTGTATTTCTCTTGGTAAGTAGTATTCTACAGAGTGGATATACCACGATTTGTTTTATTAATTCACCAATTCATGGACATTTGAGTTCATTCTGGTTTTTAGCTATTATGAATAAAGTTGATATAAATATTCACCTACAAGTCTTTGGGTAGACATATGTTTTTACTTTTCTTAGGTAGATACCTAGGAGTGGAATGGCTGGGTATGGTAAGCAGAGCTCTAAAAATGACTCCTAGTGACCTAGCCCTCTGATAATCACTACCTCTTTGATTATGGGTCAAATTTATGATTATAAAACTTAAGCTATCGCTCCCATGATTATCTTACAGGGTAAAGCAAGATTATCTGAGGGAATCTAATCTAATCATGTGAGCCCTTTAAATGCTGGCAAGAAAAAAAGAAAGTCAGAGAGATTTGAAGCACAGGGGGGATTCAATGCATCCGTACTGGCTTGAAGATGAAGGACTCCCCTAAGAAGGAATGTGGGTGGCCTTAGCAGCTGAGAGAGGCCCCAGCTGACAGCTAGCAAGAAAATGATGACTGCAGGCCAGGTGCGGTGGCTCACGTCTTTAATCTCAGCACTTTGGGAGGCCAAGGCAGGCTGATCACCTGAGGTCGGGAGTTCAAGACCAGCCTGACCAACATGGAGAAACCCCATCTCTACTAAAAATACAAAATTAGCCAGGCATGGTGGCGTATGTCTGTAATCCCAGCTACTTGGGAGGCTGAGGCAGGAGAATCACTTGAACCTGGAAGGCGGAAGTTGTGGTGAGCCGAGATCGTGCCATTGCACTCCAGCCTGGGCAGCAGGAGTGACATTCCATCTCAAAAAAAAAAAAAAAAAAAGGGAAAATGGTGACTGCAGTCCTGCAACTTCAAGGAACTGGATTCTGCCAACAGCCTGAATGAACTTGGAGGTGGATTTCATCCTACAGCCTCCAGAAGATAATTCAGCCCAGTCAACACCTTCAAGTCCATCCTGTGATACCATGAGCAGAAAACCCGCCACAATGTTCAAGCCTGCTGACCTATAGAACCATGAGAACTGTGAGCTAACAAATAAATGTAGTTATAAGCCACTGTTTGTGATGATTTGTTACAACGATAGAAAACTAATATATATGGTATGTGTATGTTTAACTTCATAAGAAACCTGCTCAATTGTTTCCAAAAGCAGCTACACCATTTTACACTTCTACCAGCAATGTAGGAGAGTTCCAGTTGTTCCACATTCTTGACAATACTTGATATTGTCAGTCTTTTTGATTTTTAACCATTCTCATATAGTGGCATTTCATTGTGGTTTTAATTTGCATTTCCCTAATGACTAATAGTGTTAGGCATCTTTTCATATGCTTATTTGCTATCCCTGTATATCTTTTTTTTTTTTTCTTCAGACAAGTCTTGCTCTGTTGCTCGGGCTGAAGTGCAGTGGCATGATCATAGCTCACTGTAACCTTGAACTCCCTGACTCAAGAGATCTTCCCATCTCAGCCTCCCTAGTAGCTGGGACTACCGCCGTGCACCACAAGGCCCAGCTAATTTTATTTTTTATATTTGTAGAGACGGAGCCTCACTATGTTGCCTAGGCTAGTCTCAAACTCCTGGGCTCAAGCAATCACCCTGACTTAGCCTCCCAAGGCACTGGGATTACAGGCATGAGCCACCATGCCTGTTCATTCTTTAGTAAAATGTCTGTCCAAATCTTTAGCCCACTTTTTAAATTGGATTATTTGTCTTATTATTTCAAAGCTCTGCTTGGCTGATGGTAAAGTTAATAAAAGACAGAACTGGCTGGGCGCAGTGGCTCACGTCTGTAATCCCAGTACTTTGGGAGGCCGAGGTGTGTAGATCACCTGAGGTCAGGAGTTTGAGACCAGCCTGGCCAACCTAGTGAAACCCCGTCTCTACCAAAATACAAAAATTAGCTGGGCATGATGGCATGCACCTGTAATCCTAGCTACTCCAGAGGCTGAGGCAGGAGAATTGCTTGAACCTGGGAGATGGAGGTTGCAGTGAGCTGAGATCACGCCACTGCACTCCAGCCTGGTCGATGGAGCGGGACTCTATCTCCAAAAAAAAAAAAGAAGAATAAGAAGAAGGCCGAACTGTAAGAAAGCTTGATTGCAGGAGGGAAACAGGGTAGAGCAGGCCTTTTTATGGGTGGGGGTGGAGAATGTCTGCCAACCCTCCATGGCTTACGGTTTGAATTTGAATGAGCCACATACAAGGGAAGAAGATAAAAAGCCTGGGGCTTGAGCAGGGCTGGAGGCCAGATAAGAGATGCCCAATCTGAAGCCAGAACCCCTGAAAAGCAACACAATGATTATACAAGGGAAAAATGTACCTACATAACACCATGTTACCTATCTCAGGCTTGGCTCTGGGTGAAGTATGGAGAAATGCTCAGAACTGCCCAACCATATGCTCCAACTCACAAGTGTGTGAACCTGAAATGTACACTTGCTACTGGGCTTGAAAGCTTTAAACATAAAATTTATTTTAAAGTGGTTTCATGTGGGAAGTGTCTCAATCTTCCTAATTCACCTACCTGGGCATTGCACTTTAACACAGAGTTCCCACAGGATAAAGCTTCCAGATACAAGAATTCACCATAAATAAAAACCACTAAATAAACAGGAAAATAAGACATGAGTAAGTGTCAGCTGAGACAAAAAGCTGCTGACTTAAACCTGCAAAGGCTGAATACTAGAGTGATCGGTATGGAATATTAAATAAGTGTGTTTGACATTTTGTAAAAATAATATAGTGGAATACAAGCATAACATGAAGCAAAACACCTAAAGTTGACAGATTAACTAGAAAAAGAAGCAAAAATTAGATGGCAGCTGATTCCTCAATAGCAACAGTGAAGCTGTAAGACAGCGGAATTATATTTCAAAGTATTACTTGAAAATAACCATGAGACTGGGCGTGGTGGCTCACATCTGTAATCCCAGCACTTTAGGAGGCCAAGGTAGGTGGATTGCTTGAGGCCAGGAGTTTGAGACCAGCCTGGGCAACATGGTGAAACCCCGTTTCTACAAAAAAAATACAAAAAATTAGCCAGGCATGTGGCAGCTCCAGTCCCAGCTACTCTGGAGGCTGAGGTGGGAGGATCACTTGAGCCCAAGAGATAGAGGCTTCAGTGAGCCATAATCACAACATTGCATTCATTCCAGCCTGGGCGATGAGTGAGACTCTGTCTCAAAAAAAAAAAAAAGAAAGAAAAAGAAAAAGAAATAACCGTGAACCCCAAAATCATGTCAAGTGAAACTGTATATCAGAACAAAACCAAAATGAAGACATTATCAAACCAAAGCTGAGATAATTCAGTAATAAAACACTCTATGAATCTTCCCAGGGATGTACTTTAAGGAAAAGGAGAATGATCCCAGAAGGACATTCTGAGAAGCAAAAAGGAATGATGAGAAATATAGGTAAAAACTGTGTACAAATATAAGCAATGTTGCATTTATAAAATATTAATAATAGTGGGCTGGGCACTTTGGGAGGCCAAGGTGAGAATTGCTTGAGCTCAGGAGTTCGAGACCCACTTGGCAACATAGCAAGACCTCTTCTCTATTAAAAATTTAAAAAATTAGCTGGGAGTGGGGGCATGTGCCTGTGGTCCCAACTACTCAAGAGGCTGAGGTGGGAGGATCACTTGAGCCCAGGAGGTGGAGGCTGCTATGAGCTGTGATCTCGCCACTGCACTGTAGCCTGGGCAACACAGTGAGATCCTGTCAGAAGAAGAAAGACAAAGACAAAGGAGAAGAATAAAAAGAAGGTCTAATTGAAGGGTCAAAAATGTGCAATGTAGAACTAAAATCCTGGAAAAAAAAAAAGCCTACAAATTAGGATAAACACATTTGCCAAAATGAGCACATTCTTCCATGTGCCAGGTCCTGTGCTGAGTATTCTTCAGGCATTATCTCACTTAATCCTTCCAACCATGCTGAGTAACGTGCTATTATTAATCCCATTTTTCAAATGAGAACACACAGGAAGTAGCAGCTGAGATTTAAAGCCAGATCTATCCGACTTTTGGGGGGGTTGTTTGTTTATTTTTTAGAGAGTCTCACTCTGCCACTTAGGCTGGAATGCAGTGATGCAGTCAAAGCTCATTGCAGCCTCAATCTGTTAGGCTCAAGGGATCTTCCCATCTTAGTCTCCCGAGTAGCTGGAACTACAGGCACCCACCACCACACCCAGCTAATTTTTTATTTTTGGTAGGACAAGATCTCCCTGTGTTGTCCAGGCTGGTCTCAACCTCCTGGCCTCAAGCAATCCTCCCACCTCAGCCCTGCAAAGTGCTGGGATTACAAGCATGAGCCACTGCACCTGGCCTCTGACTTTGAATCTACCATCTTAACCACTCTACCACACTGCTCTCCATGGAAATGTTTGTCATGGAAAATATAGGGGTCAAAGCAGGAGCATTGATTGAGGCCAGGAGTTCAAGACCAGCCTGGGCAACATAGCGAGACCTTGTCTCTAAAATAAATAAAATAGAAAATAAAATGAAATAGAAAATATTGCCAGGCATGGTGGCTCATGCCTGTAATCCCAGCACTTTGGGATGCCAAGGCGAGAGGATTGCTTGAGCCCAGGAGTTTGAGGCCAACCTGGGCAACATGGCAAGACCCTGTCTCTACAAAAAAAAAATTTGTTAAATTAGTCAAGCATGGTGGTACACACCTGTAGTCCCAGCTACTCAGAGAGGCTGAGGCAGAAGGATTACTTGAGCCCAGGAGATCAAGGCTTCAGTGAGCCATGTTTGTATCACTGCACTGCAACCTGGGGGGCAGAGTAAGAAAAAAAAAAAGAAAAAAGAAAAAGATGAAAGGAAAAAGAAAAAAAATTGGCAAGTATAAAGCCAAGAATTCCCTCAAATCATCATAGTCGTAAGTATACACACATATAATTTTGAAAAAGATTGGAATCACAACTATCTACTGTTTTGAATCTCACTTAATATTATCAGTTAATATAATATTCTGAATATAATCGTCCTGCTCTTAATTATCCTTTAGAAAGACATTTTTCAATGACTGCATTCTTAGTATCTTTTAACTGACTTCTACAATGTTCATTGTTAATTTTTGTTAAAAGTGAAGATGATCTGTTTAGAATTTTCTGTTTTCTCAAACATGAAATGTATTAGGAGATGCCTATGTAGGGATGTCTATTCTATTGCTGGGTATACATATTTCTGCTTTAGGGATCTCCATTTGCAAATAAACATGTGTGTCACATGTTTACAAAATTTGTGCTTCAAAGCAGATTCAGGATACAGCATGTGAATTTTCAAAACAGAAATTAGGCTAGGCACAGGCTCACACCTGTAATCTCAGCATTTTGGGAGGCTGAGATGGGTGGATCACTTGAGGTCAGGAGTTCGAGACAGGCCTGGCCAACATGGTGAAACTCCGACTCTTCTAAAAATACAAAAATTAGCTGGGCTTGGTGGTGAGCACCAGCTACTTGAGAAGCTGAGGCAGGAGAATGGCTTGAACCTGGGAGGCAGAGGTTGCAGTGAGCCAGAATCACACCTCTGCACTCCAGCCTGGGTGACAGAGTGAGACTCCATCTCAAAATAATAAATAAATAAACAAAATTTAAAAACAGAAATTAGATGATTTTTCTCTTTCTTTTTTTTTGAGTTGGAGTCTCGCTCTTGTCGCCAGGCTGGAGTGCAGTGGTGCGATCTTGTCTTACTGCAATCTCTGCCTCCCAGATTCAAGCGATTCCCTTGCCTCAGCCTCCCGAGTAGCTGGGACTACATGCGCATACCACCACACCTGGCTAATTTTTTTTTTTGTATTGTAGTAGAGACAGGGTTTCACCATGTTGGCCAGTATGGTCTTGATCTCCTGACCTCATGATCCGCCCGCCTCAGCCTCCCAAAGTGCTGGGATTACACGCATGATTTTTCTTAACAAAAAGGTTTTTTTGCTTTATGAAGAAATTTTCTTGTGTGTTTTATTTTGCATAAACCGTTTCCCTAGAATATGGAAATATCACTTGCTTTGTGAAAATTGGATGCATGTGAAACTTTTCAGAAATGAATTTATGACTTTTTAAAGGATGCATTTGTATGTACATATTTCAGTCTCAACCCAGAGATTAATATAATCATATTACCATAATGTGTATAGTAAAATCTCATTAATTCAAACATGCCACTGATCTTTAACTTTTAATAGCTCAAATACGGAATACATAATTGATCATAGGATAAACCAGTACGGGGCATGTGTAATTTTTTTTATATACAATCTTCTTATGCCTTAGATGCAAGCTCATTAACTTGTTTCATTTTACCTTTTAGCGCCTATTTGTGGTGTGATTAGTATGATATGTCTGTAACCAAAAGTAACAAGATAGAGGTCAGGCAGTGGCTCACACCTGTAATAGCTGTACTTGAGAAGGTCAAGGTGGGCGGATCACTTGAGGCCAGGAGCTCAAGACCAGCCTGGCCAACATGGTGAAACCCTATCGCTACTAAAAATACAAAAATTAGCCTGGCTTGGTGGCTCACGCCTGTATTCCCAGCTATTCGGGAAGCTGAGACTCGAGAATCACCTGAACCCAGGAGGCGGAGGTTGCAGTGAGCAAAGATGGCACCACTGCACTCCAGCCTGGGCAATAGAGTGAAGCTGTGTCTCAACAAACAAACAAACAACAACAAAACCAAAACAAAAGGAACCAGGTGGCATGTGAACATTTAAATGTTTAATAAATATGCATAGTCTCATCTACACTTCCTCTTTTCTCCATAGAAACCGACTGAAATCATGAGTGAAATTTCATAAGCATCATGGCCTGATGATGCAAGACTGTATTTGAAACAATTCTTGAATTTCTGTGCACGAGATCATCTATAGCCAAATATTATTCCCATGAAGTCTCACCTCTGTTTCATACATCTTTATGGGCTTCTCCTCACTCCTACCTGGAGCCAGCTAGTGCTCTGTCAGTGCAAAATAACTGTTTAAATAGTATCTTAAGGAAAATAAATAGAGAAAAGGAAATAAGCCGAAGGGAATGATGGAATTCATTCTAAAGCCAGGTATTAACTCACTGGTAGGGAAGGGCGAGCGACGCAGTCCCTCGCCTGCGATAGCCACTGACCCCACTCAGGCTCGCGCGGCCCCTCTTCCATTCCCCCAAATCACTGCCGTCTTATTCCTGCCCAACCACCCTCGTCAATCTCTTTGAATCTGTGATTTAAAACAGGCATTCATGGACATTCTTCTTAGAAGGCCTAGTGCTAAGTCGCAGTTGTCAAGGGAACCGCGTGTCTGGAGGGAGAACAGGCTCTCCGGAGTTTCCCGGGAAACCACCCCCCGCAGAGGCAGGTGCGGCTGGCTGGGCCTCGCGGGGAAGGGCTCTCTGGGCGGAGTCGGGGCACTCGGGGCCTGGGGCGTGGTCGCCGGGCTGCCGTGCGCTCGGGATCAGTCTTTTTATACATATATATATGTGTGTATATATATATATATATATATACACACATATATATATGTTATAAAATTCTAACTTCGGTGGAGTACTTTACTTTGATATTCCACTTGCAAAACAGAACCACTGATTCCTTCCTGCTTGACAAGATTGAGTCGCTATCAAGGAGCTGCCCGTGCTTTGGAAATGGTCCAAATCGACGAGGAACTGCCAAGGAGCCCCCTCAGACAGTAAGGTTCTGTTGGCCAGGGTCCTGGGGACAGACACGAGTGTTGGTGCGCGCGACTGAAACGGGAGCAGAGCAGTTGAATGAGCTTCTTACGCTTTGCATGGTGCGCAGAATATCCCACCGATACCCAGAAATCCAGTAGAAATAGGGACGAGTGTTGCTGCGAAAGAGCCTTTTGCATTTGAAATGCATGTTAGGTTAACTGGAAAGGCGCCTGCCTCTTGTTTTGTTTCAGAAATACTGTTGGGAAAAGGATCCGATTTCTGCTCGGAGTGAAGGAAGTGGTCTCTGGAGAATTCCTAGGTCAAGGCTGGCATTTGCACCTTTTCATGGTCTTTCCCTGCACAGTCACTTCAGCGGCGGCGTCGCTGGGGCTGAGGCCGGGTGACTGCGGCTAGGCATGCGGATTTAGTTCCCCGCCTGTCATCTTTGTGGCTCCTTGTGGGGGAGGGGCGGGCGGTCTGACACAGTTATTAAACCTGGCAGCTGCGCTGGCGGCACTGAGGAGCATTTTGAGTGAGCTTGCAGAAAATGAGGGGCTTTCAGCTGGTCGCCTGCTTGTCACCTCTCGCTGCCTGAAAGGCAGCTCTCAGAGCCCTTTCCTGTCCTTCTAATTACAGCGGCGGGGGCAGTGCGCGCTTCGGGACGCAATTGGAAACGTGAGTATCTGTGTCCCCCGCGCTGCTGGCAGGCGGCTAGGCGCTTAAAGCTTCCAGACCGGTGGCGGGGACGGAAAGGCAGGGATAGGAGAGGCGGGCGCGCGTGCGGCGGGGCTGCGGGAGGGCCCCGAGACGCGCGTCGCCACGCCTCGTCTGGAGGTGGTGCGCGCTGGCGAGGAGGCGACAGCCCGGAAGGCTGCAGACGGGGGCGTTGAGTGCAGGGTTGCCAGCGCCGGGCTTGGAACCGCCCTATGCTTTGGGGATCCACACACAAAGGAAATAACCTTGGCCTAGGCAGCCAGGGCAGGCAGCCCCGTCCCGCCCCCGATCTTTCCGGCCCTTTTTGAAGATGGAGAGAAGGCGCGTTTTACGGTTGGCTCGAAACGAGATGAGGCCAGTGTTCCAGCCCGTGGGGACCTTTGTGCGCTGCGCAGTGGCGGCTGCGGCCGGTCCTGCAGGGACACGGGCGTGGCGGCGTCTCAGGGAGCGGCGCGCATCGCTGAGTCCGGGCCCCGGAGGGGGCGCGTCTGGGTTTCTTTGAGATCTCAGCGCCTTTGGGATTTCAGAGCCCTGCAGGCCTCAGTCTCTCGCCGCGCCCAGAACTCGTTTCTTCCTTCTCTTCGCACAAGGGGTTTAAGAGGGCAGACATGAAGTGAAAAGACCTCAATTCCCTCCTTTCTCCCCAAAATATGAGTGTGGGGGGTGTGGTTTTTTTTCCTTACTATAGATTGCTAAAAGGAATCTTGAAGTTCAACTCAGTTTTATATTTAATTCCAGACAAGGTTTTAATTTTACAGAGCTGGCATCATGCAAGGGTGTGTGTCTCTGTCGTTTACACATTTCTTAAAGAAACTCGGCCCTTCCCTAAAGGTTCCGAGGAGCGTTTCACAGAGTCACGTGGTTTCAGAACGTCCTGTTTAATGTTTCAAGTGCATTTCTGTGTTGATTTGGCTGAGGCCCAAATATGTGATACAGAGGCAGGCGGACCTGAAGTCTAACTACTGCAGTCTCTGAGGCTCAGGTTTCTTGATGTGGTGTCTGGCCTCCACGGTCAGGGGCTGATAGCCAATGGAAGACCTCACCTTCCCCAGAGGGGCTTACCAGAGCCAGGACCCTGTGTTGGGAGTGTGAGCAATGAACAGTGAACAACTACTTAAACTTTCCAGGTCTCCGTTTCCTCATCCATATAATGGGTGTAACAGGATAATATCAGATATCCATCAAAGTAATATCTAACTCCTAGCCTAAGAGATAGGCTACGATTTCTGCGTGTCTTCCATCTCCCACCAAGCAGCTTTTCTTTTAACCTGACATTGGAGGATTGGCTTAATGAGAGCAAGTAGAAAAGACAGAAAGACTACAAAGTGGAAAAATTAAAATATAATAATCCTCAGAAAAGTAGTAATCAGTATAGCTTAGAATTTGCCTAAAAATACACTAACCAATTGCTTGTACACACATGGTGTCCATATGGACACATATGGTCTCTTTAATTTTATTTATCAGGTTATGGCCCTGGGGAAAGATTGATGTCTGTCTGCCTCAAAAATAATGCTTGACATTTGGTGCTTAAATTTGCCCCAAATTGGCCAGGCACAGTGGCTCACGCCTGTATTCCCAGCACTTTGGGAGGCCGAGGCAGGCGGATTACCTGAGGTCAGGAGTTCAAGACCAGCCTGGCCAAAATGGTGAAACTCCGTCTCTACTGAAAATACAAAAAATAGCCAGGCGTAATGGTGGGCACCTGTAATCCCAGCTACTAGAGAGGCTGAGGCAGGGGAATTGTTTGAACCCAGGAGGCAGAGGTTGCAGTGAGCCGAGATCACACCATTGCACTCCAGCCTGGGCAACAGGGTGAGACTCCGTCTCAAAAAAAAAGAAAGAAAGAAAAAATGTGTCCCAAATTTTGGTTTTCCATCTCAGAGTGGGGTTTCTCAGATTTTTGCACATGAGTTTCTTGTTAATAAAAACCAGATGATGATTAAGTAGAAGTGTTGTTAAAAGAAATAAATGTGATTCTGAAATATTACATATGACATATCAAAACTAGAAATAAATACTTCTACTGAATTCTACTCTAGTAAAATAATGGTTAGGGTATTGTTCTTAATTTTGTCCACTGTACTTTAAAAAGAATATGCAGAAATTGGAGGGAAGGGGTTCAGAATGGGGAAATCAAATAATGAGGTGGAAAGAGGAGAGACTAAAAGAACCGAGGCTGTTTTAGGGAGAGAAGGTGGAGTGGCGACTTCGTTACTGTCAAATGTGTGAGGGGCTGAGAAGGATGGAGTAAGAGAAAACCAGATTTTGATTGGATATAATGAAAAACTTACAAAATGGCGAAAAAGTAAAATTAACCACCAAGAGGCGTCTAGAAGTGAACAATTTATCATCTGCCGTTCATGGCCCCAGCCCAGCCATTCTTTACCCTAGCTGCAGGCTAGAATCACCTGGGGACTTAAAAACTCCTCTGAACCTGGATCCTTCCCCAGACTCCAAGATTCTGACTTAACTGGTATAAGCCCAGGTATGGATATGTTCTAGGAGCTCCCTAGGCAAAACACTAGGTAGAGAAACGTTGGTCCATGCCTAAGAGGACAAAGTCTACCACTGCAGGGCCAGGCAGGGAGCATAGATATCCAAGGAGGGCCAGGACCTGCTGGGGTTCACTTGCTGAGGAGGCAGCTGTGAGCCACACTCAATGTTCTCCAGATCTTCTGATTTGCCAAGGGAAGCTGGAATTTTTGGTTTTTACATTTGTGAATATGACATCTCCAGATCTTTAGAGGTTGGCAACTAATTAAGGGTAAAGCATTTTAAAATGTTTCGTGCTTGCTGAACAAAACACCCCAGCCGAAGCTGGCCCCTCATCCAGATAGGCAACTGCAACCAGACTTTTGCCTTCTTTGTGGGTAACGGGTGTGAATGGGAGCTCTCCCGGGGCCTCTTCTAGCTTCAGTTTTATGATTTGATGCTTTCTTTTTAACCTGAAGAAACATCTCTTGGCCTCAGTCTTTTTAAAGGCATGTCATGTCTTCCTGGCCGAGTGTCTACCCCTCCATAGATCTCTCTGGATTGTTTGAATAAAGGAACGTTTCTAGTTCCCTAATCTTACCCTGGCTGTAAATTAAGGAGGCTGCCCCCTGGAGATTCTGAGACAGTGAGAATTCTAACCATTCTTAACCACGCCTGCCACCTCCCCCACATCCGCCACTCACAGCTCCCTTGCTCCCTCCACTGGTGATGTAGATGGGGTGAGTGGGGTTCAGGAGGCCTGGGAAGTGTCCTGAAGCTGCCTCCTGGTGCCCCATCTCTTGCAGGGGAGGGGAGGAGTATGGATTGATCATATATATAAGCTTATAAGCAGCACCATTGTTGAAGTATGATTCTTACAAATGAGACTCTAAAATTCCCAGTTCACTCATCTCTTGAATTTCCCTCTAGCCTCTCTAAGCCACACAAGCCACGGAGTATAGTATGTCTCCATCACCAAAGAGGAGCAATCGACACCTCTCTGCATAGACAAGACTATCTTGACCAGAGGTACAACAAATCCAGGCGGACTAGCACTGAGAGTTGACTGGATTCTCCCTGCCTCTCCCCTGTGGGTTAGGGCTGTTGTACTTTGGATGGTGGGGCCAGGTGGTGAAGTAACAGGAAGGCAGATCACCTGCCTCTCTAGCATTCCCCGCCCCTGCCTGCCCACCCTGCTGTAGTGCTAAGACCAGGGTGACACCTCTCTTCTTTCCCAATGATGAGGCACTGACAGCCTTCCAGGGTGGCAGAGAGACCTGTGTGTGCAAGGTGGCAGAGATGTGGCGCAGAAGAGATGGGCACTTACTCCAGTGCTGATACACAGAAGCCAGCTTTGTTCAAAACAGTGTTGTTTAGCAAGGTTGCACTGTATATAAATTAAATCAACATCCTTAAGCAGCTGCCTGTTTTCAGTTCCCACAGGCTAAGCAGGCAAAACCAGAGCGACTATGAGCAGGTGTCAGGTTCCCCTCCAAAGGTCACAAAAAAAGAAAAACCCCAAAGCCATGGCCATGCTGTCTCCAGTCCTTTTGCCAGCCTCTTGGTTCTCCAAAGTCAAATCTTTGGCTTGTGGTCCAAAGATTTCACTATCAATGAGAAGGTAAGGGGAGTTTTGAAGTTAGAATGTGTAAATGGCCCAGGGAAAAGGAAAGGAAGTAAGATCCAGCTGTTTGGTTGGATTCTGGTTGTCAAACACAGAAATATGTTTCTTGGAGGAGCAGAAGCCACATCAGCCCCAATTTTGAGTTGCCAAAACCATAGGCTCGGGCTGAGATGCTCTACCCTGGCATAATCTCTCTCCCTCTCTCTTAGTGACTGCGTAAAAAATGTGGTTGATTCTTTTCCTGGAATCATAGATTAGCACATTCCACTGCATTACCCTCTGCCCCCAGCTAGACCAGATCCTGAGGAGCAGGGGATGAATAGTGGGGTGCTCTGACACCCATTTAACAGTCTCACAGTGCCTTGCTTCGAGCCACTAAGCAGCCTCAAAGCTGTGCCCCAAAATGGGCTGCACACAAGGTTCTTCCTACGTGCTCCTTTCAGGCATGAGACCAACCTTGGGGATCAGTATTCCTGTCCTCTTTTCCAGGGCAGTGGTTAAATACCATCCACTGCTTTGCACTGGCACCTGGAATGTCAGGCTCTGACTATTTCTGGCTTGATAATGACAGGTTCCCTATGGAGAATTTTGGCCTATGAGCTTGTCAGCCAGGGTTTACACAGTCAGTTTGTGTTTTTTCTTGAGGTAGTTTACCCGGTTGCCTCTCTATTCTAGAGCTTTCCTGTTGGCTCTTTCTTTTTGACAAATTGACTACTTAACGGAAGATCTACTTAAGTGTGTCCAGGGACAGAGAGAGAAGGTAAAACCCCAGTCTATTGCTTTGAACCTTGTTGTGGTGGTAGCAGAAAAATCAACGAAGGGGAAATTTCATACTGTTGGCTAAAATGCAACTATTCAATTCATCCCTGTCCTGATCAATAATTCTTATTATATGAAATTAGTAAGAATATTAGGAAAGCTCAATTATGCAATCCTATGAACTATAATTGGTTTGTAAAAACAATTTCATTGGAAATTTTATTTAAAGTAGATTATTTTGATCATTGTATAGTGGCAAATCAAAAAGTAAATTCTCCTCCTAAGGTATAGTGATATGTAATGGGCAACAAAAATGCAGGAAACTTTAAATCTGTTAAATAATCACTCTTGTTCCTACTGAGAATGAAAAAAAGCAAAGGAAGCATGTGACAATTTTAAAACATTAGCTCTTGCCATCATGTTTAGAAGAAAGATTTGCACAATTAAAAAAAAACAGATAAAAAATAAAACAAAGACAGTGTCAGGTGGAGTGCTAGACTGGCTAATCAAATGCTGGGACAAGTGGTGCGGATAGCCTGTTCTACACCAAGGCTAGAAGAGGGGAAACTGATATTCTTGGACACAATCAGGTTATGAGTGCTGGCTCTAGGGCTTTGAGCGGTGATCTAGAACTGGAAAGGTAAGCCGAGAAGGTGGAAATACTTTTCACCTAAAGGCAAACAGCTTGAGCAGTGGCTCAAAAGGCTGCAGGAGCATGGATTTGGCAACTCATTTGATATGGGGAGAAAGAAGACAGGCTTTCTTCTTGGAGACCGGTGGTTGGGGTTTGTATTTCAAAGGTGTGTGACCTTGAGCAATTTGCTTAAGATGCAGTGTCTCAATTTTCTTATCTGTAAATGAACAACTGAGCCATTGCAGGTTGTTCTAAGGATTAAAGAAAATTGATATAAAGTGTCCGGCACTGTTCATTGCATACAGATGATTAGTCTGTGATGAGTATTTTTTTCAGGACAAAGACATAAAACGGAACTGTATCTTACTTCAATATCAGAATGAGGACTTTGAACTTGTTCTCAAGACCATACGAAGCCACCCTATGGTGGCTTTAGGAAGTGAAAGCATTTTTATACCACTTTACATTAGAAGTTCATTGAGTTTTTACAAAATCTTTTTTTTTTTTTTTTTTTTTTGTAGAGACAGTATCTTACTCTGTTGTTGAGGCTGGAGTGCAGTGACATGAACATAGGTCACTGCTGCTTGGTTCTGGACTCAAGTGATCCTCTCGTGTCAACCTCCCAAGTAGCTGGGACCACAAGTGTGCACTACCACACCCGGCTAATTTTTTTAAATTATTTTTTGAAGAGACAGGGTCTCGCCATATTGTTCATGCTGGTCTTGAACTCCTGGGCTCAAGCGATCCTCCAGCTTCAGCCTCCCAAAGTGCTAGGATTACAGGCATGAGCCACACCAGCCTAAAAATTCTTATATGACCATTTGAATCTCTGCTTAGATTTTTTTTCTTCTCTCTTGTGCTTGTAACTCAAACTTTAATACTTGAAAAGATTCATGAAAATTTGAATATACTTTTCTAAATCTGTAAGAAGACTGTCTCCCAAGATGGTTTGTCAGTAAACCATGTGGTTTATGGTCAGCATTGTGTTATCTCCAGCCTTTCTGAAGAGCTAACAGTAGCTCCGAGTTTAATTATGTAATAAGCTATGCCTACTATTTGATGCCACGAGAAATAAACTTTGAAAAAATTCAGTACTTGAAAATATTTATCAAATACGTAGGATCGTCTATTTCCATTAGTATATTATTCTTGAACATTTTCCCACAACCCATTATTTTTAGCTATTTTAAGTAAGAGTTACAACTTTGCTATGCTTTTGGTTTGGTGATGAGTAATGTTTCCATTGTTATATCTCTATTTTACAACTTCCCTGAACTGTTTAGTGCAATTTTTAGAATATGAGTCAGTTACAATCTTTACACTGCAGTTTTGAACCATCTTTTTATGACCTTCTAAGCGAAATATTTCTCTGAAAATTTCCCCTGCTTTCCCTCTCCCCTTTCCTTAATTCCCTTAAGTTAGTCTTTGTTAAGCATTATAATTGAGTAGAGTAAGCTGTGTTATCTAACACTTTTCTACTGCTTTTACAAGCACAAAGATGAATCGGAGATTCAACAAAGCTTCAAGGTTCTAGAAATAAGCGCTTTTGAGACAGGCGAGCAAAAATCACCAATCTCATTAGCTTCTCCAAAGGAAACAAATAAGTCTTGTGAGCTACTACTGGGATTTTTAGAGTTTTCCAGGCCTCATTTTAAAGAGATGGGGACTCACTGTGTTGTCCAGGCTGATCTTGAACTCCTGGCCTCAAGGCATCCTCCCACTTCAGCCTCCCAAAGTGCTGGGATTATAGGCATGAGCCACCATGCTGGCCATCTAGGCTTCAAGGGATGTTTGTTTGTTTGTTTGTTTGGAGACAAGGTTCCCACCCTGTTGCCCAAGCTGGAGTACAGTAATGTGATCATGGCTCACTGCAGCCTCAACCTCTCAGGCTCAAGCGATCCTTATACTTCAGCCTCCCAAGTAGCTGGGACTATAGGCATGCACCACCACACCTGGCTAATTTTTAAAATTTATTTTTTTCATAGAGACAAGGGTCTCTGTATGTTGCCCGGGGCTGATCTCAAACTCCTGGGCCGAAGTGATCTGAGCCTCCTGCTTTAGCCTCCCGAAGTGCTGCAGTTACAGGCGTGAGCCACCATGCCTGGCCAGGCTTCATTTTTAAAAAGGGGAGGGGAGGGTTGGGAGCTAGCTCTCTGGCTCACAAACAATAATGACTTCAATTTCTGTTCTTTCAATTGATTTTTATGTTTCCCTGGGAGGGAGAGGAAGACTAGGCATGCTCATCTTGCCAAAGTGATTAACTCTTCATTGGCCAGCCTCTTTGGACACCCATTTACTGCTCATTCTCTAGTATTCTAAGGAACAAAGATTTTGTTGTACTTTAAACTAAAATAGCTTGTTTGTTCTAAGAACGTAATACTAAATTTTGAGATGGAGACTGTATTTATACAGAAACACTTTGCAAGCAAATGTTTATAACCAGCCCCTACTGCTTTTACAAGCACAGAGATGAATCAAATATACACAAAAGCTTTGTGCTAGAAAGAACCTCCATGAATTGAACGTACGTGCTATATGGTAGGCATCATTCTTGTCACTGTGCATGCATGATCCCATTCAGCCTTAACAGTTATCCTATGAAAAGTTATTATCCTCGTTTTAGAGATGAGAAAACTGAGACTTAGAGAGATTGAGTACATTTGCAAAGTCGCTAGCTGTTAAAAAGCAGGTGCAGGAGTTGGAGTCATGTCTGTCTGAATTTAAAGCCGTTGCTTTTCCTGATATACTCTGCATATGACATGATGCACAGCAGAATCCTTGGGAATATTCTGCTCCCCTTGGAGTTCCCTGCTTAGTGAGTGCTTCGTGCTCAAAGAACTCTCACAGACAACGCTAGTACACTTATTAGTTTTCTTTGTATCCTTTGGTTCTCACAGGCCAACTGCTACAAGGCAGGTCCAACAAATTTCCTAGATGACTGAATATTGGGCAGTATTCCAAGGTGGTCAATTATGTCTAAGACTCACACAAAAGCATTAGCAAGGATTGCTCCATGGATCAAGAGCAAATCAATGTACAATTGTCCTCTGCAGCTAACTTATTAGGGAACATAAAGTTGCAATATTTCACTGGAAACTTCCATCCACTAGAAAAAAATGAGTGCTTAAGCAAATATGGCCAGACTCTGATTATGATTAAGCATAAACCTCCGAAATGAAATTCGTGTGTACATTCTCTCTGCGTGGGACCAATTTGGCCAGCTTACTTTAAGGAAAAGCTTTCTGTTGTCTGCATTCTTGCCAAATTTCTAAACTTTCAAGGGTAAGGACTGTAGTTTTAACTCTTTATTCTGGCATTTAGTCATTTAGCTTACTGCTTGGCATATAGTACATCTTCAAGAAATACTTGTTTGGATTGAGTGTATCAGGGTTCTCCAGAAAAACAGAACCAGTGGGAAATATATACATATAGATATATAGATGATATAGATATAGATGATATGGATATTGATATATACAGAGATTTATTATAAGGAATTGGCTCATATGATTATGGAGATAGACAAGTCCAATCTGTAGGATGGGGCAGCATGCTAGAGACCCAAGGAAAGCCAGAGTTCCAATTCCAAGGCCTTCAGTCAGAAAGAGCTGATGCTTCAGCTGAAGTCCACAGACCATCTGCTGGAAAGTTCTCTCTTACACAGGAAAGCATTCATCCTTTTGTTCTAGTGACACCTGCATTAGTTAAATAAGATCCACCCACATTATGGAGGGCAATCTTCTTTACTGATGAAAACGCTAATCTCAGGCAAAAAGACCCCCATAGAAATACCCAGAATAATGTTTGACCAAATATCTGGGCACTGCATGGCTCAGGCACATAGACACATAAAATTAGCCATTACAATGAGTGAATGAGTAAATAAGAAACAGTAGTTTCTGAACTGTGGCAGAGCAAGTGGACTTCAGGCATTGGCCTCTGTTGTAGCCTTGAGTTATACCACACCTCAGTAATAGGAAGAGCTCTTCTTTCCAGTGAGGCAGCACCAACAGACTATAGGGCTTGAACCCAAGATGCCACCTGAGGGGAATTCTCATGTGGCCACTTGTGTCCAAGTGATCAGTTACCACTGAATTATGTGAATTAAAGAAACAGGTTGGGACATGGACCATGCTCTCCAGAACTGAGGGTGAAAAGGGTGTCTTTCTAAGAGGTAAGATTTTTTGGAAGTGGAATCCTATCATGTAAGACCCTAGTTTTTCTAAGAATTTGTGGGAAAAAAATAACCTTTACCTGAGTGTATGTAGCCACATTTGACTGCTTTGTTTAGTTGATTTAATGCAACTCAGTGGTTACTGTAAATATCTGAAACTTGTAGATTATTGCTTCTCTAAAATTATAATGGGATCCATTTCTAGATTTACATCATTTTTTTTTCTTTGAGACAGGGTCTTGCTCTGTTGCCCAGGCTGGAGTGCAGGGGCGCAATCTTGGCCCACTACAGCCTCCAACTCCTGGGCTCAGGCAATCCTCCCATCTCAGCCTCCTGAGTATCTGGGACTACAGGCATGAGCCACCATGCCTGGCTAATTTATTAGTTTTGTAGAGATGAGGTCTCACTATGTTGTCCAGGCTGGTCTCAAACTCCTGGCCTCAAGCTATCTTCCTGCCTCAGCCTCCCAAAGTGCTGGAATTATAGGCATGAACCACTGCACCCAACCTAGATTTACATCTTTTTTTTTTTTTTTTTTTTTTTTGAGGCAGAGTCTTGTTCTGTCACCTAGGCTGGAGTGCAATGGCATGATCTCAGCTCACTGCAACCTCCGCTTCCCAGGTTTAAGCAATTTTCCTGCCTCAGCCTCCGGAGTAGCTGGGATTACAGGCGAGTGCCACCATGCCTGGCTAATTTTTGTGTGTTTAGTAGAGACAGGGTTTCACCAGGTTGGCCAGGCTGGTCTCGAACTCCTGACCTCAGGTGATCTGCCCGCCTCGGCCTCCCAGACTGTTGGGATTACAGGAATGAGCCACCGTGCTCAGCCGATT